>NC_000001.11:174093677-174396708 GCF_000001405.40 Homo sapiens
AAAAAAAAAAAAAAAAAGTATTTTCTGAAGCTCAGATCTGATCATCTTTTTCCTGATCAACTCTTCCATAATATCTATCCCTTGCCTTACCTTTATGATAAAAACCAAAGCCCTTAGTATGGCTTACAGTCATGATCCAGCCCCTGACGACCTTGGTAGCCTGATCTCAAAGCTCCAGGCCCACTGAACACATTTCCATTTTTCAAATGCTCTCTCTTTTGAGGCTCCTCACTTTGTCTAGAATATTCTCTTCCCTGCTCTTGTTTGCCTGGCTAATTTCTAGCCTCGTTTTAACATTGCACTTCCTCTGGGTGGCCCTCGACCTCCACTATATGCTTCATAGCACACACTTGATCATAATTACTTTTTTTTTTTTTTTTTTTTGAGAGACAGAGTCTCATTCTGTCACCCAGGCTGGAGTGCAGTGGCACCATCTCGGCTCACTGCAACCTTCACCTCCCAGGTTCAAGTGATTTTCCTGCCTCAGCTTCCCGAGTAGCTGGGATTACAGGCACTTGCCACCACGCCTGGCTAATTTTTGTATTTTTAGTAGAGATGGGGTTTCACCATGTTGGACAGGCTGATCTCAAACTCCTGACCTCAGGTGATCCGCTTGCCTCAGCCTCCCGAAGTACTGGAATTACAGGAGTGAGCCACCGCACCCGACCCATAATTACTTATTGAATTGTCTTTATTTCCCTCGAGTGGAATAAACAGTCTTGTTCACTGTTGCATTTCCATTGCTTAGTACATAGTAAAAATACTTAATAAGTATCTGTTAATTGAATAAATAACACTTAATAGGCTTTAATGTCCATTGTGCATATTTTATAGCACAACTTACTCATTTGGAATTCCTTTTTTTTTTTTTTGAAATGGAGTCTCGTTCTGTCTCCCAGGTTGGAGTGCAATAGCGTGATCTCAGCTTACTGCATCCTCTGCCTCCCAGGTTCAAGTGATTCTCCTGCCTCAGCCTCCTAAGTAGCTGGGATTACAGGTGCCTGCCACCACGCCTGGCTAATTTTTGTATTTTTAGTACAGACAGGGTTTTGCCAAGTTGGCCAGGCTGGTCTCGAACTCCTGACCTCAGGTGATCTGCCTGCCTCAGCCTCCCAAAGTGCTGGGTTTACAGGCATGAGCACTGCACCTGGCCTTCATTTGGAATTCTTATTCTGATTTCTTAGTTGAAGATACTCAAGATTTATTTATTTATTTATTTAGAGATGGGGTCTCACTCCAGTTGCCTGGGTTGGAGTGCAGTGGCATAATCTTGGCTCACTGCATCCTCGACCTCTCTGCCCCAAGCGATCCTTCCACCTCAGCACCCTGAGTAGCTGGGATGACAGGTGTGGGCCACCACGCCCAGTTAGGTTTTTTTTTTTTGTACTTTTATTAGAGACGAGGTTTCACCATGTTGCCTAGACTGGTCTTGAACTCGTGAGCTCAAGTGATCCTCCCACCTTGGTCTTCCAAAGTGCTGGGATTACAGGCATGAGCCACCGCTCCCAGCCAAGATTTATTTCTTAAAATTTATTTTTCTTACAAAAATTTTTTTTCATTGTCGGGGACTTTCTGGTAAAGACCAGAAAACCTGCTAGACAAATTTTAAAAGAGCTTTAATGTGATTTATTTTTTATTAAAAAAAAGTTTTTAGACATGGGTTTCTCAATGTTGCCAAGACTGACCTTGAACTCCTGGGCTCAAGCAATCCTCCCACCTCAGCCTCCAGAGTCCTGAGTAGTTGGGACTACAGGTAAAAGCCACTGTGCTCGGCTATGCTCAAGACTTTTTTAAAGAAGAAAATATGGGTATTATTTTATTCTGAAACTTCTCATGTTTTATCTTGCCATCGTACATAAACACATTAGTTTGCACTTAAACAGTAGCTTAAATTGTAAATTTTATCCATCCAAATTTTGTTACAAACTTTGTTATAATGGAAGCTCTAAATGAGGGTTATCTGATTTTTAGTTATTTATAAGTAATCTGTTTTAGTCTACTGGAATGCTTGCAAACTCCTTGTTATCTTCTCTGCCCCCTAGGATATGTCTAGATATGGATCTTTGACCATTAATCTCATGTCACCTTTTTCTTTACTTTTAGGTCTTCTTTTAAGTCTAGATATTTTTATTCAATTTGCCTTTGAGTTACTATTACTTCTGTTTAAATTAGTCCAGATTACTCCTCAAACATACTTGTAATTCTCAGATTGGGTTTTATCTCATCTCTTTTGTCTTTCTGCTTCTGTTTCATACAAGCCTCATCTTCTTGCTTTCTTCTTGAGAATGCAAATTTTCTAAAAGAGGTATCTATTTCCTTAGAAAATCACTTTCAGAGATAAGCGAATCTTCTGAATCTTCTGTATTATGATCCTTTCCCTTTTGTATATTATTTTTTATGCTTCTCTTGGGACAAGAAGAGGGCTTGGGAGTGTGATATGGACCAAGGTTCCAAGGATTTGGGACAGGTCATGTGCAAGTAAGCAGAGCTGACCACTAGCTGTGGATAGGGAACAAAGGAGAGTTGAAGTCTAAGAGCCTTGCCAAGCAGCCTTGAGAAGCAAACAATAATCTGAAACTTGAAATCTGTGAGGGAAGATGAACTCAAGAACTGGATCTTTTTCAAAGGTTGTCAGGCAAGATGGACCTTAACTAGTAGAATCTGGAGACAGCCAGGAATGTTAACTTGAGGAAATAAAATACACAAGAATGTGATAGCTTTTCATACTGCTAAATCTGGAGAGAATTAAGATCTTAGGTCAGTTTGGACAGGTTTTTCCCTTCTTTATTTTCTCATCTATGTCCAGTATATCAGTCATCTATTCAGATAGGAAGTGTGGATTTCCTTTGGCTCCACTCTTAGATCTCTAAGTAGAGTCCAGATCGATATGCCTACGTGAGAGTAATTCCCAGGGCCTTTTGTTATTCCACTGTCTTAAACCAATGGAATCCATGATCAGCTATCATTTCAGCAAGCACTGCAGCCAGCACTCTCCCCGTACACTGTATTCATAGGGACAAATGTGACAGGGCAAATGGACAATTACCTGTCTCTCCATCCACCCCATCTTTCGCCACTGAATTCCGGAAGTTGCAGTCCCCAGTTACATGCATAAAGATGATAGTCTCTAACAGTATTATAATCACGTCTCAAAGCAGGATTTTAGATTCGAGAGGCTGATATTGTTTGGATCTGTGTCTCTGCCCAAATCTCATGTCGAATTATAATCCTCAGTGTTGGAGGTGGGGCCTGGTGGGAGGTGATTGAATCACAGGGGTGGATTTCTCAGGAACGGTTACCACCATCCCCTTCACGCTATGCCTCATGATAGTGAGTTCTCGTGAGAGCTGGTTGTTTAAAAGTGTGTATCACCTCCTCCCTTACTTTCTCTCTTGCTCCTGCTCCTGCCATGTAAGATGCCTGCTCCCCCTTTGCCTTTTGCCATGATTGGAAGCTTCTCGAGGCCTCCCCAAAAGCAGAAGCCACAATGCTTCCTGTATAGCCTTCAGAACTATGAGCCAATTAAACCTCTTTTCTTTATAAATTACCCAGTGTCAGGTAATTTTTTTTTTACAGCAATTCAAGAACAGGCTAATACAGAGGCCGAAGAGGGCCAGCTGCTTAGTTTGCAGCTCTGATGGACACTGGCTCTCTAATTCAGTGAGCAGACAGTGGGAAAGGGATGCTCAGATGCCAAACTTTCTTTCAGATGGGTGGATCTGTTCTGTACCATGAAGTAGAGTATGGATAAGCCAACAACTGTTTTTCTGAATCCACCTCCATTAGCCTCATAAATTAGGGCAATTCCTCCTGGTAATGAGCAAGCAGCTTGTCATTCTTTATGCTCTGTGTTAGGATTAATTTTGTCATTTTTCTTTACCTTTTTATGGGTTTTAGGCAGCAGTTGAGAGACCCTGAGGCAGGGCTGCTAGCCAAATACTATTTAAAGCTAGAAATGCCTCACTGATTTTTATCGTAGATTGTTTCAACCTGTGTTCATTTCTTCAGCCTCTGACTATAGGATTTCCCAGGTTGCAGTCTTTGGCTGGCTGCTCAGTCTGCACTCTCCTTCAGAGGACTAATTTACTCTTACACCTTCACATCGGACACCTGAAGACTCTCAAACTGTTACCTCTAGTCTTGTCTTCTCATTTAAATTGTGACCCTGTATTTTCTGACTAAAAGACATTTCTACTTGTCTATCCCACAAAATTATTGTATCCCTGGTGTGTGTACTCTTAATTATTAAAACTGCTAAATTATCAAAGACCAAAGTCATGAGGACAGGAAACAAACATTTTATGCAAGGGCTACTGATAAAACTTTTGGAGGCACAACCCCATTTATACTCCTTTGGTTCCTGGAGAAGAGAAACTGCACTATGTATTATTCAAAGGTTCTGAGCATTTACCTCATCCTGCAGGATCACATCCCAGCTTCACACCCCAATATAGCATGGCCTGAGAGCTGGCAATGTAACTGGGTTTTCAATAGCCATGTCACTATTCTATAAGATCAACATCAACTGCTTCTGGCTGATGGGGTGCAAGATAAGACCTGTAAATCTAATGGGTATCAGAATATTGACTCACAGAGTTCATTTGTTGAAGCAATGAAGCAATGTTGCATGGAAAATTCACATCACATAGGATGTTTTCATTTGCAAGGAGCAGACTACCCAGTGAGTTACAGTTCTTGAAGTTTCTCCCACAGGGAAGATATCCCTTTCCCACCATCCTTCAGGGTCTACCTAGATGGAACTGAATGTTACAGAAATCCATTTAGGGCAAGAGCTATCATACCATGCAGAGATTTCTATAAATTTGGTTAGGTTTTTTTTTTCCTTCCCAGGCAAGTGATCATAAGGAAGTATCCGTGATTCCACAGGAGTGGAATATGGAAAGTGTGGCAGTGTAATCAGAAAAGGCATGCTGCAGTGTGAGCCATCTGCATGTGCAACTTTCTTGTGACTTTGGACCTGTTGGGTCTAGTCCTGTTTACATTGTTTCCACTTGATGATGGTGGAAACCATCCTCAGATATAACGTGGTTTTGGTTCTAGACCACTACAATAAAGTGGATATGGCAATAAACCAAGTCACACAATTTTTTTTGTTTCTTAATGCATATAAAAGTTATTATTTACAATACACCATAGTCCATTGCTAGTGTGCAATAGCATTATGTTAAAAAAACACGTATATACCTTAATTAAAAATACTTTATGGCTAAAAGTTGCTAACAATCATCTGAGCCTTCAGCAAGTCCTAATATTTTTGCTGATAGAGAGTCTTGCTTCCATGTTGACAGCTGCTGACTGATCAGGGTGGTGGTTGCTGAAAGTTGGAGTGGCTGCAGCAATTTCTTAAAATAAGACAACAATGAAGTTTGGCACATTGACTGACTCTTCCTTTCATGAAAGATTTCTCTGTAATGCTGTTTGATAACATTTTACCCACAGTAGAACTTCTTTCAAAATTGGAGATAATCATCTCAAAACCTCCCACCATTGCTTTATTAACTAAGCTTATGTAATATTTTTGATCCTTTGTTGCCGTTTCAACAATGTTCACAGCATCTTCACCAGAAGTAGATTCTATCTCAAGAAACTACTTTCTTTGTTCATCCATAAAAAGCAACTTTTCATCTGTTCAAGTTTTATTGTGAGATTGCAGCATTGCAGTTAATCTTCAGGCTCCATCAATCACAAATGTTTTTAATGCCATTAGAATGGTGAATCCTTTCCATAAGGTTTTCCATTGACTTTGCCCAGATCTACCAGAGGAATCACTATCTATGGCAGCTACAGCCTTACGAAATGTGCTTCTTAGGTAATAAGACTTGAAAGTTGAAATTACCCCTTAATCCATGGGCTACAGAATAGATGGATGTTGTGTTAGCAGGCATGAAAAAAACATTAATCTCCTTGTACACCTCCATCAGAGCTCTTGATTGACTAGGTCCATTGTCAATGAGCAGTAACATTTTTTTCAGGAATTTTTTTTTTTTTTTCCCTGAGCAGGAGGTCTCAATACTGGGCTTAAAATATCCACTAAACCATGCTGTAAACAAATGTGCTGTCATTCAGGCTTTGTTGTTCCATTTGTAGAGCACGGGTAGAGTAAATTTAGCATAATTCTTCAGGGCCCTAGGAATTTGGGGGTGGGAAATGAGCAATGGCTTCAACTTAAAGTCAACAGTTGCCTCAGCCCCTAACAAGAGAGTCTGCCTGTCCTTGGAAGCTTTGAAGCCAGGCACTGATTTCTTCTTTCTAGCTATGAAAGTCCCAGATGGCTTCTTCTTCCAAGAGACAGCTATTTCATCTACACCGAAAATATGTTGTTTAGTGTAGCCACATTCATTAATTGTCTTAGCTAAATCTTCTTGCTAACTTGCTGCAGCTTTTGTATCAACACTTGCGGTTTCTCTTTGCACTTTTATGTTATGGAAATGGCTTCTTTTCTTTGACCTCATGAACGAATCTCTGCTAGATTCAAACTTTTCTTCTGCAGCTTCCTTACCCCTCTTAGCCTTCATAGAATTGAAGAGATAGGGCCTCGCTCTGGATTAGCCTTTGGTTTAAGATGTTTGGCTGATTTGGTCTTCCATCCAGTCCACTAAAACTTTCTCCATATCAGCAATAAAGCTGTTTTACTTTTTATCTATCATTTGTGTGTTCCCTGGAGTAGCACTTTTAATTCCCTTCAAGTACATTTCCTTTGCATTCACAACTTGGCTAACTATTTGGTTCAAGAGGCCTGGCTTTTGGCTTATCTCAGCTTTTGATGTGCATTTCTTAGTAAGTCTAATCATTTCTAGCTTTTGATTTAAATTGAGAGATGTGTGACTCTTCCTTTCTCTTGAACACTTAGCAGGCCATTGTAGGGCTATTAATTGGTCTAATGTCAATATTGTTGTGTCTTAGGGAACAGGGACATGTGAGGAGAGGGAGAAAGATGGGAGAATGAGTTGTCTATGGAGTAATCAGAACACACACAACATTTATCCATGAAGTTCACCATCTTACATAGTCATGGTTTGTGGTGCCCCAAAACAATTACAATAGTAACATTAAAGATCACTAATTACAGATCACAATAACAGATATAATAATAATGAAAATGTTTGAAATATTATGAGAATTACCTAAATGTAATACAGAAACATGAAGTGAGCACATGCTGTTGGAAAAACGGTGCCAATAGACTTGCTCCATGCAGGGTTGTCACCAGTCTTCAATTTGTAAAAAAAAAAACGCAGTATCTATGAACACAATAAAGTGAATCACAATAAAATGAAGTATACCTGTACTGATGCTTGATTTTATGTCTGGTTAGATAATATCAGGTTAATGATTGGTACCAGGTATTTCATGGGCATTCACTCAGTGTCTATCAGGGATTATAGCAAGCAAGCCACAGGCTGTTTCTTGTTTGTTTGTTTGTTTTGAGACAGTCTCACTCTGTTGCCAGGCTGGAGGTGCAGTGGCGCAATCTTGGCTCACTGCAACCTCTGCCTCCTGGCTTAAGCAATTCTTCTGCCTCAGCCTCCTGAGTAGCTGGAACTACAGGTGTGCGCCACCATGCCCAGCTAATTTTTGTATTTTTAGTAGAGACAGGGTTTCACCATGTTGGCTAGGATGGGCTCATTCTCTTGACCTCATGATCTGCCCACCTCAGCCTCCGAAAGTGCTGGGATTACAGGCATGAGCCACCATGCCCAGCTCTTGTTTGTTTGTTTTTTGTTTTGTTCTTGTTGTTGTTGGGATAGGATCTCACCTCTGTTGCACAGGCTGGAGTGCAGTGTCATGATCACGACTGACTGCATTTTTACCCTCCCCAGGCTCAGGCGATCCTCCCACCTCAGCCTCCCATGTAGCTGGGACTACAGGCACAAGCCACCACACCTGGCTAATTTTTGTATTTTTTGTAGAGACAGCGTTTCACCATGTTGCCCACACTGGTCTCAAACTCCTGGGCTCAAGTAACCCACTCGCCTCAGCCTCCCAAAATGCTGGGATTACAGATGTGAGCCACCACACCCGACCCTACAGGGTGTTTTTAAAAAATATATATATAATTCTTCATTATAGATTGTATTTTATTGTATATTATGTTATATATTTTTTTCTTTCATTTTTATATGTTTAATTTTTTTTTTTTGAGATGAGGCCTCACTCTGTCATCCAAGTTGGAGTGCAGTGGCATCATCTTGGCTCATTGCAATGGCTGTCTCCCATGCTCAAGCGATCCTCCCACCTCAGCCTCCCTCGTAGCTGGGACCCCAGGGGCATCACCATGCCTGGCTAATTTTTTGTATTTTTGGTAGCGACCGGGTTTCGCCATGTTGCCTAGGCTGGTCTCGAACTCCTGAGCTCAGGTGATCCATCTGCCTCAGCCTCCCAAAGTGCTGGGATTACAGGCATGAGTCACTGTGCCAAACCTGTAATTTTTTTTTTTAAGACAGTGTCTCACTTCGTTGCTTATGCTGGAATATAATGATGCAATCATAACTCACTGTACCCTTGCCTTAGCCTTTCAAGTAGCCGGGACTACAGGCATGTGCCACCAGAACTAGCTAAATTTTTTTATGTTTTATTTTTGTACAGACGAGGTCTCGCTTTGTTGCCCAGGCTGATCTTGAACTCCTGGCCTCAAGAGATCTTCCCTGGCCAGGCACAGTGGCTCACGCATATAATCCCAGCACTTTGGGAGGCAGAGGCAGGAGGGTAGCTTGAGTCTAGGAGTTTGAGACCAGCCTGGGCAACATAGTGAGACCTTGTCTCTACAAATAATAAAAAATAAACAAAATTAGCCAGCCATGGTGGTGCATGACAGTAGTCCTAGGTACTTGGGAGGTTGAGGTGGGAGGATCGCTTGAGCCTAGGAGGTCAAGGCTGCAGTGAGCCAAGATCATGCCAATGTACTCCAGCCTGAGAAACAGAGTGAGAGCCTGTCTCAAAAAGGAAAAAAACAAAAGAGGGGTCTTCCCCGCTTGGCCTCCCAAAGTGCTAGGATTACAGACATGAGCCACCACACTTGGCCTAAATTATATAAATTTTTATAAGTGAGTATAGAGCCCTGCTGTGATTCTCCTAACAAATGCAAGTGATCTGCATTTGTGATGGTCATCTGTGCTCAGTGATCTTTGGTGTTACTATTGTAATTGTTTTGGGGCACCACCAACCACGCTCATATAAGATGGTGAACTTTAGCCGGGCGCGGTGGTTCACGCCTGTAATCCCAGCACTTTGAGAGACTGAGGCGGGCAGATCACCTGAGGTTAGGAGGTCAAGACCAGCCTGATCAACATGGAGAAACACCGTCTCTACTAAAAATACAAAAATTAGCCAGGCATGGTGGTGAGCGCCTGTAATCCCAGCTACTCCAGAGGCTGAGGCCGGAGAATTGCTTGAACCTCGGAGGCGGAGGTTGCAATGAGCTGAGTGCGCCATTGCACTCCAGCCTGGGCAACAAGAGCGAAACTCCATCTCAAAAAAAAAAAAAAAAAAAAAAGATGGTGAACTTCATGTAAAAAATGTGTGTTCTGAGTACTTCATAGGCAACTCGTTCTCTCATCTTTCTTCCTTTCCTCATACTCTTCTATTTCCTAAGATACAACAAAATTGAAATTAGGTCAGTTAATAACCCTACAATGGCCTCTAAGTGTTCAAGTGCCTCTAAGTGCTTCAAAGCCCTGCTGTGATTCGCCTAACAAAACTTGTCACATTCTCTATAAGGCATAATTGATCAGTCTTTGAGCACCACTCGCACTTCAGCCTGGATGAGTTAGGATATTCCCTCTAAAATGATGATCATGTTTTTCTACTCTCCCTACCATTCAGGAAGAGACACAATGGTTTGTGAGCTTCCTTGGATTTTGGAGGCAGCATACACCACATTTGAGTATGTTGCTCTGATCCATTTTCAGGTTAACACAAAAGATCTCAGCTTTGAGAGGGCCGCAGAGCAAAAAAAGTTTCTCTAGCTGATAAAGGTGGATCAGGGAGCTGCATGGAGATGATGGCAAGTTCTAGTAAGGGAGTCAAAATGGAGGTACCTGATAGTTTGGGAGAGAACTATGCCCTTTTTGGCAAGTGACTATTCTATTTTTGATAAGCAACTCTTGTTTTGATACTGGTTTCTGATAGAAACTGAGCACCTGACCATAAGGTACCAAGGAGCCATGGATTTTGAGGAACGTTCCATGAAACAAGTGTTGTATGATCTACCTAGCCATACAGTCTGATGTTGCCAGCAGCATTCCATCAAGTGAAAGCAGTGTATACGTAGGACCAGAAACAAGCAAGATACAAGTAAGTGTCATGTGAAGATGTCTCATATTTACAGCATTTTTTCTGTTGCTTCTTCCTCAGCCCATACCTAAGGGCTTTGTGTAGAATTCTCTATGATCATGGGGAGGAAAAAAAAATCCAGCTTGGTTACAGAGAATTAGGTTTCATTGGTACCAAATGAAAAGCTTACAGTTTCATTCAGCTGGAAAAGCAGGCCAGGGGCTTAATTTTGAATGAAGTTTAAGATATGTATTATTAATCCAAGTGGAGATGTCTTTAGCTGAATATATGAATGTGAATTTCAAGGAAGAGGACTTGATGATAGCTTAATTCAGATGTGATCCTGAAAAGTAGTGGAAAAAAGAAATCCCCCAGTTAATCACACTTTAATGAAGACTTCTCATTGTCCACTTTATCTAAAAGGAGAAATGACATTAGATAAATAAGTACAATGATTCCTGGAAAATAACGAAAGGTTTCACTGAATGGTCAGGGTCTTGGGAGTAAATGGACTGAAGAGCTGCTGACAAGGAGTTTTTGAAATGTGGTATAAGGCTAGATCTCTCAGAATGGGTCCAGAATGTTAGAATATTTGAGTCCCATGAGAGTGACCACAAAAGATGCCCACTTTAGAGGACCATCTCAATAATGAAGTGGATAAAATGATTGATACTATAGATGTCACTCAACATCTTTCTGCATCCCAGTGCTTGCTCAGTGAGCTCATAAAATGGCCATTGTAGCAGATGATGGCTATGAGTCGGGTCAACGACATGCATGTCCTCTCACTAAGGCCACTATGGCGGCTGCCTCTGCTGAGTGCCCCATTTTCTAGCAGCAACAACAAGCCCTAAGCCCCTGACGTGATACTGCATGAAAAAAATCTCAATGCACATCTTATTTGACCTATCAGGAGCATTTGGCACAGTTCATCTCTCTTTCCTCCTTGAAACACATTCTTCAATGGCTTCTAAGGCACCCCTCCTTTTTTTTTAAGTTGAAAAAGCAGAGGAAACTCCAGACGTTGCATGGTTTAGGCTTTGGCCTTACACTCTTGCAAGTCTCCTGTCCAGGAGAACCACTAGTGCCTCAGATCTACTCGGTGCGGACCCTAAGGTCCCTTCCACCCCCATGAGCCACCTGTCAGGGTGAGCTAAGAAATCGGCCGTGGGGAGCAGGGTCACCTATGGCCAAGAGGCATTGTTCTGGGGGTTCGCTAGTAAGCAGGAGAGAGAAAGGGGAGAAGAAAATCGTGCACAGGGGTCAAATGCCTCCAGCCGAAGAAGGCGAGGCGTAGAGATCTCTTATCACTAGGGAATGTGTCTGAGTTACACGGCACCAAAATATGTTTGCAGTGGTGAATATGAGTTACTGGTGGTGAATCTGTATGGGTCTGCAGCAACCTCAATTATTGCCTCCTCAGAAGAAAGAATTCAACTGAGGGGCATAAGGCAGAAAAAGAGACTGAGGCAAGTTTCAGAGCAGGAGTTGAGGTTGATTAAAAAAGCTTTAGAGGCCAGGCGCAGTGGCTCACGCCTGTAATCCCAGCCCTTTGGGAGGCTGAGGTGGGCGGATTACCTGAGGTTAGGAGGTCAAGACCAGCCTGGCCAACATGGTGAAACCCCGTCTCTACCAAAAATAAAAAAAATTAGCCGGGCGTGGTGGCACACGCCTGTAATCCCAGATACTCGGGGGGACGAGGCAGGAGAATTGCTTGAGCCTGGGAGACAGAGGTTGCAGTGAGCCGAGATTGTGCCATTGCACTCCAGCCTGGGTGACAGAACAAAACTCTGTCTCAAAAAAACAAACAAACAAAAAAACAAAAACAGAACAAAAAACAAACAAACTTTAGAGCAGGAAAGAAAGGAAAGTACACTTGGAAGAGAGCCAAGCAGACACCTTGGAGGCCAAGTGCCACTCCTCCTTGATTTTCCTTCTTTAATCATTTCTTCTCAGAATATCTTTGCTAGTTCCTTCTCATTTCCCTGACCTCTTATGTTGGGGTGTCCCAGAGCTCTATTTTTTTTTTTTTTTTTTTGAGATGGAGTCTTGCTCTGTTGCCCAGGCTGGAGTGCAATGGTGTGATCTTGGCTCCCTACAACCTCCGCCTCCCAGGTTCAAGCGATTCTTCTGCTTCAGCCTCCCAAGTAGTTGGGATTACAGGTGCCCACCACCACGCCTGGCTAATTTTTGCATTTTTAGTAGAGACGGAGTTCCGCCATGTTGGTCAGGCTGGTCTCAAACTCCTGACCTCAGGTAATCCATCCTCCTTGGCCTCCCAAAGTGCTGGGATTACAGGTGTGAGCCACTGTGCTCAGCCAAAGCTCAATCTTTAGACTTCTTTTCTTCTCTACGTACTTTCCTTTCCTAGGTGATCCCTTCAAGTCTTATGTCTTTAAGTAACATAAATTTGCTAACAAGTCACATTTAAATTTTCAGCCTGGTTCTAAAATCTAGTCCCAAGTATCCAACGGAATACATTTCCACCTGCGTGTACATTTTACATTTAATTGGTCAGAAACTGAGCCCCAGATCTGTCCTCTAAGGCTGTTCTTCCTGCAGTCTTCCCTTTCTGAATTGATTGCAACTTCAACTTTCCAATTGTTTAGATCAAAAATCTTGGAGCCAGTATTGACTCTCCTCTTTGTTTCTTTATTTTTTATTTCTTATTTTTTTGAGACAGAGTCTTACTCAGTCGCCCAGGCTGGAGTGCAGTGGCACAATCTCGGCTCACTGTAACCTCCACTTCCTGGGTTCAAGTGATTCTCCTGCCTCACCCTCCTGAGTAGCTGGGATTGCAAGCATGCACCACCACTTCTGGGGTTTCACCATGTTGGCCAGGCTGGTCTCAAACTCCTGACCTCAAGTGATCCGCCCACCTCGGCCTCCCAAATTGCTGGGATTACAGGTGTGAGCCACTGTGCCTGGCCTGACTCTCTTCTTTCAAACTACACATCTAATCCATCAGCAAATCCTTTTGACATAGCTCCAAAATTAACCCCAAATTTGATCACTTGCCACTGCCACTACCACCTTGGATCGAAACACCATAGTCTCTGGATTACTGCAATAGCCTTTTAGTGGATTTTCCTGCTTTGGCTCTTGCTCACCAATAGTCTATTCTCCATACTCAGGTCAAGTCACTCTGTACTTAAAGCTTTCCAGTGACTCTCATCTCATTCAAAGTAAAAGCCAAAGTCTTCACTTTGTTTCAGCCCCATTGATCTCCTTAGGGTTCCTAGCATGTGCCAAGCTTGTCCCCACAGAAGGGTATTTGCACATCCTATTCCCTGGACTTGGAACATTTCCCCTCATCCCAACCATACCTCCAAATATCACTATATTTTGTTATTTTATTTGCTTAAAGTCTTTGTACAGATGTCACTTTCTAAGTGAGGGCTTACACAAAAACCCTATTTAAAACTGCAACCATCATTCCCTCTGTATTTCTTATTTCCTTTGTCTGTTTTTTCTTCATGACACTTATAATTGTACTATGTGTTTTATTTTGTTTATTGTCTGCTCCCTCTACCTACCAAGAAAGCAGCCATTTATTGTCTTTTCAATGCGGTGCCTAAAACACACTCAACAGATATTTTTCTTTCTCTCTATCCTCCAATTTTTCTTTTTTTTTTCTTTGTTTTTTTTTTTTTGAGACAGAGTCTCACTCTATCACCCAGGCTGGAGCGCAGTGGCGCAATCTCGGCCCACTGCAATCTCCGCCTCCCGGGTTCAAGTGATTTGCATGTCTCAGCGTTCCACGTAGCTGGGATTACAGGTGTGCGTCACCATGCTGGGCCAATTTTTGTATTTTTTAGTAGAGACGGGATTTTGCCATGTTGGCCAGGCTGGTCTTGAACTCTTGATCTCGGGTGATCCGTCCACCTTGGCCCCCCAAAGTGCTGGGATTACAGGCGGGAGCCACTGTGCCTGGCCTCTTCCAACTTTTTTGTTTTGAAAATGTTCAAACCTAAAGAGACCAGGTGTGGTGGCTCATGCCTGCAATTGCAGCACTTTGGGAAGCCAAGGTGGGAGGACTGCTTGAGCCCAGGAGTTTGAGACCAGCCTGGGCAATATAGGGAGGCTCTATCTCTACAAAAAAATTTTGAAAATTAGCCAGGTGTGGTGGCACACACCTATAATTTCAGCTACTTTGGAGGCTGAGGTGGGAGGATCACATAAGCCCAGGAGTTGGAGGTTGCAGGGAGCTATGATCTCACCACTGCACTCCACCCTGGGTGACAGAGCGAGACCCTGTCTCAAAAAACAAACAAAAAACCTACAGAAAATGTAACAACAAATACAATGGATATCCATATCCCCTTCACCTAGATTCACTCATTGTTAACATTTTGTCACATTTGCTTTATTTCTCTTTCAGTTGCACTACACACACACACACACACACACACTTTTTTTGCTGACTTCATTTGAAAGTAAGTTTTAGACATGGTGACCCTTCACTTCCAAATAATTTAGCATGCATTAGCTATGATATATAACATACATAACCACAATGCAAATATCATTCAGGATAATTAACAATTATATATATATACATGCACATACATATTTACACACACACAGCCTGTATTCAAATTTCCTCAGTTGTTCCAATAATGTATTTTATAGCTGTTTTTTAAAAATTAATAAAGGACTCAATCAGGAATTACGCATTTCACTTAAATGCCATGTCTCTTAAGGTTTTGAAATTTAGAACAGTGCCCCAGCTTCTTTGTTTTTATTTTATAACACTGATAGTTTTAAGGGTACATGCTATTTGTCAATAAATATTTTATAAATTAATACATAATGATTTCCTCAAATGTTTTTTCTTCCTGTCCCTGCAGCTCTGAGCTCTCATTATTTGGTGGTCTGAGAAAGCAAGAGAAGAATACTTCTACCAGGGAATACAACAGCAATTCTATTGAAGTTGAAATTCAATGGTCACTTCAGGTTCTTCTTAACCACCAATACAACTGGTAAGAAAGAGGATTGTGGGATTGGCTGTGGTAATATATTTCAGGTATCAGGGGAAATAGGACTGCTGCTATAAGATAGGGGGAGGAGTAGTGTAGCTGAACTCCAGGTGATTATTAGGAGCCCCTTCTGTTATTGGTATATTCAGAGGTAAAAGGTAATGGAAGACTACAGCAACCTATATAGGCAGCATCACCAAAGGTACAACTTTTTCAGGAATGAAGGACAGTAACACACTAGATAAGAAATAGATGGCTAAAGGTAGAGAGAATACAGGATCAGTAGCAAAGAAAGCTCCAAGACACTGGCAGCCAAGCCTAGACCTGTTGGGCAGGAAGTTTGACGAAACTTTTCTAGGGATCAGATCCACCCAAAAGGAAAGTTATAGATAAAACTTCAGGGATTCCTCAGCAAATGATCCAGGCATATCATCTGATATGGTTTGGCTGTGTCCCCCCAGAAATCTCATCTTGAATTCCCACATGTTGTGGGAGGGACCCGGTGGGAGGTAATAGGATCATGGGTGCAAGTCTTTCCCCTGCTGTTCTTGTGATAGTGAATAAGTCTCATGAGATCTGATGGTTTTAAAAAGAGGAGTTCCCCTACACAAGCTCTCTCTCTTTGCCTGCTGGCATTCCACATAAAATGTGACTTGCTCCTCCTTTCCTTCCACCATGATTCTGAGGCATCCCCAGCCATGTGGAACTGTAAGTCCAATTAAACTTCTTTCTTTGGTAAATTGCCTAGTCTCAGGTATATCTTTATCAGCAGTGTGAAAACAGACTAATACATCATCTCACAGTGAAACTGAGAGATAACATATTGCTGTAGTCTCAATGTTTGTGTCCTCCCAAAAATTTATATGTTGAAAGCTAATCACCAATGTGATAGTACTAAGATGTGGGGCCTTTAAATGGTGATTAAGTCATGAGGGCAGAGGCTTCATGATTGAGATTAGTGGCCTTGTAAAAGAGATGCTAGAGAGCTGTGTTGCCCCTTTTAGCAGGTGAGGACACAGCAAAAAGGTACCACCTATGAAACAGAAAGCAGCCCTCACCAGACTTGGAATCTGCTGGCATCTTGATCTTGGACTTTCCAGCCTCCAGAACTGTAAGAAATCAATTTCTGTTGTTTGTAAGTTATCCAGTCTGTGGCATAGCTTATATACCAGACTAAGACAAGGAGAAATGGCCTCAAAATTCTGAAGCAGAATTATTTCCAACTTTGAATTCTACACCAAGTACGTATGTTTTTTAAAAAGAGGAAGGAGACATTTTCAGACATGCAAGTATGCAAAAAATTTATTTCCCATACATTCTCTCTGAGGAAGTTACCAAAGGTGTGCATCATCAAAACAGGAGCCCTGTCCTAGGAGAGAAGTGAAAGGATTTTCCAAGATGTTTATCAAGGGAGACCCTAGGATGACAGCTATGTGACAAGTCAAGGTTAAGGCACTTCATAAACCCTGGGACAGAAATATTTAGGAAGATGAAATAAATAAATTGATAGAATATGTGAATTTAAACAACTGTAAGAGAGTTTGATTGAATTAGAAATTAGGAAGTTAAACACACACAAAAATTATT
The DNA here is from genome assembly GCF_000001405.40 of Homo sapiens. NCBI lineage: Eukaryota > Metazoa > Chordata > Mammalia > Primates > Hominidae > Homo > Homo sapiens. The sequence goes on from NC_000001.11 coordinate 174,110,537, forward strand.
AGCTGTAGGGAAAGCAAAATATTTTCTAGGAAAGGAAAATGATTATAGTTGACTATATTGCTCCATTCTGAAAGCATATATAGTCATAATAATAGAAACACTATATATTTATCTAACCAAAATTATATCACTATATTGTGATAAGAATGATAACTGCTTTGTATGTCTGTGTTTAATTGTGGTGTGGAGAGGAAAGACCATAGGGAATGCCTACAACTAAAAGAATATGACATAGCAAGACAAACATGTTATCTAGAGTATGGAGGTACATATGAAGAGAATCATTTAGAGGTAAATGTAGTTGTCTTTGGACACAGGGAAATGATGGGTGGAAGAACAATTGAGAGCTGTTCTTTATTTTAACATATCTCATAAAATTTGTTGACTTTTAAAAATAAAGACACAAAGTTAATTTATAATCACAATATTTCAGAGGCATTACTTAGGACACCGAAATAGTTATTTTGTTTACCATGCCTTGTACATGGTAAAGACACTTAATTGTTTTTTGAATGGAATCCTTTTAAATGTGTCAGAAGTTATAAGCCATTACCACTCTGTAAAATTGAGATCAGGGATTATTTCTTATACTTCTTTCTTATACTTCAGGACACAATGTGGCATTATTTGCATTGTATTTTTATTAATATGTAGGATATTGTGTGTATAAGACTTAAGAAGAACCAAATCAAATTGCTTTTTAGTCTCAGTTAATGTATAAACAATCCTGAGTGGAATATTTCACTTTACAAATGAGATCTGCTTTTTCCCTTGCTATGAGTCAAAACATTACCTCCCAATCAAGAAATCAACAATGTAGTGGTTTGAATATATGCCCTCCAAAATTCAGGTATTGTCAATGTGGTGCCTTTAAGAAGTGATTGGGCCATGAGGGCTTCTCCCCTGTGATTGGATGCTCTTGTAAAAAGGCTTGATGGAGGCAGTTGTCCCTTTGCCCTTCTGCTTTCCACCATGTGAGGACACAGTGTTCCTCCCCTCCAGAGGATGCAGCAACAAGGCACCATCTTGGAAGTAGAGACTGGACCCTCACCAGACAACAAATCTGCCATTGCCTTGATCTTAGATTTCCCAGCCTCCAGAACTGTGAGAAATAAATTTCTATTGTTCATAAATTACCTAGTCTGGCCGGGCGCTGTGGCTCACGCCTGTAATCCCAGTACTTTGAGAGGCCGGGGCAGGTGGGTCTTCTGAGGTCAGGAGTTTGAGACCAGCATGGCCAACATGGTGAAACCCCGTCTCTACTAAAAATACAAAAATTAGCCGGGCATGAAGGCTTGCACCTGTAATCCCAGCTACTTGGGAGGCTAAGGCAGGAGAATCACTTGAACCCGGGAAGTAGAGGTTGCAGTGAGCCGAGATCACCCCACTGCACTCCAGCCTGGGAGACAGAGCAAGACTCTGTCTTGAAAAAATAAATAAATAAATAAATAAATAACCTAGTCTGTGGTATCTGTAATAGTAGCATAAATGGATGAAGATAAATCAACAGTTTTTTTGGAGTACTTATCTTGGACAAGACAGATAACATAGTTTTAAAAATCAATTATAGTACATAATAGTTGTTTTTGTTTTTTTCGAGACAGGGTCTCACTCTGTCATCCAGGCTGGAGTGGTGACACAATCTCGGATCACTGCAACCTCTGCTTACCAGGTTCAAGCAATCCTCCAGCCTCAGCCCACCAAGTAGCTGAGATTACAGGAGTACGCCACCATGCCTGGCTAATTTTTGTATTTTTTGTGGAGACAGGGTTTCACCATGTTGCCCAGGCTGATCTCGAACTCCTAAGCTCAAGCGATCCACCCGCCTTGGCCTTCCAAAGTACTGGGATTATAGGCATGAACCACTGCACCCAGCAGTACATATAGTTCTTTAATAACTGGATTACTCTATCTATTAACTATATTACATTCTCTAGGAAAAGAATCTGAGAGATTGCCAAGGTCACCCGGAGAATCAGGCATACCACCTCTTCAGATTATTTACCCTAAACTAAACTTTTGTGAAAAATACACACTGAGTAGGTGTGAGAAAAAAGTCAGAAAGGTTTATCCCACTTGAGATTAACGAGCAGTGTAGTTTGTCTTCAACTAAAGTGTTGATGGATAAAAGACAAAAACTGGTGTGTAAATTCAGCTTTCGCTTTGTTGAAAGGGGATTAAAAATAGAAAGGAATTCTATTTAGGTTTAGACAGTGAAAGTTGAGAAACAGAACTTTTTTAAAGGAGTAGGCTTGAGATATTTTTTCCTACTGAAGAGTCCAAATTGTGGAGCTGGCAGAATAAGCATCTTGTCTGCCTGCTTGTATTTTTGGTGTCTCGATTAATTGCATAGCTGTCCTGCATCAGTAGTTTTAAATCTATAAATTCACAGCTCTCAGGAGTTAATATGAGATTATCCAGACACTATTTAAAGGGCCAGAGATCAAAGAAACAAAGAAGCCTCTTTATAGGGGCTATTTGAGTACTTTACTAGTCCTTAGGCACTTGGTAATTTCACAAAGTAGATACGATGTATTTGTCAAGGAAATCTCTTTCAACACATTCTTCTCCTCTTCATTTGTTCCCTCTTATAAATAGAGTCATATTCTATGCCTCTAAGAGGGTGTAATTATTTTACATAGAACAATTCTACTTTCTATTTGCTGTGTTAATTGTTGTCTCCTGTATGGAAGCTTATTTTTGATATCTTAGGTTTAAAAAAATCTCAGTAGAGAGTAGAATAGTGATTACCAGAGACTGGGGAGGGAAGGAAGGGAGGTTGGTTAATGGGTACAAAAATATAGCTAGATGGAAGAAATAAGTCTTAGTATCTGATAGTACTGTAGGGAAATTATAGTTAATAATAATTCACTGCATATGTCAAAATAACTAGAAGAGAAGAATTTTAATGTTCCCAACACAAAGACAAATGTTGGAAGTGATGGATATCCCAATTACTCTGATTTTATCATTACTCATTATATACATGTATCAAAATATCACAAGAACTCCTAAAATATGTACAACTATGACATATCAATTAAACAAACCCCAAAAGCTCAGAAGAGCATCCCTAAGACTTAAGGGATGATAAGCATAACTCAGAAAACTTTGGAAAGAATGGAGTCTTGGAAACAGTAAGTATAGGAAAACTTCATTAATAATTACCATTTAAAAATCTGCCATGCAGAAGATAACCACACACTTAAAATGACTTACCTGTTAGCTTCTATAATTTTAAATTGATTTTTCTGAGACATATTTCCTACATATAACCAAAGGACGCATTTGGCATTTTTAGCATTAAATGCTGGAAGGTGTAATAATTTAATAATAATGCTTTGTATTTATTGTTTTGTACCTTTAAGATGCTTTCACATATGCAATTTGAGACAGATAGTGCAGGTATTATGATCATTTATAGATTGAGAAAACAGATATGAGAATTTAAGTGACATGGCCAAGGCCTCAAAACCACATTGTGAAAGGCAGGACAGGAATTCTTGTTCCAGTGTTTTGTTCTTTACTATCTATCAGTAAAAATTATATCTTTGATTAAATATAGGCATTCCCATTTTGTATTTCAGTATATGAAGATAAAACACAAATCTTAAGAGGTTTGTTCAAGGTTACTCTGTAAGAGAATGAACAGCTATGAAAAATATACACAAACTCTGACTTGTTATTCTTTGCTGAAAATACTTGACCACAATGAATGTGAGACTGAAGGCTGAAGAGTTGCACAGAACACATTGTCCATTACTGCTCTTCTTAAAGTTTGTCTTAGATAAAAGGTTCCCATTAAAATCAATTTCTTCTTGGCAAACACTCTAGCCTACGTGTAACTACTCTTCTCCTAATGACATATTAAAAACAAAAAGAGAGAAACTTTTTTCCTCGATAAATAATAGAAATGGAGCAATTCTTTATGATGAACAAAGGTCAGGATAATTAAACTTTTACAAACAAAGTACAGCATTATTTCCATCATACAATTACATAGTATATAATGGGCATAAACTATTATGTGGTCAAATAATTACAATAATATTATAAGTAACATCCTATTAATCTGACTTTAAGAATTTATTTTGATGGTCTTCAGACATATATTACATAAAAAAAGATTTTTGAAATCAAAGAAACCATTATATATCCAACGAATGGTTGCCTCACTGTATCTAAGTAATATTAGATAATTAAAAGTAATTTGGATATTAGTACAAATTAGTAGAAATTGGTCATTATTTGGGCCACTTCAACAGCTTCCCTATATTTAGGATATGTCTCACCATGTAAATCTTCGTGACAAGCAAAGGCTGTTTCCCATAATGGAAGCAGAAGATGTCACATACTTTCTCTGGGGTGCAGGCATGTGACCTAGGCTTTTCAGCCAGACATCTGTGTTAGACCTTTGACTCACAGCTAAGGAGACAAGCAACAGTTTTTTTCCTCTCTCTCCCTTCTCCCTTCCTCCTTCTGTGTTTCTCTCTCCTAGTGGCAATAGAGGTTACTGCAAGCGTGAGTTCCCATTGTATAAGTGGCCAAAGGGCAAATTGTGTTGTCTAGTGCTTGATGTCTCTAGTGCTAGCTGTAAGATTACCACATTGTCAGTCATACTTTGCCCAGCATTTTTCAGATTTTGGCATGGAAGGATCTGAATCCTTGGAAACTACAGTCACCAAAAAAACCAGGACAGTTGGTAACATTTGCCAACTTCTTCATCATGTCCGTTCTGTGGGTGGTTTATCGTTGCTGTTTAAGTTCAAGCCTGGTTTTACAGCCCTCTCAACAATTCTATGAGCTACCTGATATCTTTTTAAATTTTTGTTTTTTGAGATAAAGTCTTGCTCTATCGTCCAGGCTGGAGTGCAGAGGCATGATCACGGCTCACTGCAGCCTTGACCTCTGGGATAATGCGATTCTCTACATCAGCCTCTTGAGTAGCTGGGACTACAGGAGTGCACCACCATGCCTGGCTAATTTTTATTTATTTTTTTGTAGAGAAGGAGTCTTGCTACATTGTGCAGGCTGGTCTTGGACTCCTGGCCTCAATGGATCCTTGTGCCTTGACCTTCCAAAGTACTGGGATTATAGGCATGAGTCACTGCATCTGGCAAAAAAAAAAAAAAAAAAAAAAATTAATGGAAGTATAACTCAGTATCTGCTATGGTCTGAAAGTCTGTATCCTCCCAAATTCTTACGTTGAAACCTAATCACCAATGTGATGGTGTTAGGAGGTGGGGCCTTTAGGAGGTGATCAGGTCATAAGAACAGAGCCACTATGAATGAAATTAGTGCCCTTATAAAAGAGGCCCCAAGAAAGCTGAGTCTCTTTGTAAAGAATGCCTCTTACACCATGTGAGGATACAAGAAGGTGCCATCCACGACTGAAGTAAGGGGCCTTCCTTAGACACCAAATATGCTAGTCCCTTGATTTTGGACTTCTCAGCCTCCAGAACTGTGAGAAATAAATTTTTGTGTTTGTAAGGTACTCAGTCAATGGTATTTTGTAATAGAAACCCAAATAACTAAGACAATACCCTTTTAATCAACTACTGCTCTGCTTAAATCAAAGAGAATTGGTCTCAATTATTCTTACCAAGAACTTTGACTGAAACAGACACCTTTGTGTATAAGCAGTTTGGTAACCTTCTATATTTCACAATGACCCTATGAGTCATATTGGCTTAATTCAGCTTGTATAGTTATTACAGACCCTCTTTGATGTTAGTGAACTTTTTAGCATGTCGAAAGTTCTGAAAAAGCATCAGTAATGAGTGTTCTTATTGTATTTTTGAAATCCTGAGATATTTCTGATGGTTGAGACTACCATGAACCATTTTTTCCCTGGTGATGAGACAAACATTGACAGAATGTAAAATCACTTAAAAATAAAGTTGCTGACAGAAAATCTTAGATTTTCTCCATCCCATTCCATAACCTCCAAATTTATGAATGCTTAATTATCAAGATGAAGAATTTTTAAGGTCAAGGGAATAGAAGAAAGTGGTAACCTAAAAACCCATTTAACTATTCATCTTTGGACCATATATAAAAGTTCTTTGTTGTTTTTGCTGACAGGCATCTCTCCTGAACACACCCATCTCTCACCAGCTTCACCTTCCTAACATCCTCATATTCCTGCACTTTGATTTTCCATCCTTTGGAGGGGAAACCTTCAATAAAAATACTCCTGCTCATTAAAATGGTTATTACAATGCTATTGCATAAGCAATACATCTTTATTAAATAAAATAAAAATACTGGAAGAGAAATAGAAACAAGCATCCATAATTCTGCCACTACTAACATTTCGATATTCTTTTCTGTAAACACTCATATCTTTAATTATACAATTTTTTAAAATGTGGGGGATCAAATGATGCATACTATTTCAGAACCTGCTTTATTGGTAGAATTGTGGATTTCTTTCTGGATAGATATAATTTCAAATGATTGCACACTTTTACAATGTATAGAAGTATCATAACATGTCATCATTTAGTTTTTTTTTTCTTTTTTTTTTGAGATGGAATCTTGCTCTGTCACCCAGGCTGGAGTGCAATGGCGGGATCTCCGCTAACCACAACCTCCGCCTCCTGGGTTCAAGCAATCCTCCTGCCTCAGCCTCCTGAGTAGCTGGGATTACAGGCACGTGCCACCATGCCCAGCTAATTTTTTGTATTTTTAGTAGAGATGGGGTTTCACCATGTTGGCCAGGCTGGTCTCGAACTTCTGACCTCATGATCTGCCCGCCTCGACCTCCCAAAGTGCTGGGATTACAGGCGTGAGCTACCACACCTAGCACATCATTGAGTTTTTTAGGCTGGAGTGTAGTGGTGTAATCATATCTCACTGCAGCCTCAATCTCCTGGGCTAAGCGATCCTCCAGCCTCAGCCTCCTGAGTAGCTGGGACTACAGGCACACCACCAGGCCCAGCTAATGTTTGTGATTTTTAGTAAAAAGGAAGTCTTGTTATGTTGCCCAGGATGGTCTTGAACTCCTGAACTCAAACAATCCTCCTGCCTTGGCTTCCCAAAGTGCTGGGATTACATGCGTGAGCCACCACTCCCAGGCTATCATTGAATTTTGTTAAACATTGTTAGTCTTTATAAATAATACTGCCAAAATTGTGTATTTATCCTTCAACGTTTTTCTGATTATTTCTCAAAAATAAATATTAGATATTGAATTTTTACACCAGAGATACCAGTCTTGGTAACTCTGCAAGAAAACCAGTCTTGAGGGTTTTCTTATATCTTGACAAATTGCCTCCCAGAAAAGTTGTGCCTTTTTTATGCTCTTACCAGTCAGCTATGAGACTACTTCCACCCTCAACAACACTGAGTATTATCATTCTTTTTAATCATCATTAATTGGATAAACCAAGAGGTATCTCATTGTTTTATTGATTACAAGTGAGGCTAACATTTTAATGTATCTTTTGGCCTTGTATTTCTTCTTTTGTGAATTATCTGCTCCTATCAAGTGTTTGTTTTTCTTCATTGTAGATATATGAGATTAACCACTTAATTCCATCTTGAAATGCGGAGAAGCAAACTCACATTCTGAAAGTAATTATCATCCCCTTCATTAATTGACATTATTTGGTTTGTCATCATCATCTAGCCACTTGGTTTTTACAAATTATTTCCTCCCTGAAATAGCTTTCTAGTTGATTTTTCATTCTTTTATTTCATTCTCAAGAAGTGTTTAGATTTTCAAAATTTATTTTATTTTAATCCTAAAAGTATCATACTCAGAGTGAATTATCTATTTTAAATATGGGTGCTTGGAAATGTATACCTTGTATAGGAAGGAATTAAGTAGGTGGTACAAAAATGCAATTTATCTAATCAATCTGTTTTTTCTTTAGGTTAAAAATATTTTCTCCCTTTCAAAAAGAAAAAAAATTACATCTTTTGTCTTTTTAATTTATTTGTTTATTTATCTTATTTACTTAGAGATGGGGTCTCACTTTGTTGCCCAGACTGGTCTCAAACTCCTGGGCTCAAGTGATCCTCCCACCTCAGCCTGACAAAGTGCTGGGACTACAGGTGCAAGCTACTGTGCCCAGCTTTTCTTCTATTTAAAGAACATATAAACTATTAAATAAAAATACTTATGATGCTGGCATTTGTCACAAGGTGGGAGTTTAGAGGAAGTGCAATCAGTATCTTTGCTGCAGTATTTGCTGCCTGTTTTCTAACTGCTTTGCTGTTTTTTGCTGACCTTCATGTCCAATATTACCTCAAAATCCATCATCACCCTCTTCTAAAGCCTACCCACTGGGCATTGCTGGAGGCTGCTAATATCAATCACACCAGAGTAAAGAGAGAAACTCTTCAGGGGTTCTTGTTGGCTTCCATATCTTAGCTCTATTTTTAACTCCCTGCAATCAACACTGATGCCATTAGACATTTGCTTAATCTCAGTGTACTCTTTCCTTGGCTCATTCCTCTCACACCTTAGAACCTTTTCCCAAGCTACACCCTATGCTGTGAGTGACCATATGCTCTCTATTTTCTAGAGAGTCTCAATTTCAAATATTCTGTCTTGTTGCCAAATCAGCTGCCAAGCCATATGCTTCATATTTTCTTTGGGGAAATATATTTACCTACTTATGCTTCAGTTCCTTGAACTCTGCTCATGAAGATTTTTATTAGTTTTACATAATAGTTTATGAAAATTTTTTATTAGCTTAAAATGTAGCTCAGATGTCTTTTCCCTTGGGAAGCCCTCCTTCACAGTCCTCCTCCCTAGATGATACTCTCACCGATTAGGATTGCCTTCCTTGGTAGGGTTGGGAAAAGTGAAGGTGAAAGGGGTTGCTCCACATCTGTTATGGGTTTACCCACCTGCACTCTGCTGCTCAAGAAGGCTTCTCTGCCCAGTTAGAGGATACTCTTCATTTTTCTGCTGCAGATGGTTTGAGCCATTTCCCTCAATGGTAGAAATGGTTTGCTACATCTTCCTCCCATCTCCTGGTAGTCTATGGATCTGAGTATCTTTAGTAGCACATTGCCTCACCTTGCACATTTTAGTCTAGAATAATACCATAGGGAAGGGATGGGGTTCCTGGTGGGCTTTACACTCTTAAGTCCAGTTGCATAGTTTAGAGCCTAGGGAAGAGTTTTGGCAGTCTAAGGATCTGGGAGACAATTATTGGATCAGGCACATATATACACATTGATCTCCCAAGGACAGACATCAATTTTTAGTGCTGTATCAATAAGGAGGAAAATAAACATTTTCCTAACTATTCTGTATAACACAGCCCTGGTATGCAATGAAGTTAGAGCTATACCTTATAATGTGAACAGCATTAGGCCTTTAACTCATTTTCCCCCTCTCCTCTTTTGCTTTTATATTATATATATATATATATTTATTTATTTATTTAATTTAGTTTTTTGAGATGGACTCTCCATCTGTCACCCAGGCTGGAGCGCAGTGGTGTGATCTCGGCTCACTGCAACTTCCGCCCCCCAGCTTCAAGCAATTCTGCCTCAGCCTCCCTAGTAGCTGGGATTATGTTGCACTACCATGTCAGGCTACTTTTTGTATTTTTAGTAGAGATGGGGTTTTGCCATGTTGGCCAGGCTGGTCTCAAACTCCTGACCTCAAGTGATCTGCCCACTTCACCCTCCCAAAGTGCTGGGCTTACAGGCATGAGCCATCATGCCCGGCCTTCTTTTGCTTTTAAATAGGGAAGTCCAGGCCAACTAAAAATTTAAAAATAGGCCAATTGCTGACCCTAATTTCCCCCTAATAAATGAAAGTATGATATAAACTGTGGCCCTTCTCTGCAAGAAAAGATATACCCAGTCAATGTACAAAGAATTTTACATAGTTTCAGGGCATACACACACCTTTCTAGAAGATTTCTGCATTTTACAATAATTCCTATCATATTTATATTTGTGCTAGGCACTGGGAAAACAGACATTAATTAAAGAATCATACAGACAAATGTAAAATTACCATTGTAATGTTAGATCCATAATAGGTTGAGTTACTTTAGGCAGAGAGGTCCCAGAAAGTTTCTCTAGTGAAAGAACGATTGAGGTAGAGTCAGCCAGAAGGACAGAGAGAGTCCAGACAGAGGAAACTGCATGTTCAAAAGCCCTGTGACTGGGAGAAGTAAGCACATTTAGGGAATGGAAAGGCCAGTGTGGCTGAAGTACAGAGAATAAGGGGAACTAGTGAAACAGATTGGAGAGAGAGGCAGGGGTCAGCTTATAAAGTGCCTTGTAGATCATGTTAGGAAATTTGGTCTTAATTCTAATAGTACTGGGCACTGTTCTTGGTAGAAGGTTGATATCGGGCTTTGGGTTTTTTTTTTTTGAGATGGAGTTTCCCTCTTGTCGCCCAGGCTGGAGTGCAATGGTGCGATCTCAGCTTACTGCAACTTCTGCCTCCTGGGTTCAGGCTGTTCTCCTGCCTCAGCCTCATGAGTAGCTGGGACTACAGGCATGCACCACCATGCCCAGCTAATTTTGTATTTTTAGTAGAGATGGGGTTTCGCCATGTTGGCCAGGCTGGTCTTGAACTCCTGACCTCAGGTGATCTGCCTGCCTTGGCCTCCCAAAGTGCTGGGATTACAGGTGTGAGCCACCTTGCCTGGCCCTGGCTTTGGTTTTTACTATAACACTCTGGCTATCATGTGAAGAATGAGTTATAGGGGAGCAAGAATGAATAAAAAGAGATCAATTAGGACACTATGGCTAGTCCAGGTAAGAGAGAATGGTACTTGAAGTAGAGAGATGGCAGTGGAGGAAAACAGAAATGTCTGGGTTTAAGGAATAGTCAAGAAATGAATTGACAGAACTGAGAGATAAACTGAAAAATGAGAGAACAGGTGAGAGAGAGAAAGGAAAATGTGAAGAGTAATGTCTAGGTTTTGGGCTACCATAACAGGTTAAATAGTGGTGTCATTCAGAGAGATCAAGCATGCTAATAGAGGACCAAGTTCTGGTGGGGAAGATCTTGGGTTCATTTTGCACTTGTTGAATTTGAGATATCACTAATTCTTTCAATTGAAGTGTGCATTAGTGTGCTAGGGTTGCCATAACAAAATACCATAGACTAGGTGACTTAAATTACAGATATTTATTTTCTCATACTTCTGGAGGCTGGAAGTCTAAGATCAAGGTACCACCAGCAGGGTTGATTTCTGGTGAGGTCTGTCTTCCTGGTTTGCAGATAGTTGTCCTTTTGCAATGTCTTCATAAGGCCTTTTTTTTCTGTGTGCGGGTGAGAGAGAGGGAGAGAGAGGTGTGCATAAGCATGCACTGTGGGGTTTCTTCCTCTTGTAATGACACCAGTCCTGTTGGATTAGGAACCCACCCTTAGGAACTCATTTAACCTTAATTACCTCCCTAAAGACCGTATCTCAAAATACAGTCACATTGGGGGTTAAGGCTTCAACATATGAATTGGGGTGGGGGAGACACAATTCAGCCCATAACAAACTGTATTCCACAGTTGATAAAGTCATAGACATTCAAGTCAAGCAAAACTGGATTTAAAAACTTAGCTACCTGGGAGGCTGAGGTGAGAGGATTGCTTGAGACCAGGAGTTTGAGGCTGCAGTGAGCTATCATTGTACCACTGCACTCCAAGTATGGGTGACAGAACAAGAGCCTGTTTCTAAAAAACAAAACAAATTCTGGTGAGAATGTGGAGAAAATAGAAGCCTTGTACACTGTCAGCGGGAATGTAAATTAGTGTAAACCACTATGGAGAGCAGTTTGGAGGATCCTCAAAAAACTAAAAATAGAGCTACCATATGATCCTACAATCCCACTGCTAGGCATATACGTACTCAAAAGAAAGAAAATCAGTACATCAAAGAGATATCTGCACTCCTATGTTTACTGCAGCACTATTCATAATAGCTAAGATTTGAAAGCAATCTAAGTGCCCATCAACAGATGAACAGATAAAGAAAATATGGTCCTTATACACAGTGAAGTACTATTCACTCATGAAAAAGAATGAGATCCTGTCATTTGCAACAACATGGATGAAACTGGAGGTCATTATGTTAAGTGAAATAAGCCAGGGACAGAAAGACAAACTTCACATATTCTCACTTATTAGTGGGAGCTAAAAATTAAAACAACTGAACTCATGGAGATAGAGAGTAGAATGATAGTTACCAGAAGCTGGGAAGGGTTGTGGGGGAATGTGGGGGAAGTAGAGATGGTTAATGGATACAAAAAATAGTTAGAAACTATATTAGGCAGTTCTCACACTACTATAAATACCTGAGACTGGGTAATTTATAAAGAAAAGAGGTTTAATTGGCTCATAGTTCTGTAGGCTGTATAGGAGTCATAGTGGCTTCTCTTTGGCTTCTGGGGAGGCCTCTGGAAACTTACAGTCATGGCAGAAGGTGAAAATGAAGCAAGCATGTCTTACATGGCCAGAGCAGGAGGAAGAGAGAGAGGGGCAGAGGTACTACACACTTTTAAACAACCAGATCTCATGAGAACTCTATCATGGGAACAGCACTAGGGCGATGGTGCTAAACCATTTATGAGAAACTGCCCCCATGATCCAGTCACCTCCCACCAGGCCCCACCTCCAACAATGGGGATTACAATTTGACATGAGATTTGGGCCAAACCATATCAGAAACAATGAATAAGATCTAGTATGTGATAGCACAATGGGGTGACCTGAGTTGATAATTTAATTCTACATTTTAAAATAACTAAAAGAGTATAATTGGATTGTTTGTAATACAAAGGATAAACACTTGAGGTGGTGGATATTCCCTGATATGGTTTGGATCTGTGTCCCCATCCAAATCTCATATTGAAACGTAGTCCCCAGTGTTGGAGTTGGGGCCTGGTGGGAGGTGATTGGATCATGGGAACAGTTTCTAATGGTTTAGCACCATCTGCCTTCGGTACTGTACAGTGAGTTCTCACAAGATCTAGTTGTTTAAAAATGTGTAGCACCTTCCCCCACCTTCCTCCTGCTCTGGTGATGTGAGGTGCTCAGTCACCTCATGCCTTCTGCCATGATTGTAAGTTTTCTAAGGCCTCCCCAGAAGACAAGCAGATGCCAGCCACTATGCTTCCCATACAGCCTGCAGAACTGTGAGCAAATTAAACCTCTTTTCTTTATAAATTACCCTGTCTCAGGTATTTATTTAGAGCAGTGATAACAGACTAATATAGAAAGTTCTTACCAGGAGTCGGGGATTGCTATAAAGATACCTGAAAATGTGAAGCAGCTTTGGAACTGGGTAACAGGCAGAGGCTGGAACAGTTTGCAAGGCTCAGAAGAAGACAGGAAGATGAGGAAAAGTTTAAAAATTCCTAAACTTGAATGGTTGTGGTCAAAATGCTGGTAGTGATCAATGGTTGTGATCAAAATGCTAGACAGTGAAGGCCAGGCTGAGGAAGTCTCCAGATAGAAATGAGGAATTTATTGGGAACTGGAGCAAAGGTCACTTTTGTTATACTTTAGCAAAGAACTTGGAGGCATTGTGGCCCTTCCCTAGAGATCTATGAAACTTTGAACTTGAGAGTGATGATATCCAGGGTATCTGGAGGAAGACATTTCTAAGCAGCAAAGCATTCTAGATTTGGCCTGGCTGCATCTAACAGCCTATGCTCATATGCATGAGCAAAGAAATGACATAAAACTGGAACTTATGTTTAAAAGGGAAGCAGAATGTAAAAGTTGGGAAAATTTGCAGACTGGCCATGTGGTAGAAAAGAAGAGCCTATTTTCTGGGGAGGAATTCAAGCAGGCTGCAGAAATTTGCAAAAGTAAAAGGAAAGCAAACGCTGATAGCCAAGACAATGGGGAAAAGGGCTGGAAGGCATTTCATAGATCTTTGTGGCAGCCCTTCCTACCACAGGCCCAGAGACCTAGGAAAGAAGAATGGTTTTTGGGCCAGGTTCAGGGCCCCACCATTCTGCACAGCCTTGGGACACTGCTCCCTGTGTCCCAGCTGCTCCAGGTCCAGCCTCGGCTCAAAGGGGCCTAGGTACAGCTCAGGCAGCTGCTTCAAAATGTGCAATCCATAGCTTTGGTGGCTTTCATGTGGTGTTAAGCCTGTGGGTGTACAGAATGCAAGAGTTGAGGCTTGGGAGCCTCTGCCTATGTATGTATGGAGGATGTATGGAAAAGCCTGTATATTCAGACAGAAGCTTGTTGCAGGGGTAGAGCCCTCACAGAGAACCTCTACTAGGACAGTGGAGAGGGGAAATGTGGGGTTGGAACCCCCATATTTAGTCTCCACTGGGACACTGCCTAGTGGAGCTGTGAGAAGAAGAGGGCCATTGTCCTCCAGATCCCAGAATGGTAGATCCATTGGCAGCTTGCACCCTGTGTCTGGAAAAGGCAGAGGCACTCAACATCAGCCCCTGAGAACAGCTGTGTGGGTTGAACCCTGCAAAGCCACAGGGGTGAAGCTGCCCAGGACTTTGGGAGTCCACCCCTCATACCAGTGTGCCCTGGATGTGGGACACAGAGTAAAAAGAGATTATTTTGGAACTTTAAGATTTAATGACTTTCCTGCTGGGTTTTGGACTTGCATGAGGCCTGTAGCCCCTTTCTTTTGGCTGATTTCTCTCTTTTGGAATGGGAGTATTTACCCAATGCGTGTACTCCCATTGTATCTTGGGAGTAACTAACTTGTTTTTGATTTTACAGGCTCATAGGTGGAAGGGACTTGGCTTGTCTCAGATGAGACTTTGGACTTTTGAGTTAATGCTGAAATGGGTTAAGGCTTTGGGGGATGGTTGAGAAGGGATGATTGTATTTTGCAATGTAAGATGGACATGAGATTTGAAAGGGCCAAAGGAAGAATGATATGGTTTGGATCTGTGTCCCCACCCAAATCTCATGTCAAATTGTAATCCCCAGTGGTGAAGGTGGGGCCTGGTGGGAGGTGATTGGCCCATGGGGGCAGTTTCTTTTTCTTAAAATTTTTTCTTTTACATTAAGTTCCAGGATACAAGTGCAGAATACATGCAGGTATGTTACATAGGTATACATGTGCCATGGTGGTTTGCTGCACCTATTGATCCATCCTCTAAGTTCCCTCCCCTCGCCCCATGCCCCCAACAGGCTCTGGTGTGTGTTGTTCCTCTCCCTGTGTCCATGTGTTCTCACTGACCAACTCCCACTTATGCATAAGAACATGCGGTGTTTGGTTTTCTATTCCTGTGTTAGTTTGCTGAGGATGATGGCTTCCAGCTTCATCCATGTCCCCTCAAAGGACATGATCTCATTCCTTTTAATGGCTGCATAGTATTCCATAGTATATATGTACCACATTTTCTTTATCCAGTCTATCATTGATGGGCATTTGGGTTGGTTCCATGACTTTGCTATTATAAATAGTGCTGCAACAAACATACATGTGCATATGTTTTTATAGCAGAATGATTTATATTCCTTTGGGTATTTACCGAGTAATGGAATTGCTGGGTCAAATGGTATTTCTGGTTCTAGATCCTTCAGGAATCGCCATACTGTCTTCCACAATGGTTGAACTAATTTACATTCCCATCAACAGTGTAAAAGCATTCCTATTTCTCCACAACCTTGCCAACCACTATTATTTCTTGCCTTTTTAATAATCACCATTCTGACTGTCATGAGATGGTATCTCATTGTTGTTTTGTTTTGCATTTCTCTAATGATCATTGATGTTGAGCTTTTTTTCATATGTTTGTTGGATGCATAAAAATCTTCTTTTGAGAAGTGTCTGTTCATAACCCTTGCCCACTTTTTGATAGGGTTTTTTTTTTCTTGTAAATTTGTTTAAGTTCCTTGTAAATTCTGGATATCAGACCTTTGTCAGATGGGTAAATTGCAAAAATTTTCTCCCATTCTGTAGGTTGCCTGTTTACACTGATGATAGTTTATTTTGCTGTGCAGAAGCTCTTTAGTTTTATTATATCCCATTTGTCAATTTTGGCTTTTGTTGCAATTGCTTTTGGCATTTTTGTCATGAAGTTTTGCCCATGCCTATGTCCTAAATGGTACTGCCTACGTTTCCTTCAAGGGTTTTTATGGTTTTGGGTTTTACATTTAAGTCTTTAATCCATCTTGAGTTAATTTTTGTATAAGGCGAAAGGAAGGGATCCAGTTTCAATTATCTGCATATGGGTAGCCAGTTTTCCCAGCACCATTTATTGAATAGGAGATCCTTTCCCCATTGCTTGTTTTTGTCAGGTTTGTTGAAGATCAGATGGTTGTAGATGTATGACATTATTTCTGAGGTCTCTGTTCTGTTCCATTGGTCTATATGTCTGTTTTGGTACCAGTACCATGCTGTTTTGGTTACTGTAGCCTTGTAGTATAGTTTGAAGTCAGGTAGCGCGATGCCTCCACCTTTGTTCTTTTTGCTTAGGATTGTCTTGGCTATACAGGGACTTCATTGATTCCATATGAAATTTAAAGTAGTTTTATCTAATTCTGTGAAGAATGTCAGTGGTAATTTGATGGGGATAGCATTGAATCTATAAACTACTTTGGGCAGTATGGCCATTTTCAAGATATGGACTCTTCCTATCCATGAGGTTGGAATGTTTTTCCAATTGTTTGTGTCCTCTCTTATTTCCTTGAGCAGTGGTTTGTAGTTCTCCTTGAAAAGGTCCTTCACATCCCTTGTTAGCTGTATTCCTAGGTATTTTATTCTCTTTGTAGTGATTGTGAATAGGAATTCACTCATGATTTGGCTCTCTGCTTGTCTATTATTGGTGTAAAGGAAGGCTTGTGATTTTTGCACATTGATTTTGTATGTTGAGGCTTTGCTGAATTTGCTTATCAGTTTAAGGAAGTTTTGGGCTGAGATGATGGGGTTTTCTAAATATACAATCATGTCATCTGCATACAGAAACAATCTGACTTCCTCTCTTCCTATTTGAATACACTTTTATTTCTTTCTCTTGCCTGATTGCCCTGGCCAGAACTTTCAATACTATGTTGAATAGGAGTTGTGAGAGCGGGCATTCTTGTCTTGTACTGGTTTTCAAAGAGAATGCTTCCAGCTTTTGCCCATTCAATATGATATTGGCTGTGGGTTTGCCAAAAATAGCTCTTATTATTTTGACATACGTTCCATCAATATCTAGTTTATTAAGAGCTTTTAACATGAAGGGATGTTGAATTTTATTGAAGGCCTTTTCTGCATCTATTGAGATAATCACGTGGTTTTTGTCATTGGTTCTGTTTATGTGATGGATTATGTTTATTGATTTGCATATGTTGAACTAGCCTTGTATCCCAGGGATGAAGCCAACTTGAAAATGATGGATAAGCTTTTTGATGTGCTGCTGGATTTGGTTTGCCAGTATTTTATTGAGGATTTTCACATTGATGTTCATCAGGGATATTGGCCTGAAGTTTTCTTTCTTTTCTTGGGTCTGTTCCTGGTTTTGGTATCAGGATGATGCTGGCTTCATAAAATGAGTTAGGGAGGAGTCCCTCCTTTTCAATTATTTGGAATAATTTCAGAAGGAATGGTACCAGCTCCTCTTTGTAACTCTGGTAGAATTTGGCTGTGAATCCATCTGGTCCTGGGCTTTTTAATTTTTTTGGTTGGTAGGCTATTAATTACTGCCTCAATTTCAGAACTTGTTATTGGTCTACTCAGGGATTGGACTTCTCCTAGTTGAGTCTTGGGAGGGTGTATGTGTCCAGGAATTTATCCATTTCTTCTAGATTTTCTAGTTTATTTGTGTAGAGGTGTTTATGGCATTCTCTGATGGTAGTTTGTATTTCCATGGGGTCAGTGGTGATATCCCCTTTATCATTTTTTATTGTGCCTATTTGATGCTTCTCTCTTTTCTTCTTTATTAATTGAGCTAGCAGTCTATTTTGTTAATTTTTTAAAAAAATCCGCCCCTGGATTCATTGATTTTTTGGAGGGTTTTTCATGTCTCTATCTCCTTTAATTCTGCTTTGATTTTAGTTATTTCTTGTCTTCTGCTAGCTTTTGGATTAGTTTGCTCTTGCCTCTCTAGCTCTTTTAATTGTGATGTTAGGGTGTCAATTTGAGATCTTTCTAGTTTTCCAATGTGGGTATTTAGTGCTATAAATTTCCCTCTTAACACTGCTTAACTAGCTGTAGCCTAGAGATTCTGGTATATTGTCTCTTTGTTCTCATTGGTTTCAAATAACTTTTTGATTTTGCCTTAATTTCATTATTTACCCAGTAGTCAATCAGGAGCAGGTTGTTCAATTTCCATGTAATTGTGTGGTTTTGAGTGAGTTTCTTTATTCTGAGTTCTAATTTGATTGCACTGTGGTCTGAGAGACTGTTTGTTATGATTTCAATTCTTTTGCATTTGCTAAGGAGTCCTTTAATTCCAATTCTGTGGTTGATTTTAGAATAAGTGCCATGTAGCACTGAGAAGAATGTATATTCTGTTGACTTGGGGTGGAGAGTTCTGTAGATGTCTATTAGTTCCACTTGATCCAGAGCTGAGTTCAAGTCCTGAATATCTTTGTTTATTTTCTGTCTCATTGATCTAATATTGACAGTGGGGTGTTAAAGTCTCCCACTATTATTGTGTGGGAGTCTAAGTCTCCTTGTAGGTCTCTAAGAACTTGCTCTATGAATCTGGGTGCTCCTGTATTGGGTGCATATATATTTAGAACAGTTAGCTCTTCTTGTTGAATCGTTCCCTTTACCATTAGGTAATGCCCTTGTTTGTCTTTTTTTAATCTTTGTTGATTTAAAGTCTGTTTTGTCAGAGACTAGGATTGCAACCCTTGCTTTTTTTTTTTTGCCTTACATTTGCTTGGTAAATTTTCTTCCATCCCTTTATTTTGAGCCTATGTGTGTCTTTGCACATGAGATGGGTCTCCTGAATACAGCACACTGATGGGTCTTGACTCTTTATCCAATTTGCCAGTCTGTGTCTTTTAACTGGGGCATTTAGCCCTTTTACATTTAAAGTTAGTATTATTATGTGTAAATTTGATTCTGTCATGATGCTGTCTGGTTATTTTGCACACTAGTTGATGCAGTTTCTTCATAGTGTCATTGGTCTTTATATTTTGATGTGTTTTTGCAGTGGCTGGTAGCAGTTTTCCTTTCCATATTTAGTGCTTCTTTCAGGAGCTCTTACAAGGCAGGCCTTGTGATAATGAAATCCCTCAGCATTTGCTTGTCTGGAAAGGGTTTTATTTCTGCTTCACTATGAAGCTTAGTTTGGCTGGATATGAAATTCTGGGTTGAAAATTATTTTCTTTGAGAATGTTGAATATTGGCCCCCCCATCTCTTCTGCCTTGTAGAGTTTCTGCTGAGAGCTCCACTGTTAGTCTGATGGACTTCCCTTTGTAGGTGACCTGGTTTTTCTCTCTGGCTGTCCTTAACATTTTTTTCCTTCATTTCAACCTTGGAGAATCTGATGATTATGTGTCTTGGGGTTGATCGTCTCATGGAGTATCTTGGTGGTGCTCTCTGTATTTTGTGAATTTGCATGTTGGCCTTTCTTGCTAGGTTGGGGAAGTTCTCCTGAATAGCCTGAAGTGTGTTTTCCAGCTTGTTTCCATTCTCCCCATCTCCTTCAGGTACTCCAATCAATCATAGGTTCTGTCTTTTTACGAAGTCCCATATTTCTTGGAGGCTTTGTTCATTCCTTTTCATTCTTTTTTCTCTAGCCTTGTTTGCATGCCTTATTTCAGCAAGGTGGTCTTCAAACTCTGATATCCTTTCTTCTGCCTGGTCGATTCAGCTATTGATAATGTGTATGCTTCACAAAGTTCTCGTGCTGTGTTTTTCAGCTCCATCAGATCACTTATGTTCCTCTCTAAGCTGGTTATTCTAGCTGGCAGCTCCTCTAACCTTTTATCAAGGTTCTTAGCTTCTTCATATTGAATTAGAACATGCTCCTTTAGCTCAGCATAGTTTTTTATTATCCATCTTCTGAAGCCTACTTCTGTCAATTCACCCATCTCATCCTCCGTCCAGTTCTGCGCCCTTTCTGGAGAGACAATGCAATCATTTGGAGGGGAAGAGGCACTCTGGCCTTTTGGGTTTTCAGCATTTTTTTGTTGATTCTTTCTGATCTTCATGAGTTTGTGTAGTTTCGATCTTTGAGGCTGCTGATCCTTGGATGGGGTTTTTGTGGGGGCTTTTTGCTGTGTTGTTACTGTTTGTTTGTTTGTTTTTCTTTCAATGGTCAGATCCCTCTTCTGTAGGGATACTGCGATTTGCTGGGGGGTTCCACTTCAGGCCCTATTCATCTGGTTCGTTCTTGTGCCTGGAGATGTCACTCAAGGAGGAGAACAGCAAAGATGAGTGCCTGCTCCTTCTTCTGGGACCTCTGACCTCAAGGGGCACCAAACTGATGCCAGTAGGATCACTCCTGTATAGGGTGTCTGACAACACCTGTTGGAGGGTCTCACCCAGTTGGGTGGCATAGGGAACAGGACCTGTTTAATGAAGTACTTTGTCCCTTGGTGGAGGGGTGTGCTTTGCTGGGTGGGAAACCCACTCCTCTGGGCTGCCTGGATTCCTCAGAACTACCAGGAGGAAAGGCTAAGTCTGCTGGTCCAGAGACTGTGGCAACTCCTCCCCCTAGGGGCTCAGGCCCAGGAGATCCGGGTTCTGTCCCTGAGCCTCTGGCTGGAGTTACTGGAGTCCCTGCAGGGAAGCCCTGCCCAGTGAGGAAGGATGAGTCAGGGTCAGGCTTGAAGAGGCACTCTGGACACAGTATGTCACAGCCAGTGTGTTGGGCTGTGGGGGACACATCTTGGGACCAAGCCGTCCAGCCTTCCTGGCCCCAGCAGGGGAAAAGTGTGGCCTGGAGCCATAGAGATGGCTGCCATCCTTCCCCTGCCCAGGGAGCTCAGTGTGTTAGGCAGTTGTGAGTCCCAGTGCTGGCTGCTGCCCCTCCCCCAAGGAGCTCAAATGGCTTAGACAGCAGGCAGCTGCAACCGTGGTGCTGGTTGCCCCTTCCCCCCAGGAGCTTGGTAGGCTTAAGCAGATTCTAGCTGAGAGGCTATTGAGAATATGTACGGCTCTGGGGTTGGGACACTAGGCCCTAGTGGCATGGGTTTGCGAGTGGGATCTTCTGATCTGTGGGCCGCCCAGTTCTGTGGAAAAAGCACTGTTTCCCCAGCTGGCTACCATGCCCACTCACCACCTCCCTTGGCTGTGGGCTGGGGACTCCACTGCCCTGTGTGGCTCTCAGGTGGGCCACCTCACTACACTGCTCTTCTTTCCTCTCCGTGGGTCACGCCAGTCCCCTAGTCCATTCTGATGAGAACCTGAATACCTTGGTTGCTGGTGAAGGATTCACATGCTTATTATGGTCCTTTTTGATGGGAGCCTCCAATCACCACTGCTTCTAGTCGGCCACCTTGGCCCTGATGGGGGCAGTTTCTAATGGTTTAGCAGTGTCCCCTCTTTGTACTGTATAGTGATTTTGTTCTCACAAGATCTGGTTGTTTAAAAGTGTGTAGCACCTCCCCGACTTTCTCCTGCTCTGGCCATGTGAGGCCTTCACCCCTCCTTTGCCTTCTGCCATGATTTTAAGTTTTCTGAGGCCTCTCCAGAAATTCAGCAGATGCCAGCTGCTATGCTTCCTGTACAGCCTGCAGAACTATGAGCCAATTAAACCTCTTTTCTTATAAATTACTCAGTTTCAGGTATTTCTTCATAGCAGAGTGAAAACGAACTGATACACTCCTTCAAAAAAATAAATTAATAAGTTAATTGAACAACAACAAAAAATTGGCTACCACAACCCAAAAAGTACATCAGCAAGTACACAGATAAAAACATTTCACTCTTGAACAACATGGGTTTGACCTATGCAGGTGAACTTATTTATGAATTTTTTTCAACCAAATGCAGATTGAAAATACAGTATTCAAGAGATGCAAAACCCATGTATACAACAGGGCAACTTCTCTTTTATACAAGGGTTCTTTCTGCAGGGCTGACTGTGGGACTTGAACGTGTGCAGATTTTGGTAAACGTGGGAATCCTGAAACCAGTCCCCAAGAAAACTGAGGGATGACTGTAATTGAAGAGTAACTATACAGAGAAATATTAGTCAGCAATAAAAAGGAAGAAGTATTGATACACACAACATGGGTGAATCTCAAAATAATTATGCTGAACGAAAGAAGCTGGACAAAAAAGTGTGTGTGATTTTACTTAAATAAAATTCTAGAAAATGCAAACTAACCTACAGTGACAGAAAGCAAATTAGTGGTTTCCTGGGAAGGAATAGACAGAGAGAGGCATGAGGGAAAGGGGCATGAGAAAATTTGGGGTGATAGATATAATTATCTTGGTGGTGGTGATAGTTTCACAGGTGTTTATATATGTCAAGAGGTATCAAATTGCACACTTTAGGCCAGGCATAGTGGCTCATGCCTGTAATTCCAGTATTTTGGCAGGCCAAGGCAGGTAGATGGTTTGAGCTCGGGAGTTTGAGGCCAGCTTGGGCAACATAGTGAGACCTCATCTCTACAAGAACTTTTTCAAAAATTAGCTGGGCATGGTGGCTCACACCTGTAGTTCCAGCTACTTGGGAGGCTGAGGCAAAAGATGGCTTGCACTTGGGAAATTGAGCCTGCAGTGAGCCATGATCACGCCACTGCACTACAGCTTGGATGACAGAATGAGACCCTGCCTCAAAAAATTTTTTGCACGTTTTAAATATGTGCAATTTTTTCTGCATCATTTATGTCTTAATAAAGTTGTTAAATTTGGGGGGTGGGGGAATCAAAGGAGACTGTCTCCATGCCCTGACAAAAGTCTAGAAGTTTTTCTCTACCCATAACAAAGGGCATGTAGCTTCTAATTCAGGTGGCCAGGCTTGGGCCAAATACTAGGTTTCTGAGGATGCCCTGGATCTCTTTAGAGGAGCTTTTTTTGGGGCCAGCTAAGCTTGTTCACTGAGATCCTCATTGGGGCCGCCTCTTGCCCCCATTTCTTGCACTTATCATTTGCTATTCTGAAACGAAAAATAGGAGTGGGCTGGGTGTGGTGGCTCATGTCTGTAATCCCAGTACTTTGAGAGGCCGAGGCGGGCGGATCACCTGAGATCAGGAGTTAGAGACCACCCTGGACAACATGGTGAAACCCCATCTCTACTAAAAATATGAAAAATTATCTGGGTGTGGTGGCGCGCCTGTAATCCCAGCTACTCAGGAGGCTGAGCCATGAGAATTGCTTGAACCTGGGAGGCAGAGGTTGCAATGAGCCGAGATTGTGCCACTGCACACCAGCCTGGGTGACAGAGCAAGACTCCGTCTCAAAAAGGAAAAAAAAAAAAGAAAAAAAAAGACTGAAGTCATCATTTGTTCAATAAGCACTTACAGAGCATCTACTAAGTGCAAGATGTTGTGGGCGTATTTATTGGGCAGTTTCCCCACACCTTGTATGGGGTCCTTGTGACTTGCTTTGACCAATACAATGTGGAAGAAGTAATATTGTGTGCCAGTTCTGAGTCCAGGCCTTACGAGACTTGCGTACTTCTGCTTGGAAACCTGCTAGTCCATGTGAATAAGCTGGTACTAGCCTGATGCAGGATGAGAGACATATAGTGCAGTCATCCCCATCTCCTGGCTGCTTTTTGCTAAACTCTAAAAGCAGAACCTCTTAGGTTCCTGGAAATTGACTGCAGATGCATAAACCAGTTCAACTGAGACCAGAAAAGCTGCCCATCAAAGTCCAGCCCAAATTACTGAACCATAAAACTGCTGAGTTAAATAAATGGTCTCTTTCTTTCACACACACATACACACATGGTTCCTCCTCTTATTACTAGTACACAAATGACTTGGTCAAGTCATTTAACCTGTCAGTACCTCAATTTTCTTATCTTTAAAGTGATTATAAAAATACCTATATTTGTTTATATATTTGAGGTAATTATATATTTGTTATATAATTATATATAGTTATTTATAATTGAGGTAATTATATATTTGTTATATATAATTATATATTGAGGTAATTATATATTTGCTATATATAATTATATATTGAGGTAATTATATATTTGTTTATATATTTGAGGTAATATTTGTAAAGTGCCTAGCACAATGCCGAGTATATAGTAGGTAACAGAATATGGTAGCAATAATTATTTTTTGAGATAGGGCCCATATTTTACTTATCTTTTTTTCTCCTGCAACTAGCACAGAGTCTTCTTCATGAAAGGAACTCAATAAGTAAATATGACTATTTTGGAAGTGTAGTAATTTCAATGAATAATCTGATTATAATCTTTATAAAGATAGTTCACATCTTCATAAAGATATGTCTATCTTAAAGGCAGTAAGAATCATTACCTCTCTAGCTGTGATTTTTTTTTTTTTTTTTTTTTGAGACGGAGTCTCGTTCTGTCGCCCAGGCTGGAGTGCAGTGGCGCAATCTCGGCTCACTGCAAGCTCCACCTCCTGGGTTCACGCCATTCTCTTGCCTCAGCCTCCTGAGCAGCTGGGACTACAGGCACCCGCCACCACGCCCGGCTAATTTTTTGTATTTTTAGTAGAGACAGGGTTTCACCATGCTAGCCAGGATGGTCTCAATCTCCTGACCTCGTGATCCGCCTGCCTTGGCCTCCCAAAGTGCTGGGATTACAGGCATGAGCCACCGCGCCCGGCCTAGCTGTGATTTTTAAAAGGAAGCTAGCAAATAAACAAAAAATCTTTGTTATCTTCATTTCCTTGAAATCCAGGACTGATATTGGAATTCTCACTTCTTTCCTTCTTAACCATTCAATACCAGCTGCTCATTCCTTTCTCCTTGAAACACTATACTTATTTGGCTCCTATATAGCATACTTTGCTGATTTCCTGTCTGCTTCATCAGCCACAGTCTCTTTTGAGAGTTCATCCTCATCTCAGCCTATAAATGTTGAAGTGATCTAGGGCTCAGCCCTTTGCCCTTTTCTCTTCATTTCCATTCTTTCCCTTGGTGATGTCATTCAGTTTCATGGCTTTAAATAACTTCCCTATTACTGGCAATCTCAAATTTTTGTCTCTAGCTCAGACCTCTCTCCTGAACTCCGGTCTTATAAATCCAACTTTATAATCTAACTGCTGATTTGACGTCTCTATTGGGATACTTAATAGGCATCTAAACCTTTATGCATCTAAAGTTTAACTCCAGAGTCTGCCCTTCTTCCACCTTGAAGTTGCTCCTCCTAAAATTTTCCCTATCTCAGTATATGACAATTCCTCTTTCTAGTTCCATGCACTGCTAGAAGGACCTAATATTTAGGGAGCAATTCTCCTAAGGTATTGCCCATTATTCTGCCTCATATTACACATAGCAACCAGGAATGAAGGGTGGGAGACTGTCACAGTATAACAATGCCAGATGTTGTCAATGCCAGTATGAGACCATTCATGGTCCCCTGCCTCTTCAGCAAAATTCTCCTGTCCTATATTGCTTTTTCTTCTCATCATTTTAGGTAAAAATAAATGATACATTAATTACTTTTAAGGTCATACCTTTTCAACAAGCTTTGTGCCCTTAAAAGCTCCCTCTCTACTAGTGGGTTCCTCTGCTGGCATTTTATAGCAAGCTCCATTCATTTCCTTGATGAATTATTCCAAAATTATATATATATAAAACTTTCTGTTATATATATATAAAACTTTCTGTTATATATATATATAACTTTCTGTTATATATATATAACTTTCTGTTATATATATATATAACTTTCTGTTATATATATATAACTTTCTGTTATATATATATATAACTTTCTGTTATATATATATAACTTTCTGTTATATATATATATAACTTTCTGTTATATATATATATAACTTTCTGTTATATATATATAACTTTCTGTTATATATATATGTAACTTTCTGTTATATATATAATTTTCTGTTATATATATATATAACTTACTGTTATATATATCTTTGTTTTATATATATTTATAACTTTCTGTTATATATATAACTTTCTGTTTTTTTATATATATATATATGTATAACAGAAACCTTCAGTATTTCAAAATTCAAAACAGTAAACATTGACCATTGTAGCATGACTACTGGGGAATACAGTGTTAGGCAAGTTAGTCTTTTTATGCCAGTCAATATCATACTTGGCCATCTACTGTACTTCTCACAAACGAATTTGTCTTCTCCCAAGAGGCTAATTCTGTTTCAAAAGTACTATTTTAACATTTTTCTGTCTTCTTTCCTTCAGAAGACTTTCATATGCAAGAAGCCCAATTATTTTTCCACTCCTGGGTTCCAGAAGGCTATTCTTGAATACCCTTGAACCCCTCCTGGGTTCCAGAAGGGTATTCTTGAATGAAGTGTCATTTTCTCTCTTTTTCATAGATTTATTCAGCATCTGAAGAATTACCCAAAAAAGAAATGAATCTGCGTGGGATGGCTCATATTGCATACAGTTTCAAAATTACTTTCATATCCACTTCCTTATCTAATTCTATCAATATCTTACTTCTAATACTAATATCTCCTGATTTTATTATTACTGATACTATTGCATATCTTGTCTCTTACCCCTGCTACAAGCTGGTACCACACCCTCACTGACTATTTGTATGGCTTCCTAATATATCTCTATATTTTTTTTAAAATATAGTAGAATGCATGATGGATTAGAGCAAAGAAGAGTGACTCCATGTTCTTTGCTCTAATCCATCATGCAGTCTACTATATTTTTTAAAAATCTGAATTATCAAATCTGGACTACTTTCTTTTCCCTTAATCCTGGGGCTTTATATAAGGCTTTATAATTTTCAAGAATTTTTCATAATAAGTATGAAATATAAGTATTCATAATAAATATTGCTTAATTCTTTTTTTTTTTTTTTGAGATAGAGTCTCACTCTGTCACCCAGGCTACAGTGCAGTGGTGCAATCTCAGCTCACTGCAAACTCTGCCTCCCAGGTTCAAGCAATTCTCATGCCTCAGCCTCCTGAGTAGCTGGGATTACAGGCACCCGCTACCATGCTCGGCTAATTTTTGTATTTTTAGTAGAGACAGGGTTTCACCATGTTGGCCAGGCTGGTCCCAAACTCCTGACCTCAAGTGATCTGCCCAACTCGCCTCTAAAAGTGCTGGGCTTAGAGGCATGAGCCATTGTGCCCAGCCAATATTGCTTAATTCTTATAATAGTCCTGTATTATTAATAGTATCACTAACAGTGCTGTAAAGATGAGGCAAAAACATATACAGAGAGTAACCATTACCAAAGAAAATCACACAGGTAATGCATGTCAGATTTGAGAGTCAAGCTCAGGTCTTCTTATTCCAGCTCAAGTAATTTTTTTTTTTTTTTGAGACAGAGTCTCACTCTGTCACCTAGGCTGGAGTGCAGTGGCATGCTCTCACCTCACTGCAACCTCCACCTTCCAGGCTCAAGCAATTCTCATGCCTCAGCCACCCAAGTAGCTGAGACTACAGGCTTGCACCACTGCAGTTGGCTAATTTTTGTATTTTTAGCAGAGACAGGATTTTGCCTTGCTGGCCAGGCTGGTCTCAAACTCCTGGCCTCAAGTGATCCACCTGCCTTGGCCTCCCAAAGTGCTAGGATTACAGGTGTTAGCCACTGCACCTGGCAACAACTCAAGTATTTTCTTACAGTACAGATGCTCTTTTTAACCCTTCTGCTTACCTTGCTTTTTTCTATTTACTTTTTATTTTTTAATTTTTTGTAGAGATCGGATCTCACTATGTTTCACAAGCTGATCCTGAACTCCTGGCCTTAAGCAATCTTCCCACCTTGGCCTCTCAAAGTGCTAGGATTACAGGCTTGAGCCAGTGCACCCAGCCTCTAGAATGCTTTCTTATTCTATTCTCTATCATTCAAAACTCTGCCATCTTTCAAGTCCCAGTTCAAATACCATGTCTTCCTTAATAGCTACTTTGTCATTACACCTGGAATTAACAATCAATCTATATAACTATAGCATTTAGTTTGTATAACAATATAACTAACGCTCATTACATATTGCTTTATAGAATTATTTGTGTGCATGTCTCATCCGGCCTACTGTTGGGAAAACCTCTTGAGGGTAGAAAATTTAGTGTATTAGTTTTTCTATTCCCCCACTGAGCAAATATATGGCGGTTGTTTGAGTAATTGTGAGTGAATGAATGAACACATGAAGGCCTTGGCCCACACAGTTCTAAAAGGGATTAAGGCCTAAGGAACATCTGGATATCAACTAATGTATTCACCTATTGGCTTAGTTATAGTATCTTAGAAAGAGATAATGAAATTACTGAACTAATAGTTAAGCTGTTGGTGCCTCAGGACAAAACAGAGGTGTGAGGAGGATTGAAATACTTAAGTTAATAGCCCCCTAGATGCAAAGGTAAAAGTTTAGCTCATTATTTCCTAAACTGCATTCACTTCATAGATAAGGAACAACAGCCATTTATTATAGAGTCCATAGTCATATAGTGAAAATATTGATGATGATGATGATAAAATTGCCTTCTGAATTTATTTAGTATTTGTCATTCCTGGACACGTAAACAATATTATCTCCAAATTTTATTGGCAATTATAGTTAAAATAATATTTTATTTACATATTTATATATTTTTCAATATAAATACACATATATACATGTATCACTATGATGAAACTACTTCATAATTATTTTAATTTTTTATTAAAATGCATTTTAAGCATTATATAATGCTTCATAAAATACTTCATGAGGTAACCACCTATGGTTTGTACAGAGAATTCACACTCTCAACACCCTTGCCCTTCTCTCCTTTGGTACTTGCCTGGCAAAACTCCAAGCTTGATGAAATGCAACTTCTCACCTATTCCATGTCTACATCTAATCAACTGGAGAAGAACAAATTATCATGCTAATTGGACTCACTTTAAAATTATGACATCAAGCCTCAACTGGGTTCTCAGTGTTGCCCAGCAATTCTTTACAATTCCATAGTCATTTGACTGTTCTACTCTTCAGATGAAGCTGTTCCCCTCAAGCCTCTTTCTTCCTCCTCCCTCTCAGCTGATGATCTTGCTTTCTGTTAACACTTCACTGAAAAAAAGAAGCAACTAGAAGAGAACCTTCACAACTTCTCACCACTAATTCTACTCACTTACCTGCATCTTACCTTCCCTTCTACTATGAAGGTTGAAATATTCCTGTTTCTGTCTGAGTCTAACCCCTCCCTCCTGTGCCCTTGGTCCTATCCTCTTTTGCTCCCAAAATTATTCCATCTCTTTCCTGTATCAACTTTTCTCTTTTTGTAGAATCATTAACATCAACATATAATATATATTTGAATATCTCCCACTTAATAAAAGAAACTCTATCCTGATCTCACATCCTTCATTAGCCACAGCTCCACTTCTTTTTGCAGAAAATCTCAAAGGAATTATCTAAATTTGTTGTCCCTCGGTCATCTCTCATTCTATCTTGAATCCACTCTAATAAGCCTTTTTGCCTTCACTATTCCACTGGCAATACTTTCATCAAGTATACCATTGCCCTCCATATCACTAAACCCAATGCCGAATTATCAGTCTTCATGATATCATGGTTGACCTCTTAGCAGTATTCAGCACAGTTGATCTTCTTGGAACACATTCTGTATTGGCTTCCAAAAAAACCTCTCTCTCCTGGTTTTTCCCTTATCTCTTTGGCTTCTTTGGAGTCTACTTTGCTGGTTCCTCTTCATTACATTGACAAGTAAATGTCAAAACTGGAGTGCCCCACAGCTAGCTCAGTTCTCCTCTTCTCTATCTACCCTCATTTCATTCCCTAGGAGCTTTCAATCAGTCTTGTGGCTTCAAAAACTATATATATACACACATATATATATGTGTATATATGTAGTTACATACATATATATGTATATATATAGTTACGTATATGTAGTTTGTATATAGTTTTAGATATAGGATATCTAGGTATAGATATAGATATAGATATAGGATATATATATATCTTTCTCTTCCCCTTTCCTTTCTCTCCCTTCTCTTCTTAAATGATTTGATCCCAAAGCCATTAGGTGGAAAAAGCAAGGTTGGAATTGGGCCTGAGTTGGAGAGAATCACAGAGGCCAATTGGGATTTTGGAGCCCAATCTGGGAAAGGAGGATGCTTGCATAAGAGGACTGTGTAGCAAGGATAGTTATAGCCTGAGCAGAGTGAGAAGGACATCCATGGAGAGGGGCAGCATAGTATGGGCTACTGGGTATCCACACAGAAAACTGGTCATGCACGAGGAGTCAAAGCCTAAGCAGAATGAGAAAGACATTTACATGGCAGGGGTAGTCAGGTATGGGTGTTAGAGACTGAGTGGAGTGAGGAGGACATTTGTGCATAGAAGAGAGTGGTGGTGACAATCAATGATCTGTTATTACAGGGGGCTTAATTACATAAATAAATATATTAAAAAGTTAGAGCCAGGTTCCCCATTGTCAGATGGAAAAGAATACTAGAATAAACCTTGTGATGTTTGATTAGAATAGGAGATATTTGTGTGAATTTATGGTTGTATATCTAAATAGATTGATTGATAGAGATATATAGTTATAGAAATAAATATAGATGTAAAAGTGTATATGTTTTCATGTATCTCTATTTTTATCTCTATATTCCTCACTTCTGACCACTGACAGAGCCTGGGAGTAGCTACACCCCAGTAGCAACTGAGCACATCTAGCCCCAGATTTTGACTTCTAAGTATCGTTCTCCACAAAAATAACCAGGGTTCTTTGAGAAATGGCTGATTCCAGTACTGGGGCAGCAAAAATACAAATTAACCCTGGAACATCTGCTGAACCAGACAAAAAAGTGCTCTAAGAATGATGGGGGTATATCAAAAAGAGAGAAGCCAGCTTGGGCTTTCTACTGACCAAATCTGAGACAATTGGATATTTATTTATTTAGACTTCTTCAAATCATGGGATGAGATCATTTGAGAATTAATGATGGAAACAGATTATACTCATTTAAAAAACAATGAGTCAATACAAACATAAATTAATAAATTTAATACATGGAAAGTTTGAAGGTCGGGCATAGTGTCTCATGCCTGTAATCCCAGCACTATGGGAAGCCGAGGCAGGTGTTTCACCTGAGGTCAGGAGTTTGAGACCACCCTGGCCAACATGGTGAAAGCCCATCTCTACTAAAAATACAAAAAATAGCCAGGTGTGGTGGTGGGTGCCTGTAATCCCAGCTACTCCAGAGGCTGAGGCAGGAAAATTGCTTGAACCCAGGAGGCGGAGGGGGCAGTGAGCTGAGATCATGCCATTTGCACTCCAGCCTGGGCGGCAGAGCAAGACTCCATCTCAATAAATAAATAAGTAAGTAAGTAAGTAAATAAATAAATAAATAAATAAATAAATAAAGTTTGATGAAGAATAGGCTATTTGCCAGACGTGGTGGCTCACACCTGTAATCCCTGCACTTTGAGAGGCCAAGGCAGGTAGATTGCTCGAGCCCAGAAGTTCAAGAGCAGCCTGAGCAACATGGTAAAACCCTGTTTTACCAAAAAAAAAAAAAACAAAAAAAACAAAAAAAAAACCACTAGCGTGCATCTCTAGTCCCAGCTACCCAGGAGGCTCAGGTGGGAACATCACCTGAGCCTGGGAGGTTGAGGCTACAGTGAGCTATGATCCTGGCACTGCACTCCAGCCTGGGAGACAGAGCAATACCCTGTCTCAAAACAAAAACAAAAAAGAATAGGATATTTACATAGCTTCAAAGTACTTTTCCACAAAATACTTATTAAGTACAAAAGGGAAAAAAAGCTTTAAAATGGAGAAGCTTATATTACTTTAATCAAGTGATTCAAATTAACACCATCAATAATGAGACAAATTGCAGTTGTGTCCCTAACACCTGATAGGATGCAATAAGAATATAGGATTGCTTATTTATATTCTTAATAGAGAGATGCATAATCTGAATCTAATCATGATGAAATATAAAATAAATTCAAAATTGAGGGATATACTTCAAAATAACTGGCCTGTTAATCTTCAAAAGCAGCAAGGCCATGAAAATCAACGAAAGCCCAAGGAAATATTCCTGAGTGGAGGAGACTAAAGAGACATAATAGGTAAATTCTGAACTGAATCCTTTTATTATAAAGGACATTATGATTTGGATAAGGTCTGAGGGTTAGGTAAGTATAGCAATCTTAATTTCTAGATTTTGATGGGTTTATTGTGTTTATACAGGAAAATGTCCTTATTTATAGGAAGAACACACTGAAGTATCGGGGTGATGGGGCATGGTGTCAGAATTCTCATTGTGTCATTACTGGGTCAGCTTTTGTCATTATTCTCAAATGACTGAGGAAAAACGTTGTTTGTGCTATCCTTGCATCTTTCATGTAATTTTCGACATTGTTTTTTAAAAAGGAAGAAGACTATATGTTAATGAGTTTCAAATTTCTCTCTCCGGCGTGGATCTGAACCCAAGATCATATATTTAATTTTCTAGTCAAAATTGCCACTTGCACCAAACTGGGCAACATAGCAAGACCCCACCTCTACAGAAAAAAATTAACCAGGCATGGCGGCATACACCTGTAGTCTCAGCTACTTTGGAAGTTGAGGCAGGAGAATCACTTGAGCCCAGGAGTTTGAGGTTGCAGTGAGCTATCATGAACCACTGCATTCCAGCCTGGGCAACAGAGGGAGGCCCTGTCTCAAAAAATAAAATAGGCAGGGCATGGTGGCTCATGCCTGTAATCCCAGCACTTTGGGAGGCTGAGGCAGGAGGATCATCTAAGGTCAGGAGTTTGAGACCAGCCTGGCCAACATGGTGAAAGCCCATCTCTACTAAAAATACAAAAAATAGCCAGGTGTGGTGGTGGGTGCCTGTAATCCCAGCTACTCCAGAGGCTGAGGCAGGAGAATCATTTGAACCTGGGAGGCCTTCCAGGGGTTGCAGTGAATCGAGATCATGCTGCTGCACTACAGCCTGGGTGACAGAGCAAGACTGTGTCTCAAAAAATAAAATAAAATAAAAAGTCTTCGCTTGGATGTCTAATCACTGTCAAACTTAAAATGTAAAACTGAGGGTGGCTGGCAAGATGGATGAATAGGAACAGCTCCAGTCTGCAGCTCCCAGTGAGATCAATGCAGAAGGCGGGTGATTTCTGCATTTCCAACCGAGTTACCCAGCTCATCTCATTGGGACTGGTTAGACAGTGGGTGCAGCCCATGGAGGGCAAGCTGAAGCAGGGTGGGGTGTCACCTCACCTGGGAAGCACAAGGGGTTGGGGAACTCCCTTCCCTAGCCAAGGGAAGCCATCAGGAATGGTAAATTCTGGCCCAGATACTATGCTTTTCCCATGGTCTTCGCAACCCACAGACCAGGAGATTCCCTCAGGTGCCTACACCACCAAGGCCCTGGGTTTCAAGCACAGACTAGGTGGCCGTTTGGGCAGACACTGAGCTAGCTGCAGGAGTTTTTTTTTTTTTTTTTTTTTTCTTACCCCAGTGGCGCCTGGACTGCCAGCGAGACAGAACTGTTCACTCTCCTGGAAAGGGGGCTGAAGCCGGGGAGCCAAGTGGTCTAGCTCAGCGGATCACACCGCCACAAAGCCCAGCAAGCTAAGATCCACTGGCTTGAAATTCTCACTGCCAGCACAGCAGTCTGAAGTCGACCTAGGACTTTGAGTTTGGTGTGGGGAGAGGCGTCTGTCATTACCGAGGCTTAAGTAGGTGGTTTTCCCCTCACAGTATAAACAAAACTGCCGGGAAGTTTGAACTGGGTAGAGCCCACTGCAGGGCGGCAAAGCCACTGTAGCCAGACTGCCTATCTAGATTCCTCCTCTCTGGGCAGGGCATCTCTGAAAGAAAGGCAGCAGCCCCAGTCAGGGGCTTATAGATAAAACTCCCATTTCCCTGGGACAGAGCACCTGGAAGAAGGGGCTCCTTTGGGCACAGCTTCAGTAGACTTAAACATTCCTGCCGGCTAGCTCTGAAGAGAGCAGTAGGTCTCCCAGCACAGCACTCGAGCTCTGCTAAGGGACAGACTGCCTCCTCAAGTGGGTCCCCTGTGCCTCCTGACTGGGAGATACTTCCCAGCAGGGGTCGACAGACACCTCATATAGGAGAGTTCTGGCTGGCATCTGGTGGGTGTCCCTGTGGGATGAAGCTTCCAGAGGAAGGAACAGGCAGTAATCTTTGCTGTTCTGCAGCCTCCACTGATGATACCCAGGCAAACAGGGTTTGGATTAGACCTCCAGCAAACTCCAGCAGACCTGCAGCAGAGGGGCCTGACCATTAGAAGGAAAACTAACAAACAGAAAGGAATAGTATCAACATCAACAAAAAGGACATCCACACAGAAACCCCATCTGAAGGTCACCAACATCAAAGACCAAAAGTAGATAAATGCATGAAGATGAGAAAAAAACAGTGCAAAAAGGCTGAAAATTCCAAAAACCAGAACGCCTCTTCTCCTCCAAAGGATCACAACTCCTCACCAGAAAGGGAACAAAA
The DNA here is from genome assembly GCF_000001405.40 of Homo sapiens. Classification (NCBI taxonomy): domain Eukaryota; kingdom Metazoa; phylum Chordata; class Mammalia; order Primates; family Hominidae; genus Homo; species Homo sapiens. The sequence continues at coordinate 174,145,001 of NC_000001.11, forward strand.
CTGGATGGAGAATGAGTTTGATGAATTGACAGAAGAAGGCTTCAGAAAGTGGGTAATAACAAACTCCTCTGAGCTAAAGGAGCATGTTCTAACCCAATGCAAGGAAGCTAAGAACCTTGATAAAAGGTTAGAGGAATTGCTGACTAGAATAACCAGTTTAGAAAAGAACATGAATTACCTGATGGAGCTGAAAAACACAGCATGAGAACTTTGTGAAGCATACGCAAGTATCAATAGCCAAATCCATCAAGTGGAAGAAAAGATATCAGAGACTGAAGATCAACTTAATGAAACAAAGCAAGAAGACAAGATTTGAGAAAAAAGAATGAAAAGAAATGAACAAATCCTCCAAGAAATATGGGACTATGTGAGAAGACCAAACCTACGTTTGATTGGTGTACCTGAAAGTGATGGGGAGAATGGAACCAAGTTGGAAAACACTCTTCAGGATATTATCCAGGAGAACTTCCCCAACCTAGCAAGACAGGCCAACATTCAAATTCAGGAAATACAGAGAACACCACTAAGATACTCCTTGAGAAGAGCAACCCCAAGACACATAATTGTCACATTCACCAAGGTTGAAGTGAAGGAAAAATTGTTAAGGGCAGCCGGAGAGAAAGGTCGGGTTACCCACAAAGGGCAGCCTACCAGACTAACAGTGGATCTCTCTACAGAAACCCTACAAGCCAGAAGAGAGTGGGGGCCAATATTCAACATTCTTAAAGAAAAGAGTTTTCAACCCAGAATTTCATATCCAACCAAACTAAGCTTCATAAGTGAAGAAGAAATAAAATCCCTTATAGACAAGCAAATGCTGAGGGATTTTGTCACCACCAGGCCTGCCTTACAAGACTCCTGCAGGAAGAACTAAATATGGAAAGGAAAAACTAGTGCCAGCCACTGCAAAAACATACCAAATTGTAAAGACTGTCAACACTATAAAGGAACTGCCTCAACTAACAGGCAAAACAACCAGCTAGCATCATAATGAAAGGATCAAATTCACACATAACAATATTAACCTTAAATGTAAATGGGCTAAATGCCCCAATTGAAAGACACAGACTGGTAAATTGGATAAAAAGTGAAGACCCATCGGTGTGCTGTATTCAGGAAACCCACCTCACGTGGGCTCAAAATAAAGGGATGGAGAAAAATTACCAAAATTAAGGCAGAAATAAATAAGTTCTTTGAAACCAATGAGAACAAAGACACAATGTACCAGAATCTCTGGGCCACAGCTAAAGCAGTGTTTAGAGGGAAATTTATAGCACTAAAATCCCACAGGAGAAAGTGGGAAAGATCTAAAATTAACACCCTAACATCACATTTAAAAGAACTAGAGAAGCAAGAGCAAACAAATTCAAAAGCTAGCAGAAGACAAGAAATAACTAAGATCAGAGCAGAAATGAAGGAGATAGAGACACAAAAAAGCCTTCAAAAAATGAATGAATCCAGGAGGTGGTTTTTTGAAAAGATTAACGAAATATACCGCTAGAGAGACTAATAAAGAAGAAAAGAGAGAATAATCAAACAGACACAATAAAAAATGATAAAGGGGATATCACCACTGATTGCATAAAAGTACAAACTACCATCAGAGAATACTATAAACACCTCTAGGCAAATAAACTAGAAAATCTAGAAGAAATGGATAAATTCCTGGACACATATACCCTCCCAAGACTACACCAGGAAGAAGTCGAATCCCTGAATAGACTAATAACAAGTTCTGAAATTGAGGCAGTAATTAATCGCCTTTCAACCAAAAAGAGTCCAGGACCAGACGGATTCACAGCTGAATTCTACCAGAGGTACAAAGAGGAGCTGGTACCATTCCTTCTGAAACTATTCCAAAAAATAGAAAAACAGGAACTCCTCCTTAATTAATGTTATGAGGCCAGCATCATCCTGATACCAAAACCTGGCAGAGACACAACAAAAAAAGAAAATTTCAGGCCAATATCCCTGATGAACATAGATGCGAAAATCCTCAGTAAAATACTGGCAAGCCGAATCCAGCAGCACATCAAAAAGCTCATCCACCACCGTCAAGTCGGCTTCATTCCTGGGATGCAAGTCTGGTTCAACATATGCAAATCAATAAACATAATCCATCACATAAACAGAACCAATGACAAAAACCACGATTATCTCAACAGATGCAGAAAAGGCCTTCGATAAAATTCAACACCCCATTCATGCTAAAAAACTCTCAATAAACTAGGTATTGATGGAACGTATGTCAAAAAAATAAGAGCTATTTATGACAAACCCACAGCCAATAACATACTGAATGGGCAAAAGCCGGAAGCATTTCCTTTGAAAACTGGCACAAGACAAGGATGCCCTCTTTCACCACTCCTATTTAACATAGTACTGGAAATTTTGGCCAGGGCAATCACGCAAGAGAAAGAAATAAAGGGTATTCAAATAGGAAGGAAGAAGTCAAATTGTCTCTGTTTGCAGATGACATCATTTTATATTTAGAACACCCCATTGTCTCAGCCCAAAATTTCCTTAAGCTGATAAGCAACTTCAGCAAAGTCTCAGGATACAAAATCAACCTGCAAAAATCACAAGCATTCCTATACATCAACAATAGACAAACAGAGCCAAATCATGAGTGAACTCTCATTCACAATTGCTACGAAGAGAATAAAATACCTAGGAATAAAACTTATAAGGGATGTGAAGGACCTCTTCAAGGAGAACTACAAACCACTGCTCAAAGAAATAAAAGAGGACACAAACAAATGGAAAAACATTCCATGCTCATGGATAGGAAGAATCAATATTGTGAAAATGGCCATACTGCCCAAAGTAATTTATAGATTCAATGCTATTCCCATCAAGCTATCATTGACTTTCTTCACAGCATTAAAAAAAATACTTTAAATTCCATATGGAACCAAAAAAGAGCCTGTATAGCCAAGACAATCCTAAGCAAAAAGAACAAAGCTGGAGGCATCACGCTACCTGACTTCAAACTATACTACAAGGCTACAGTAACCAAAACAGCATGGTACTGGTACCAAAACAGATATATAGACCAATGGAACAGAACAGAGGCCTCAGAAATAACACCACACATCTACAACCATCTGATTTTTGACAAACCTGACAAAAACAAGAAATGGGGAAAGGATTCCCTATTTAATAAATGGCATTGGGAAAACTGGCTAGCCATATGCAAAAAACTGAAACTGGACTCCTTCCTCACACCTTATACAAAAATTAACTCAAGATGGATTAAAGACTTAAACATTAGACCTAAAACCATAAAAACCCTAAAAGAAAACCTAGGCAGTACCATTCAGGATATAGGCATGGGCAAAGACTTCATGAATAAAACACAAAAAGCAATGGCAACAAAAGCCAAAATTGACAAATGGGATCTAATTAAACTAAAGAGCTTCTGCACAGCAAAAGAAACTACCATCAGAGTGAATAGGCAACCTATAGAATGGGAGAAAATTTTTTTTTTTTTTTTTTTTTTTTTTTGAGACGGAGTCTCGCTCTGTCGCCCAGGCTGGAGTGCAGTGGCGCAATCTCGGCTCACTGCAAGCTCCGCCTCCCGGGTTCACGCCATTCTCCTGCCTCAGCCTCCCGAGTAGCTGGGACTACAGGCGCCCGCTACCACGCCCGGCTAATTTTTTGTATTTTTAGTAGAGACGGGGTTTCACCGTGTTAGCCAGGATGGTCTCGATCTCCTGACCTCGTGATCCACCCGCCTCGGCCTCCCAAAGTGCTGGGATTACAGGCGTGAGCCACCGCGCCCGGCCTTTTTTTTTTTTTTTTTTTTTTTGAATGGGAGAAAATTTTTGCAATCTATCTATCTGACAAAGAGCTGATATCCAGAATCTACAAGGAACTTAAACAAATTTACAAGAAAAAAACAACCCCATCAAAAAGTGGGCAAAGGATATGAACAGACACTTCTCAAAAGAAGACATTTATGCAGCCAACAAACATATGAAAAAAAAAGCTCATCATCACTGGTCATTAGAGAAATGCAAATCAAAACCACAATGAGATACCATCTCATGGCAGTTAGAATGGCGATCATTAAAAAGTTAGGAAACAACAGATGCTGGAGAAGATGTGGAGAAATAGGAACGCATTTACAGTGTTGGTGGGAGTGTACATTAGTTCAACCATTGTGGATGACAGTGTGGCAATTCCTCAAGGATCTAGAACCAGAAATACCATTTGGCCCAGCAATCCCATTACTGGGTATATACCCAAAGGGTTATAAATCATTCCACTATAAAGACATACACACACATATATTTATTGCAGCACTATTCACAATGCAAAGACTTGGAACCAACCCAAATGCCCATCAATGATAGGCTGGATAAAGAAAATGTGGCACATACACACCATGGAGTACTACGCAGCCATAAAAAAGGATGAGAGAGTCACTGACAACAGCCATTGAGTAGGTGAGAACACGAACAGGAAAGAGAGAAGAGCTGAACACGTTTCTTTTCTCAGAATCCTCCCTTTCAAATGAGGCTGAATTTTGTGATTTTAAAAATTTAAGACCTTATGATTTCTGCAAGCGGGCAGGAAAGTCATGAGACTTGCTGGAATTTTCATCTTTGTGGCAGGGGAAAAAGCTAACCCCACTGAGTTAGTTTTAAGAGAATAGTTATGTTTTGATTATATTTTACAAGTCACACTAGTTCAATGCAATAAATATACAGATTTTCTGCTACACAGTTGGTGGAAACCTTTCAGAACCTGCGGGTACATGTCTTAAGAGGAAAAGAGCATTGCAAGCTCAAATTTTTAAAATAAAAAATTTTACAATTCCTATATTAGTTTCATTCACCAATCACTACACTAAGTCCCGAAGCAAATAAAATGTATATATTCAAAATTTATGAAGGAAATAAATTAAAAATTTGAATGACAAAAAATTCAGTCTTTTGGCCAGGTGCGGTGGCTCATGCCTATAATCCCAGCACTTTGGGAGGCTGAGGCAGGCGGATCACTTGAGGTCAGGAGTTTGAGACCAGCCTGGCCAACATTGTGAAACCCCATCTCTACTAAAAATACAAAAATTCGCTGGGCATGGTGACGCACACCTGTAATCCCAGCTACTCTGGAGGCTGAGGCTGGAGACTCGCTTGAACCCGGAGGCAGAGGTTGCAGTGAGCCGAGATCACGCCACCGCATTCCAGCCTGGGTGACAGAGTGAGACTCCATCTCAAAAAAAAAATTCAGTCTTTCTAAGACAGGGAAATATGCAGTGTACTTTCAGTAGAATGATTATCAAACCACAAAGGACTTAAAAAACAACAACAACCCTTTAGCCATGGTTATTAAGATGAAATAATTACTGAAATTCTTATTTAAATTTCCTATATCAGCTATCCTTCTAGATATGAGGCATCCAAGTGAAGAATTTCAATTTTAAAGGAATTATTATTATTGTTATTATTATTTTTAGAGACACGGTCTTCCTTTATCACCCAGGCTGGACTGCAGTGGTGCTATCATAGCTTACTATAACCTCAAACTCCTGGGCTCAAGTGATCCTCCTGCTGTAGCCTCCACAGTAGCTGAGACTACAGGCGTGTGCCACCATGTCTGGCTATTTAAAAACATTTTTTTTATAGAGATGGGGTCTTGCTATGTTGCCCAGGCTAGTCTCAAACTCCTGGCCTGAAGTGATCCTCTTGCTTTGGCCTCCCAAAGTGCTGGGATTCAAGGCATGAGTCACCATGCCTGGCTAGGAATTTTTATTTGTTTTTTGAGATAGGGTCTCACTCTGTTGCCTAGGCTGGAGTACAGTGGCGGGATCTCTGCTCACTGCAGCCTCCACCTCTCTGGCTCAAGCAATCCTTCCACTTCAGCCCCCCAAGCAGCTGGGACTACTGGCAGGCACCACCACACCCAGATAATTTTTGTATTTTTTGTAGAGATGGGATTTCGCCATGTTGCCCAGGCTGGTCTTGAACTCCTGAGCTCTAGTGATCCACCCGCCTTGACCTCCCAGAGTGCTAGAATTATATTTTTCTGAAATTATTTTAATAATCCCATAAATTATAAATTATAATCTCTTCAGAAATCATGTGAATCAATTAAGAAGGAATATGACCCTAAGATAAGGTTTAAGAGTAAAAATAGTAGTTAGAATTAAGTTCAGTTGCAAGTGAGTAAAACTAAAAATAGCAAATAATGGATTAAACACACAAGGTTTCATTCTCTATAAGTTTGGAAATTGGCATTTTAGGTGGGATTTCAGGTGGGATGGAGGTTCCACAAAGTCATCATGGACATAAACTCCTTCTGGTTGGTCACTACACCATACCTAGGGTGGTCCTCATCCTCCGGCTGAAGATGGTTGCTAGATTCAACCATCACATCTATGTTCCAGGTAGTAGGAGGGAAGAAAGGGAAAAGAAGAGGCCAGTCTCTCTCTTTGAAGAAAATTTCACAGTTACTTTTCTCATTTGCCAGAATATTGGCTGCAAAGGAAGACAGGAATTATAGTCTTTTATCTGTGTATAGTTTAATATTGGATAAATTTGGGGTTCTTTTACTAAGATGGAAGGAGAAAATGGATGATGAGGCAAGCAGCTAGGAGTCTCTGGCATACACACTTAAATATATTTCTTTTAATAAGATGGTTAGGTCTGACATTAATTACTAATAAGTTTGAATTATTGGTAAAGATATTTAATTGTACTGTAGATTCAGTGTTCTTTAAATGCTTGCTTTCTCTATGTAGAGAACACTTCTGTCACTTGCAACCAAAGAAAGACTAACTCATGGTCAGTAATCAGGGATTTGTTCTATTATTTAAGCTCTCTGTTTCACTAAGAGAAGCATCTCAGCAAATTCTAACACAAATTTGTAAATATATTCATTCAATCATTCATACAATAAACATACTGAATGCCTAGGTACTAGGAAAAAAAAACCCATAATTTTTGAATTCAAAGTGTTCAGTCTGGTAGAAAAAGATGGTGATAAAAAATTTTAAATGTATGAAAGTGTTATAGGTGCAGTAAAAATATATGTATCTGGTGTTGTGGGGTACAGTAGAGCAAGATATCAATTCTACAAAAATGAGATTAAAGGGTATGCATCCAAAGTAAGGCATACATTGATGGTGGAATTCAATTAAAAATGATTACATAATTTAAAATACATCAAAAGGTACAGAGAATAACACAATGGCTATCAATTTATGCACCATCTGCCTATGAAACAAGATATTTTGAATATAATTACAAGATACAATTCTGATTTTCATATGCAGTTTGAAATTATTAGCAGTTTGAAATTATTAGTAATGATGTATGTAGGTGTGTCAAAAACTAAAAATCTTCCACGAAGAGGTTGTTATTGTCACCGTCACCAAATCAGAGAATTAAATAGTAAGAATTTTCCTGAAATTGAAAGTGTTAGACAAAGTTTTAGGAATATTTTAATATATTCTAAAGCAATGGCATTTGTCATTTTATAATTCTCATTTACTTTTGTATTAGAGAGTCTCTTAGAATTAGACATAATCTTTTTTCAAATTTGCAGCTTATTTTTTATGTGGCAAAGGGAAAAGGACTAAAAAAATGTCTTGGAGGGAGGGGTAGGGTGTGGTGGAGAGGGCGTGAACTTCCCTTGACTCAGAAGAGGAAAGTGGTAATTTTCCTCCCTTTACCATGAAAGTATTTGTAATTTTTGAAGTAGCTTTTTCTACAAAACATATGTATTTAAGGAATATTTCTTATATATTCAAAACCTGCAATTTAGTAGGCCTATGGTAAGTACTTCAAAGGAACTTGGAGTTTACTGCCAAAGCTCTGTTTGGAAACGCTTGTGCAGGGAAAGCATCAGGAAGGAAGATACCACATCTGTAGAAAAGCAGCCTCCCTCTTTGTATAGTTTCTTTACATTATTAAAAAATTAACATAATTCAGACTAATATGGCTAGCTGGGCTGACAAGGAAAGACTCCCTACCTTTACAAAAATATACAAATGTGGGATAATAACTTTAAAAATTGAAAAAATGTATTTTGTCAAGCTTGAAAGCAAGAAAGGGAAATCAGCTAGGTATGGTGGCTGCAATCCTAGCACTTTGGGAGGCTGAGGCAGAAGGCTCACTTGAGCCCAGAAGTTTAAGACCAGCCTGGGCAACATAGAGATGTCCCATTTCTATCAAAAATAAAAAAAAAAAATCCAGGCATGGCAGCGTTCACCTGAGGTCCCAGCTACTCGGGAGGCTGAGGTGAAAGGATCACTTGAGCCCAGGGGATTGAAGCTGCAGTGAGCTGTGATCATGCCACTTCCACTGTGGCCTGGGCGACACAGTAAAACCCTGTCTCAAAGAAATTTTTTTTTTAGCCATCGAAACAACAACAATAACAAAAAAAAAAAAAAAGAAAGAAAGAAAAAAGAAAAGGAAATCACTAGCTTTTAGAAAAAGGAAAACAAAAAACCAGAGCATTACAGGAAGCTGAAGTCAAGTATATACTGAAGCCCAGTGGCTCACATGAGTACTGGAACTTGATACATGTTGTGAGACTCAAAGACTTAGAAGGAATAGATTATTGACAAGTGCAAAAACATGGATGAATCCTGAAATGATTATACTGAGTAAAAAAAGCAACACAAAAAAAGAATACATACTATATGATTCCATTTATAGAAAATTCTAGAAAATGCAAACAAATCTCTAGCAACATCAGTGAGTGCCTGAGGACATGGAGGGGTATGAGTCAGAGTAGGAGGGAGAGATTACAAAGGGGCATGATGGATATGTTTACTCTTGATTGTGGTGATGGTTTCACAGTTGCGTACATATGTCAAAACTTGTCAAATTGTACACTTTAAATATGAATAGCTTATTGTATGTCTGTTATATCTCATGAAGATGTTAAAAAGGACAAACAAAATCAACATCCAAGCAAGTTCAACAGATCCTTCTTCTCACTTATATGTATGCAATTTATTTGCTGAAGAAACTTGGTGGTATGTCCTATAGAGTTTCCCACATTCTGGATTTTATTGATTGCAAAAAGGAATCCTTATCTTTTTTTTTTTTGAGACAGGTATTGCTTTGTCACCCCCTTATGGCTCACTGCAGCCTTGACCTCCCAGGTTCAAGCGGTCTTCCTACCTCAACCTCCCAAGTAGCTGGGACCACAGGTGCGTGCCATCACCCCTGGCTAATTTTTAAATTTTTTGTAGAGATGGGGTCTAGCTATGTTTCCCAGGCTGGTCTCAAACTCCTGGGCTCAAGCAATCCTCCTGCCTCGGTCTCCCAAAACGCTGGGATTACAGGCCTGAGCCACCATGCCTGGTCAAGAATTCTTATCTTTTAGAGCTTTATATGATGAAGTATTTATGGGTGATATCCATGTGAGGGGTGGGGAAGGAGATTGGCCACATATTGATAATTGTTCAAGCTGAATGACTGACTCATGAAGGCTCATTATACTCTTCTCTCTACTTTTTATGTGCTTAAACATTTTTTATAAGAAAAAGTTGAAACAAGTCCTGGGGCCTATCTTAGAGGTACTGAATTTCTTGGGGGTTGAGCATAGAGATATGCATTTTTATAAACTCCCAAGGTGATTTTGTTATACACTACAGAGGATCACTGCCCCACATAAAAGAAAAGGACTCCTATGGTGAGATGAATTTCAGACACCTACCATAATGTATGGGAAAAACCATTTTTGGTAGGTGTCCTTTACATTAAGTATCAAATTCTAAAAGTAGTAGAGGCTGGGCATGGTGGCTCATGCCTGTAATCTCAGCACTTTGGGAGGCCACGGTGGGCAGATCACTTGAGGTCAGGAGTTTGAGACCAGCCTGGCCAACACGGTGAAACCCCGTCTGTACTAAAAATACAAAAATTAGCCAGGTGTGGTGGTGGGCACCTATAATCCCAGCTACTTGGGAGGCTGAGGCAGGAGAGTCACTTGAACCCGGGAGGTGGAGGTTGCAGTGAGCCAAGATCGCACCACTGCACTCCAGCCTGGGTGACAGAGTGAGACCCTGTCTCAAAAAATAAAAAATATAAAAAATAAAAGAAATAAAAGTAGTAGGCTAGCTATTCTTCCTCAAGAGACATTTAGGGCCAGGCGCAGTGGCTCATGCCTTTAATCCCTCCCAGCACTTTGGGAGGCTGAGGCGGGTGGATCACCTGAGGTCAGGAGTTCGAGACCAGACTGGCCAATGTGGCGAAACGCTGTCTCTACTAAAAAAATACAAAAATTAGCTGGGCATGGTGGTGCGTGCCTGTAATCCCAGCTACTCCGGAGGCTAAGGCAGGGGAATTGCTTGAACCCGGGAGGCGGAGGTTGCAGTCAGCCGAGATTGCGCCACTGCACTCCAGCCTGGGCAGCAAGAGTGAAACTCTGTCTCAAAAAAATAAAATAAAACAGGCATTTAGATCTCTGCCTGCCTCTTCTACTGCTGAGGAAATTTTCTGCTCCCTATATACATATTTTATTGTGTTCTTAGTCTTAAATGGGCGATTGCAACACAGGTTTGGTTTATCATATAAGCTCATTATGACTTGTCCAGATTACTCTGAATTTCAGCCCTACATAAAACCGTGAAATAAAAAAGGTTTTCTTCTGTATCTCCAGTTTTACCTGTTACATCTTTCGCTCTCTCGGTGATTTCTCCCTTCCTCCAGTAGCCAGTGCCTCTTTTCCAAATCTTCCTGTTAGTAAAAAAAAAAAAGACTAAAAAATCATGTGATAAACTCATTTATATAAGATTAGTGATTCGAGTCATGAAGTGCTCTTCTTGGGCAAAGTTGATTTAAATAGGGCACAGGATTTAAGTCAAAGTGAAAAAAAAAAAAAGTGTAACGATGGGCTTTCAGGCATCAGGTAGCCCAGTCAGGGAAGGATTTTTTGGTGTGGTCAAATTCCTTTCAAGACCCTGTAAAATCTTGCCAGACAGCTTGTTACCTTTCTATCATTGGAAACGTATCCTTGGAAGAGTCATATAATGCAACTAAAGTTATTTGTTCCATAGTATGCATGGAAAGATTTAGCTTTATCTGTAAGAAATACAAAGCCAAACTCGAACCTTCTTAAAAAGCTGTCAAAATCAGGCCGGGCACGGTGGTTCACGCCTGTAATCCTAGCACTTTGGGAGGCCGAGGCGGGTGGATCACCTGAGGTCAGGAGTTTGAGACCAGCTCGGCCAATATGGTGAAACCCCATCTCTACTAAAAATACAAAAATTAGCTGGGCGTGGTGGTGGGCACCTGTAATCCCAGCTTCTCAGGAGGCTGAGACAGGACAATCGCTTGAACCCGGGAGGCAGGGGTTGTAGTGAACCGAGATTGCGCCACTGCACTCCAGTCTGGGCAACAGAGTGAGACTGTTTAAAAAAAAAAAAAAAAGCTGTGAAAATTTATTGTCTCAGAGGAAGGGGTAGGCTTCAAGCTGGGTTTGAGTGCTTCCATCATGTGTCAGCTTCATCCTCAGGCTGGCTTCCTCATGGTAGCAAAGTGGCTGCAGTAACTATTGGACTCACATCTACCCATCACACTAGCCAGAGTAAGAAAAAGAGCACTTTTCATTTCCCAACAAACACAAGATATGGCCTTCCATGTGACTGGCACCAATTTAGACTCATGTCAGTGCCTATCAGTGAATACTGACAGGTCAAGTGAGAATGGGATTAGGCTGATTATCACAATCACTGTCCACACCTGGAGCGGGAGATGGGCCTAATCAGATCCTTGGCTGTCTTGCAATTGCAGAGGGGTGGAAATATATTCTGGGGAATCAATCAATATAATGCTCACTATAAAATCAATATGATATTCTGTACCATTAGATACCAGTTTAAACTCTTACATTATTGTTCAATGTTTAACTTGTTTCTAATTTTTTTTTTCTTTTTTGTGGAGACAGGGTATTGTTATGTTGCCCAGGCTAATCTTGAACTTCTGGGCTCAAGCAATTCTGCCTTGGCCTCTCAAAGTGCTGGGATTACAGGCATGAACCACTGCACCTGGTCTGTTTCCAATTTTTGATATTACATTTTAAACTAGGAGTTGCAGACATAAATGAGAGAAACAACACTGTAAGATACAATAGAGAATGTAGAGACTTTGGCAAAAGAGAGAATGCATGTCCTGCAGCTGATCGTTATCATGTAATAATGTAAGCTCACTGTTACCAAATCTTCCACTTTTTAAAGAGAAGCCCAAAATGCATGTATAATCTTCTGGTTTTTAACTTTGGATATGTGTTTTTTTAAGCACCATGTATGCCAAACAAAACATGTTTGTGGGTTTGATTTGTACCTGGGGCACCAGTTTGTCATGTTATGAATCATGCTGGAGTATTTTATAACACCATCTCTCAAAGTGAGAGTTTCAGTCCTTTCATGGACCAGGGCTGCTAGGATACGCTTAATGCAAATGAAGCCACAGTGGAAAGAGAAGTGAGCAGCACATACCACATGAAGAATGCTTTGTTATTAATTTTTTATTCCTTTTAGTTTCTCGACTAAAAGCCTGAAGATCTGTTAATAATTTTTTGGCATGTGCTTAGAATTGTTTTTCTGGTGGTAAGGATGAGTTTGCATCAGATCACCTTAATTGTCTTTTATCTAGGTTCTCTCATGACTTGTCTCTTATCTATGTTGTACTGTGAGGAAAAGTTCAGTTTTAAAGAATGACCCCTGTTGATGAGAGGTGTTACATGTGGCCATGGGACAGGATTTTTCTTTTCCTTATAGCAAGTTGGCACATGAAGATAGCATGCTCCACTTAAATAGAAGAATTAACTCGCAGTGGCCAGTGGTGTCCACTATTGCTTTCAAAGACATATGGAACTGAATTTGGGGAACACTAAACTTGTTTTGGACTTGCCATTTTTTTTTTAAATTCTTTTTTAGCTAAGTTACCTATTGAATGCCCATAATTACCACATCCATTGTCCTTTTTTGTCAAAAAGCTTCACTCCAGTTAGAAGATACCTGAAGGCAGAAACTGCGGCTTTGTCAACTGTTGATTTCCTCATGGCGCGCAGTGTAAATTTACTAGTACTTTATTTAGTAGAGGCTTAGTACTTACTGGTTGGCAGATTTATTAATAGTTCCTGTACATCTCAGGAAATCAACAGATGATTTATGTTATTCTAACCCTAACTTTATTAAATATAATAAAAACTTTCAGCATTTATTGTCAGGCCCAGGGCTAGGTAGGCTCCTGAGATACAGAAGTTAATAAGGGAAGCAGCCCAGAAGGTAGGGGAAACAAAAAAATAGTTACAACACTCTTGATATGTCTCAGCATCTATAGACATTAACATCAGGAAAAGCGGGGGTGTGGGGGGAAGGAATTTGTCAGGGAGGGCCCTTTGGACAAATGTCACGTTTCTCAGAGTAGCTTTTAAATATGGGTGGGAAAATGAGGGCAGGGGAATTGAAGTGGGATAGAAGGGAGATATTTAAACTAAAGTCATTCTATGGCTGCAATCACTGGACACTATATTCACTTATCCATGCAATCACATTCATTGAGTGCTTCCTATGAGTTAGGCAGGGTGCACAGTGTAAGATACAAATGAATGATACAGGTTCACAGCGGTTGTCTAGTGGGATAAAATGCTGCACAGGGCAACCTGGATAAGCCTGACATGTTAGGTGCCACAAAACTACAGAACAAAGTGCTAAGGAGATTCGGAAAATTTACAGGTCATTTCTGGTTGCAGGATCTAGAAGAAGGATGTCCACAATTCAAGGATCAGTACAATCTTCGTAGCGAAAAAGCGTTGGTTTATTCTACCTCTACCTAGTTTGTACCTCAACATCTTTTACCCCAAAGGATAAAAAGGTGCAAATGAGGGCACATTTTCTTCATATAATACGTAATGGTGCTTACTTATTGCTTTCCTGTTCATTCCCCGCAGGTGATTTCCCTCTTCAGTCTCCCCCGAGTCTCACAGAAGGAACTAACAAGGGAGCGCTTCACAAGCACACAGACACCTTCAAACAGGCGCAGAAGAGTACTTGGTGAAAAAGTATTCTTTCAGGTGACTTTCCTTAAGATTACTGAGCATTAAGAATGAAAATATGTAAACCAGGTTTACGAGCAAGAAAATAATCTCTCCACATTCAGAGTTAATCTTCCGAACTCAGCAACTGCCAGTAGAACGCACCCCGGTCAGGGCGGGCTCGCGGGCGCGGTCCCACCCCCAGGCCCCTCCGCCGCGGAGGTTCTCCAGCGCCGCCCGTACTCCCGCCTTTCGCGCGTCCCTGCTCTAACAGCTCTGGTTCTGTCAGGACCTCACTCCTCCGCTCCCGGCGCAACCGCGGCCACGCAGCGACGTGCACGCGCGTGTGCGCCGCCGCCGCCCGGCAGAGTGGGCGCCTCCGACATCAGGAGCGCGCACGCCGCGCAGAGGGGCCTGGACGAGCGCGCTTCCGACCCGCCGCCACCGCCTCCTCCCCTCCTTCTCGGCCCGCCCCCTCCCTCGCCTCTTCCTGCCAGGCGGCCCTTCTCCCCTCCCCTCTCAGTTCCCTCCGCCCTCCTCGGGCTCCAGCGGTGGCGGAGCGAACGGGACCGGCCCGGCTTCAGAGCGCGAGGTGGAGGGTGGAACGCGGGCGCCTGAAGGAGTTGTTGTCTCGGCAGCGCCCGCGGAGACGTGAAGAGGTGAGGCGAGGACGGCCTCCTAGGGACACGAGGGCGGCCCGGCGGCCCGGATCCGCGGGCCGAGGCTGCCTGGGTGTGTTGGCGTCGGGCTGAGCCTGGGGAGGGTCGAGATGGGGCCCCAGCCGAGGACTGGGATGCGGGAGGACCGCGGTAAGGAGGGTAGGGGGCGGGTTCAGGACTGTCGGCCGCCTCCCGGACACCGCAGTTCTCCCAGGTGGCCGCTCCTCGCGGATAGGGCGGGCGGGGTCGGCGCCCTTACCTGGGGGTGGGGTAGTGGCTTTGGCGGCCGCCTCCTCCAGCTGTGCCCTCCTGACATTGCTGCCTCGGCGGCTGCCGCCCGCTGCTACGCTGTGGCTGCTGCTGGATTCGCAGTCCCAGCCGCCCTGCGTCCGGTGGGCGAGTGGTTAGGGTATTTTCTTACCCACACGCAGGCTTCTGTACTCGACCATTTCTCTCCCTCGCCCTTCCTCTTCCTCCGCCGAGCACTTTGCTCGGCTCCTGCTGTTGATGCTTGTGGTTTTGCAGTTTGGGATGGGATGCGTTCCGGGCAGATCCCTACCTGTAGGGAATGCCCCGCTTCAAAGTTGACCTCCTGAGCCATGACAAACACCTCCCCCCAACCCCCACCCACCTTGTGAGTGCTCAGTGTCCTGATAACTGAGTCAAAGTTTCTGAGACTGGGCTAGTACTTTGCACTGGTCGCCAACGGTACAGGGCTGGGCAGTGCGTCAGCATGTGGAAAGGGGCCACCGGCTAGCGGGAGGTGGCCGGGTGCATGGGAGCTGAACTGACGGGTTTCAGATACTAGGCAGTGTGTCCAGGTCCTTGGATCTCTCAGATAGGGTTATATTAGAATATGTACCAAAACTTGGGTGGTCACTTGCAAAATTGGTTTCATGCAAGTAAACTGAAATGCCAGCCTTATTACACTAATGGTAAGGAGAACTTTTGCTTGCCTGACAGATTTCAGCGCAGTTTGGAAAATGATTTTAAGGCCTTTATTTTTGGCACTGGAGGGGTTTAGGGATTTTTAATACATTTAAATTTCCTCGTGCATAGTGGGAGGTAAGTAGTTGCTTGTTAAAATTCTGAAAACACAGTTTCATGAAAACCTTCTGACTTTTCTTACAGTAGTGTTTATATTTGGCATCTTCCGTAGAATATCCATTAGTTATGATGTCAGAAGATACGGATGTGAAGTTTGCTTTTTGTGATCACATTGGAAGTGGATTTTGTTCATGGAAAATACTGGTTCACAAGCTCCTAGTACTAGAAAACTGGCCTGTGATTCATTTTCTCAGTAGAGCGTCCCTTATGAAATTGACAATGAGATTTCTAAGGAGAAAGACTAGTTGAACTTTATGTATACATTATCATCAAATTGTATTAAATGTACACCTGCCTGAGGGGTTAGCTCTAGACTTTGAGTTAGACTGGTGTCTATACTAAATCAGTTCAATAAATGCGCTGATATTATGTATTATTCATTTGGAGAGAAGTAGATAAAGCAGGGCAGAGTTTATATTTTAACATATTATGTAGCCTACATTTGCTCTGATGTGTATTATTATTATTATTATTATTATTATTATTATTATTTTTGAGACGAAGTTTCGCTCTTGATGCCCAGGCTGGAGTGCAACAGCGCGATCTCGGCTCACCACAACCTCCGCCTCCCGGGTTCAAGCGATTCTCCTGCCTCAGCTTTTTGTGTAGCTGGGACTACAGGCATGCGCCGCCACGCCTGGCTAATTTTGTATTTTTAGTACAGACTGGGTTTCTCCATGTTGGTCAGGCTGGTGGAACTGCTGACCTCAGGTGATCTGCCCGCCTCAGCCTCCCAAAGTGCTGGGATTACAGGCGTTAGCCACAGCGCCCGGCCTCTGATGTGTACTAGTAAGTCATATGGGGAGAAGTAGATGAAATAGGGTAGAGCTTATATGTGAACATATTATATAACCTACATTGTCCTCTAGAAAGCTGGAAACAAGTTAGTAAGTCTCAGTACTATTGGGGCATATGGTGAATATACAAACCAACCTAAAAAAGTGTGACTGTAAATAGATGAAGTTTGTTTGTTTCTTTTAAAGAGACAAGGTCTCGCTCTGGCGCCCAGGCTGGAGTGCAGTGGCTCAGTCCTAGCTCACTGCAGCCACGAAGTTCTGGTCTCAAGAGATCCTCCCACCTCAGCCTCCTGAGTAGCTGGGACCACAGGCACATGCCACCAAACCTGGCTAATTTTTTGTTTTATTTTTGTAGAGTCAAGGGTCTCACCATGTTGCTCAGGCTAGTCTCCAACTCCTGGCCTCAGGCAGTCCTTGCGCCTCAGCCTCTCGAAGTGCTGGGATTACAGGCCTGAGCCAACGGTGCTTGTCCCATTTTTTTTTTTTTTCACCTGAGTTATTTGATGGGAATTTCTATATATTACAGTTGCGATGTTCTGAGAATTTTTGTTTCTTTGATAATTGTTTCATGATTTAGATGTTTTCTTTTTACGCTGGTAGTTATGATTTTTTTTTCCTTTGAATGAAAGAATTTTATTAGGCATGTGAAACAGGAGTTTTCATGTGATCAGCTCTCCAGTTCTAAATTTGTGACTTTTAAAAAACTTGAATTTTTTTCTTTGCCTTAACCCAAACTTGAATTTGCTCAGCCATTGTATATTTATTTGAACTCTCAGATGATACAGCATTGAAGCAGAAAGTCCTTTTATCCATGCTTTTGGAGTAATCAAAAGAAGGAATTCTGTTGTGCCAAGTAAAAATATGTGTGGGAGATAGCTAGGCTTCAAGAGATTGACTTTGAAGAGAGTAGTGGCTAAGTAGCAAAAATTTCCTATATTGAAGGTGTAGAAGTGGGCCTGCATTCCAACCTACCATTGTCTTCAAGTGGGGTATGGATCATTATGACTGGTTAGAGGGGGTTTGGAGAATGAAGTTGTTGCTGTAAGCCTATGGGATTCCCAGGCACAGAGCTTGCTTATGTCTTAATTTTAATGAGTTCTATATTTTTATAACTCTTGACTTATATAAATGGGTCAGCCGTTGAGTCTGAGGATGACCAGCAGCCCAAGGCTATTCCAGGTGCTGGTATTTCTTTTTTTTTTTTTTTCTCTTTCTGTTTTTTTTTTTTTTTTTTTTTTTTTTAATTATACTTTAAGTTTTAGGGTACATGTGCACATTGTGCAGGTTAGTTACATATGTATACATGTGCCATGCTGGGAATTGAACAATGAGATCACATGGACACAGGAAGGGGAATATCACACTCTGGGGACTGTGGTGGGGAGGGGGGAGGGGGGAGGGATAGCATTGGGAGATATACCTAATGCTAGATGATGAGTTAGTGGGTGCAGCGCACCAGGTGCTGGTATTTCAAAGATGGCTCAGGGGTTTCTTGTGGAGATGATCTGATGAGCATTTTGCCATTACAAACAGTGGAGGCGGAGAAAGTACGGACTTGAGCCTGAGTTATGGTAAAACATACTCATTTTTAAAGGAGAGTTTTAATGCTGATATTATAGAGAAAGACATTGTTTGACTCCTAGACTTTCAGAACGGGAAATAATTTTGACTTTATAGTCAGTATTTGAATTGGGTATAAGTATGTGAACATCAGTGGACCCTAATAAGGAAGAGTTAATGAATTAAGAAGAGCTTGCATCTCTGAACATCTTCTTTTTATACTTCGTTTACTTCCCATATTGCTCTTATTCAACAGATGGGATGGCATAATTGGGTATACGAAGTTTATGCGCATGCTAACTCTTTTTTGTTATCTTTTGGTGTTTTTTGGTGTACTTTTTGGGGATTTTCCTGGGAAAGTTCTAGGCATATATTCAGTTGATTTAGAGTTAGATTTGGGCTAAGATTATTAGTATACTTGAAATTCTGAGCCTTCTTATTTTCTAAATAGCTTTTAAAGTAGAAAACATTTGCCAGTGCTGTTGGGCTTAAAAAAAAAAAAAACCCAACAACAACACAATTCTTTATAAATACTCATGAAAAATCTGGTTACAGGCTGTGTTGTGATAGACATAGTACAGCCAAAAATATATTTAAGAAAATTCTCACCCAGTTTAGTAAGCTTAAATAAGAGGAAAATAAGACAGTTTTTTTTTTTAATAAAAGGCTGATTTTCCCAGAATATGAAGCCTAACAACTGTTTGCTGTGTTATTTTCCCTGTTGCCTGTTCTAAATTCAGCAAGAACTATGCATCCCTAGTCCATGGTAAAAGCTTAGTTCCAGTAGGTGATTCTTAGTAATGGAAGTCTCATTGAGGGATGCAAGGGAATTTGATTGGGAAACATCAGGCATGGAACATTTACTTTTTACTGCTCTAATTTTCTGTGTATCTGGGTATTCAGTGGGGTGGGAACATGAGCACAAATACTAGAATTATCTGGATTTTTTTTTTATACTATGGATTTCCTCCTCTTACCCCCTACCTGCCCCCCAACCCATTGCTAAGTGAGCCATTGATAGTAGGAGTGTGTTATATCCTTCAGGTATGTAGGGCTGAACAAATGCTAAAAACCTTGGCACTTGGCTGATATTCCATAAACCAAATTCCTGCTCTGTGTAATTTGCCTTCTGGTGATATCAGTTTGTTACTCCCATTTTTGAAGAAAAATATGAATTGTGGTGAAGAGACATCTGTAACCAAGAGTAAGATTTATCAAATTATGTAGTATACATGAAGGACACCAGGAGATTGTTTACCTGAACATTTATTAAACTCATTTGACTGTGACCCACAATAAAAAATACATTTTACTACTTGATTCCGCAAGCGCACACACACACAAAGTTGAAAGTTTGGTGAAATAATATTTATCTTTTCAGGGCCCTACTGAGTTAGCTATAATGGCTTGCAAGACCAGTTGTGCATATTTCTTCCTATCTAGCTCTTTGTCCAGTGACATCATGTTGGTAGCTCAAAATTGGTCATGGTGGGAATATTTACACCAGGAAATTCAGCAAATGGTATTCTTAGGGCTTCCCTCCTCATAGGTAGTTGTTAAACATTTATAGCACCCCACTGCTTATAACACACATTGATATATTCTGTTATTTCATTTCATTTTAAAAATGCTGGGTTTTGACTTCCAAATTAATTTTACACCCAGCTAATGGATTATAGCCTACATTTAACAACAAATACAACTAGTTTAGCCTACCCTCTTAACTTTGTAAGTGAAGGAACATACTAAGAGCCTCAAGGCCAAGGTCAGATAGTGAGTTATTAGCAAAGCCAGGGCTCTGGACTCAATCTGGAGTTGTTTCTGGTGGGCTTCTTTCCTAACCTCACTTAGTGTGTATAAGGGATTGTGTTAATCAGTTTGAATAAAGATGGACCTTGACCCTGAGGACTTTATGCTTAGGTGGGGGATTAAATATGGAAACAACAGTGATAATGAAAGGCAGAAAGTAATGGGTGGTAAAAAGATAAAGATAAGGAACTATAAGAGTTTAGAGAGGAGGGAGAGATTACTTTTATTTTTGTTTGTTTGTTTGTTTTTCGTTTTTGACCCAGGCTGGAGTACAGTGGTACAATCTCGGCTCACTGCAACCTCTGCCTCCCAGGTTCAAGTGATTCTCCTGCGTCAGCCTCCCTGAGTAGCTGGGATTACAGGCGCCAACTGCCACACCAGGCTAATTTTTGTATTTTTAGTACAGACGGGGTTTCGCCATGTTGGCCCGGCTGGTTTTGAACTTCTGACCTCAGGTGATCCATCCGCCTCAGCCTCCCAAAGTGCTGGGATTACAGGCGTGAGCCACCGTGCCCGGTCTACTTTTAGTTTTAAGGATAAAAGAAGAGGTGACATTTGAACTACTTTTTTTTTTTTTTTTAATTTGGAGACAGCATCTCACTCCCGTTACTCAAACTGAGTGCTGTGGTGCCATCACAGCTCACTGCAT
Source organism: Homo sapiens (assembly GCF_000001405.40). Lineage (NCBI taxonomy): Eukaryota > Metazoa > Chordata > Mammalia > Primates > Hominidae > Homo > Homo sapiens. The sequence continues at coordinate 174,165,580 of NC_000001.11, forward strand.
CCTTGATTTCCTGGCCTCTAACAGTTCTTCTGCCTCAGCCCCCAAGTGGCTGGGACTATATAGGCACACACCAACATGCTTGGCTAATTTTTCATTACTTGTAGAGACGGGGTCTCATTATGTTGCCCAGGCTGTTCTTGAACTTCTGGACTGAAACTGTCCTCCTGCCTCGGCCTCCCAAAGTGCTGGGATTACAGTTGTGAGCCACCACGCCCGGCCCCTGAACTATGCTTTGAAGAATGGGTAGGATTTGGACATGTGGAAATAGGACAACTAGTATGAGAGAAAGGCCTTTCTGGGCCAGGGGCCAGGGTGATCAAAGGCATACAAGCATAGACAGGGAAAAATGAGTAGTGAAAGAGCTAGGCAAGAAAGAGTCCGTTAGCACCAGATGGTTAAGAGCCTAGAATGCCAGTTTTCCTTTCTGCTTTTCAGTTTATCTTTCATTTTTGACTCTGGAGTAATCTAGTACTTCTTAACATTGAACAGGATTTATATGTTATGATTAAAATATGATCCAGAGAGCACATAAGTATCCTTAGAGTAGAAGCTGAAGGGAAAAATTATTAGTGTTAGAGAAGCAACCTTGAGTTTACCAATCCTAAAAGTGTTGGAAAGTGAAAAATATTTTATTTGTAAGGAGAGACAGTGTTTTTTTTTTGTTTGTTTTTTGTTTTTCTTCATTAGCGTCAAATTGGCTGTAGTAGAACAGGAAGCAGTTTTGAAAGTCTTTACAAGGGCCTTCTAAAATGTGATTTCTAAATGACTGGATCTTAATTTTTGGAGGCAGGTTTAGTTCAGGCAGAAGGGTAGTTTATACAGATCTGCAGCTAAGCTGAGTAGCTTTTAGAATTTAGGGCAGCAAAGCAGGGTATTTTATACAAAATCCACTTGTAAGGAATTGATGGCTTCTTTATTCCAAGAATTTTCTTAGATTTCAGCATTTATGTCTTTGACAGCCTGTATGACTGAAGATGTTTTGAAGTCTTGGATGGAACTTGCCTTGTTTCACAGGGGAATTGGGTAGCTAGAAATGAAGGTATAAATGCCAGTAAGTTGTGTCTGTTAATCAAGTTGAAGTACTGGTGGCAGTTCTCAAGCTTTTCTGTCTGCTGATGATTTCACACTTACTGCTTCTAATTAAATAGTGTGTAGTCGATTTGAAGAAGCCTTGCTTCTCTTTGACCCACCAGTTCTGTAAAGGTAAAAGCCTTCTTAGAGTGTTGCCCAGGTAACAACACATACAGAGACTGCTTAATAGCTCATCATGGAAGTGTGTGGAAAATTTTGGAAATGTTGGTAAAGAAGTTGCTATAGTAAATAACTACTTGGTTGGTAAAAAGCTGGGCTACTTCTGGATAGTTGATAAAGAGTTTTTGAGATGAGCCGTGGTTCTAAAATAAATATGAATTGTGTCATTGCCACACGATTTTCTTCAGTTATGTAAGCTCCTAATATGTAAATGTTGTCCTACCATTTTAGAAGGTGTCAGCAGTTTCATGTGACCTGTTCCACAATATAGCACACCCCAAACACCACGATAAGAGTTCAAATATGGCATGGCCCAGATGCCTCACACCAGTTAAATGATAAAGCTAATCATGTCAGCACAGTGTTTCTGTTAAAGTTTTTTCCCCCTCTTTTTTGAGGCATGTTAGTTTTCACGAATTGAGGTTATTAGAATCTTTCCAGATTTTCTGCCACCATTTTTTTTGTGTGTGTGGTAAAAAGTATAATGATGGTGCCCTTAATTAAATTATGTAAACATTTGTAAAGATATACACGCATACACATAGTGTGCATATATGTATGTGTAGACATACATACATATATATTTACATATCATTAGTTCTTGGAATTTGTGGTGAAAATACACCCACCTGGCAAATGGTTGAAAACAAGTGTTCTAGCTCTTTGAAGACTACCATGTGAGTATTCACAAATATGAAAGTAATGCAAACCCAAAGGGAGTTTTTGTATGCCCAATTTCAAGAAAGGAGCACATTTTAAAAGGCAAGTATGGAATTCATTCATATACCAGTGAGGAATTTCTCAACTTCTCCTTTACCCCACACATACACCCGTTTACCATTCTCATTATTAGCAGTAAGCAAAATTAGAAGACTTTAAGAATCAGACTTCTACTACAAGTGATGCAAATAAATATTATTTTTAGAAAAAATACAAACCTGTGGTTTTGAGTTATGAAGGTTTAAGAGACACATATCACTAGTTTTTTTTATAAACTACATGGAGTGTTTTCTGTGCTTCAAGATGTCGTAATTGTCATTGTGAGGCCTTTTGCTGAGAGCATTGTATAAAGGAATAGTTGTTAGAATGGTTATTAGGTGTTTCTTTGAATAGTTTATTTTTCTGTAGTCAATTTATCTTGCATACATTGATGGCCGGGGGTGGTGGCCCACACCTGTAATCCCAGCACTTTAGGAGGCCAAGGCAGGCAGATCACTTGAGGCTAGGAGTTTGAGCCTAGCCTGGCCAAGATGGTGAAACCCCACCTCTGCTAAAAATACAAAAATTAGCCGAATGTGGTGGTGTGTGCCTGTAGTCCCAGCTACTTGGGAGGCTGAGGCACAAGAATCCCTTGAACCTGGGAGATGGAGGTTGCAGTGAGCCAAGATCGTGCCACTGCACTCCAGCCTGAGCTACAGAGTGAGACTCGGTCTCAAAAAAAAAAAAAAAAAAAAAAAAAATTGAATAGAGTATACTACTTTAGTGAAAAATTGACCATTGAAAAATCAACCATTGAAGGGAGGTTATATATATATTGGCAGACAGTAGGGTTTCTGAAGTTGTTTTAGAATAATTTTGTTATTGAGCAGCTGTTTTATCACCAGACCTCATTCATTTATTATTGCTTTTTTCCATTTTTTTTTAAATCTCATGAACTGTATTCTTTCATTTTAAATCTCTCATATTTGCCCTGAAGTCAGTGGTCATATTTGGACTAATGTTTTGATTTGCTGTTGTCTGCGCAAAGATCTATTACCAAGTTGCATGATCAAGTTGGTATTGAATGGTAATTCAGTTAATGTCTTCTTCTCTCCATTCCTTTTTTCCTTCTGTATTCTAGAAGTTACCTTAACACTAGTGTGAGATTCCTGGCAAAGTTAATGGGGAAATGAAATTAAATATTACTGTTATTCAAATCCTAGGGTGACCTTTTTGCCAACACTAATGAACATAGAAAATTTTTCAGCATGAATTATGCAGCTTAAATTTTCACTGAGGCTAGGCCTCTTAAGTTTAAAAAATTAAAAGTTAAAAAAATATTTATGGGGTACAAGTGCAGATTTCTTACATGTATAGATTCTTACATGTATAGATGTGGTGAAGTCTGGGCTTTTAGTATACCCATCACCTGAATATCCACCATTCTGTATGTCCATGTGTACCCATTGTTTAGCTGTCACATATAAGTGAGAACATGCGGCATTTGACTTTCTGTTTCTGAGTTATTTTACATATGATAATGTAGGCCTCTTAAGTTAAAAAACATTCTGACATGCATTTTATAGTTCTTGTCAACATTATCAATAGCTTTGATAGATGAAACAGGTTTCTCCTGTTGCAGTTGGTATCACACACAATAAATTAGCCATCCCTACCATTTGAAAATATAAAGGTGTTTTTTTTTTTTGACACGGAGTCTTGCTCTGTCGCCCAGGCTGGAGTGCAGTGGCATGATCTTGGCTCACTGCAGCCTCTGACCTCTGCCTCCCAGGTTCAAGCAATTCTCCTGCCTCAGCCTCCTGAGTAGCTGGGACCACAGGCACGTGCCATCATGTCTGGTTAATTGTTGTATTTTTAGTAGTATTTTCACTATGTTGGCCAGGCTGGTCTCAAACTCCTGAACTCGTGATCTGCCAGCCTTGGCCTCCCAAAGTGCTGGGATTACAGGCGTGAGTGACTGTGCCTGGCCCAGATAAAGTTTTTTTAAAAGATAATCTAGTAATAGTAGGAAAGAGAAACCAGTTTATCAGTTAATCTAATACTTCCTATTTTGAATATAAATTTCATTGTGTTGCATGGTAACTTCATTATGTTCCACTGAGTATTTACTTTTCTAAAGACAGACCTTTAACAATTTTTCCTTTTTTTCATGTTTTGGAGACAGGGTATCTCTCTGTTGCCCAGGCTGGAGTGCAGTGGCACGGTCATAGCTCATTGCAGCCTCAAACTTCTGGTCTCAAAGCGATTCTCCAACCTTCGTCTCAGGAGTAGCTGGTGGGACTATAGGACTGTACCCACCACACTCTGCTAATTTTTTAAATGGGAGTCTCCCTATGTTGCCCAGGCAGGTCTCAGACTCCTGGGTTTAAGCAATCCTCCTGCCTCAGCCCTTCCAAGCATTGGAATTACAGATGTGAGCCACTAAACCCTGCACAATTTTTCAACTTTTGGGAATTTCACTTAGAGGAGGATAATAGTAGCTTTTAGACATTTTTATCAGTTATCCAAGGGTGGAAAAAAATACTTAAAATGCAAGTAACTACAAACATTTTTGGTTTTGTGGGAGACAGTGTAGATAGAACATAGAACCTTAATTCTTGATCTAGTGCTGCTGTGAAATTCAGAGAGAATAAGTAATTTAGACACAACTTCTTTCTCCTCTTTGCACATTAACCATGAGCTAATATTGAGTGTTTACATGGGGTAGTTATTACATAAGAAAATGTACATTATCTCGCTAATCTTCACAGTAACCATATGAGGTAGGAACGATTATAATATCATCTCCAGTTTGCAGGTGAGGAAGCAGGATTAGAGAACTTCAGTAACTTACCTAAGATCACATAGCCAGGCGCCGTGGCTCATGCCTGTAATCCCAGCACTTTGGAAGTCCGAGGCGGGCAGATCACGAGGTCAGGAGATTGAGACCATCCTGGCCACATGGTGAAACCCCATCTCTACTAAAAATACAAAAATTAACCAGGCGTGGTGGCATGTGCCTGTAATCCCAGCTGCTCGGGAGGCTGAGGTAGGAGAATCGCTTGAACCAGGGAGGCTGAGGTTGCAGTGAGCCGAGATTGCGCCACTGCACTCCAGCCTGGACAGAGTGAGACGCTGTTTCAAAAAAAAAAAAAAAAAAAAAAATCACGTAGCTTGTGAGAGGCAGTTATCTCTTGCTTCTAAATCTGTCTCACAGTGACTCTCTACTACTACTCTGTATTGACAATCTTTAAATGGGATGGTACTTGTTTTGCACATTTCATAGGATAGTTATGAGAATCAAAAAAGATAAGATGTACAAAAGAACACACAGATGTCTCTGGTGTATTCATTTTATTGGATAATATTTGAGACACCAAAGAAATCTTTGAAATCTTGTACACATATTTGTTTGTAATCAGTAATGCTATAAAATAAGTTGAACAGATGAATATTTGAAAAGTTATCTATAAAGACATATTTTGTGTGGGTTCAAGGGATCTGTGAGTGAAAGGTAGAGGAATGCAGAAATGTAGGGATGTATTATAAAAAGTGGATCAGATGATCTCTAGCAGCCTGAATTCTTTCTGCAATGAGGAGTATATGTAAATAACAGGTGACCTATAAGATCCTTCCAACATCAATAATCTATGAGTCTTTGTTATGGGTTACTTATTTTCTGTTAGAATATCCTCAAATTAGCGAGATATGCCCAAAAGAGCTTTTTAATTTTATTTTAGCTTAGATCATCAATAATCACCATTCTTTCTTTGTCCATTTCTAAAATTGTTTATATTTAAGGTATACAGCATGTTTTGCTATACATATACAAAACATATACAGATACAAAATCATGAAATGATTTTTATGTTTTGATACACAGATACAAAATCATGAAATGATTACTACAGTTAAGCAAATTAACCTATCCATCTCCTTCTATAATTTTTAAAATTGTGGTATAAGCATCTAAAATCTGTCTTAGCAAATTTTATATATACTATACAATATGAATAATTATAGACTTCGCGCTATACATTAGCTCTCTAGACTTATTCATCCTACATAACTGCGAGTTTGTACCCTTTGACCTACTTATTCCCATTTCGTCCCCCTCCTTTCCCCTGGTAACTGTGGCTATACTCTTGTTTCTGCGTATTCAGCTTTAAAAAAAAAAAAAAAAAAGGATTTCGCTGGGTGTGGTGGCTCACGCCTGTAATCCCAGCACTTTGGGAGGCCGAGGCAGGCAGATCACGAGGTCAGGAGTTCGAGACCAGCCTGACCAAAATGGTGAAAACCCGTCTCTACTAAAAATACAAAAATTAGCCAGGCATGGTGGCATGTGCCTGTAATCCCAGCTATTTAGGAGGCTGAGGCAGCAGAATCGTTTTAACCCGGGAGGCGGAGGTTGCAGTGAGCTGAGATTACACCACTGCACTCCAGCCTGGGCGACAGAGTGAGACTCCATCTAAATAAATAAATAAATAAAAAGTAAAAAAAAGGATTTCATATATAAATGAGATCATGTAGTGTCTTTCTTTTTGTGTCTGGCTTATTTCATTTAACATAGTGTCCTCCAGGTTCATCTATGTTGTTTCAAATGACAGTATCTCCTTTTTTTTTTTTTAAGGCTGAATAATATTCCCTTGTGTGTGTGTGTGTGTGTGTGTGTGTGTGTGTGTGTGTGTATATATGCCACAAATTCTTTATCTGTTCATCTTAGGACAGACACTTAGGTTGTTTCCATAATCTAGGCTATTGTGAATAATGCTGCAATGAATATGTGAAAGCATATATCTCTATGAGGTGCTGATTTCAGTTTCTTTGGGTGTATACCCAGCAGAGGGATTGCTGGATCATAGGCAGTTCTATTTTTAATGTTTTGAGGAACTTCTATACCATTTTCCGTAATGTCTGTGTAGCAATTTACATTTTCAACAACAGTGTACAAGGGTTTCCTTTTCTCCACACTTTGGCCAACACTTTTGTCTTTTTGATAATAGCCATCCAAACAGGTGTGAGGTGATAGCTCATTGTGGTTTCGATTTGCTTTTCCCTGATAATTAGTGATGTTTTCAGTGCTTTTTCATATACCTGTTGGCCCTTTGTATGTCTTCTTTGGAAAAATGTCTCTTTAGGTTCTTTGCCCATTTTTTAATTGGGTTATTTCGTTTTGTTTTGTTTTTTGCTGTTGAGTTGTGAGAGTTCCTTATGTATTTTGGATATTAACCCTTTACCAGATACATAGTTTGCAAATATTTTCTCCCAGTCCATAGGCTGCCTTTTCATTTTGTTGTTTGTTTTGGAGAAGCTTTTTAGTTTGATGTAGTCCTACTTATTTATTTTTGCTTTTGTTGTTTGAGCTTTTGGTGTAGTATCCACCAATATCATTGCCAAGGCCGAACAATATCAGGGAGCTTTTCCCTTGTGTTTTCTTCTAGGGGTTTTAAGGTTTTATTATAGATATTAGTGTTTACTTCTTTAAGCTATTTTAGCAAACATTCTTTAAATGTCAGTTGCACTTAGATTGAATATAAATATATAATTATCTGAGTAAGATGCAGCTATGGTGTTTTGCTTTTTCCCCTCCAAGTTAAAAAGATTTTTTTTTTTTTTTTAAGATGGAGTCTCACTCTTGTTGCCCAGGCTGGAGTGCAATGGCATGGTCTCGGTTCACCGTAACCTCTGCCTCCCAGGTTCCAGTGATTCTCCTGCCTCAGCCTCCCGAGTAGCTGGGATTACAGGCGTGCACCACCATGCCCGGCTAGTTTTGTATTTTTAGTAGAGATGGCGTTTCTCCATGTTGGTCAGGCTGGTCTCAAACTCCCAACCTCAGGTAATCTGCCCACCTCAGCCTCCCAAAGTGCTGGGATTACAGGCGTGAGCCACAGCACCCGGCTGTTAAAAAGATTTTTTAGAGGATGGGGTGGGTGAAGTGGCTTACTATTACATTATTACATACTTGGTTCTTAATGCATTTCTTATGACTTCCTCTCAAATTTGGATTTCCTGAGTGTGCATTTTGAGAAGAAACTTAATATCATTATATATATGAAAGGTCATTTTAATTTTATGTAGTAAGTTTATGGCTTTTTATACAGTTGGTTTCATTCTCTGTCGTTTTTTTTTCAACAAGTATTTATTTATAAGGTAGAATATGGGTTTTGTGCTGGAGAAGCAGAGATGAGAGATTGTTGAAGAGCTGACAGTCTTATTGGGGAAACAGATGAATAGAGAGTGGCAAGGAAGGGGCACCACAAGGTGTGTCTTCAGAAGGATATGTAAACTGATCTGGGTTTCAAGTAAGGCTGTCTGGAATATCTGAGTTGAGTTTATAGAAAGCAAGAGGGATATTTTAGATATAGGTATGAAACTTTGAAATAGTAAGTCTTTACCTATCTAGACTCAGTGGCAGTACCTCATCTCTCTGAAACATTACAAAAGCCCCCAAATAGTTGTCAGTTTAATAAGAAATTCTTTATAAATAAAGCTCTTTAGGCTGTCGCTGAGAGCTTATTTTTACTTTATATATGATACTTAAGGTTTCTAAGGTTGTAGTAGATTAAGGAGGAATAATTTACAAGCAGCAAGATGCTGCAATAAACATACTGATAACAAGACAGATTTCTGACAACATGATAGCAATGAAGAAATTGGAAAAAAAATACACACACACACACACACACACACACACACACACACACAACTGAATAAGTCATAGATAATACAAGGAAAACATCCTTGGACAACTAAATTAGCTTTAAGGGTATCAAATGTATTTGTAATACTATAGAATAATAATGAAAGTTTGCTGTGCTCTCTGTTACCAAGAAGACATGAAATATATGTCCTGTATAGTATATATATTAGTTAGGATTCTTCAGAGAAACAGAACCAATAGGATAGCTATGTGTAGATACAGATCTGTTGGAATTGGCTTACACAATTATGGAGGCTGAGAAATCCCGTGATAGGCCGTCTGCAAACTAGGGAACTAGGGAAACCAGTAGCTCATTTCAAGTCCAAAGGCCTGAGAACCAGCAGAGCCAACATTGTATTAGGTTGGTGCAAAAGTGATTGAGGTTTTTGCAAAATAACTCTCAATTCGAGGCTGAAGGCTGAAAAACTAGGGGGCTGCTGATGCAAGTCCTGGAGTCCAAAGGCTGGAGAACCTGAAGTTCTGAGGTCAGAGGGCAAGAAAGACAAATGTCTGAGCTCCAGAACAGAGAGTGAGTGAATTTGCCCTTCCTCTGCCTTTTTGTTTTATCTTATCCCCCAGCAGATTGGATGGTGCCTGCCCACACTGGGTAAGGGTAGATCGTTCTTACTCAGTCTATTGATTCAAATGGCAGTCTCTTTGGGAAACACCCTCATAGGCAAATGCGGAAATAATGCTTTTACTAGCTATCTGGGTATCCCCTAGTTTAGTCAAGTTGACAACTAAAACTAGCTATCACAGTAAATTTATGAAGGTGTCAAAGTATTTATATTACTAAGATTTTTAAAATATGAAATAGGATGAAAACCAGGGGGTAAACTTAGTACAGTTATCAAATTGTTTTTTTCAGCATGATTGATTTCTAAAAGGCTTTGAATAACCATAGATTTAATTTTCTTGTATATGACACAGACCAGTAGATTATGGAATGCTAGACATTGTTCAGTACAATATTATATAACTGTAGTTAGAAATTACTTAGATACCAGAGTTATGGTTCTTAACCACTTGGGTACCAAGAATTTTTAGAGAGCATGAACCATGTCGTCTTTTTGTTCTGGATGGCATGAAGTTGGGGTCTGAGCATAGATATCATCTTAAAAAGCCTTTCTTGAGACTGTGGTCTCTGTTAGAAATCTCTCATTTGTGCTTTTAAAGCATTCAGTTTTCCTCTTTGTTGTCATACTAATCACATTGTATTGCAACTTGCCTGTTTCTGCATTAGACTACAGGCTTTCTTTTTTCTTTTTTTTTTTTTTTGAGACAGAGTCTTGCTATCTTGGCTCACTGTAACCTCTGCCTGCTGGGCTCAAGCAGTTCTCCTACCTCAACCTCCTGAATAGGGACTACAGGCACGTGCCACCACGCCCGGCTACTTTTTTTTTTTTTTTTTTTTGAGACGGAGTCTTGCTCAGTTGCCCAGGCTGGAGTGCAATGGTGCGATCTCAGCTTACTGCAACCTCTGCCTCCCAGGATCAAGCGATTCTCCTGCCTCAGCCTCCTGAGTAGCTGGGATTACAGGCACCCACCATCATGCCTGGCTACATTTTGTATTTTTGTAGAAATGGAGTTTCACCATGTTGGCCAGGCTGGTCTTGAACGCCTGACCTCAGGTGATCTGCCCTCCTTGGCCTCTCAGAGTGCTGGGATTAGAGACATGAGCCACCGTGCCCAGCCAGTATTACTTAATTCTTATAATAGTCCTGTATTACTAACAGTTTAGCGAGAAGACAGCATTGTTTTAGATTTTGCAAACCTGTGTAATGTCTGGCTTTGTAGAAGACAGACAAATTCTCATATTTGTCACTGCATTCACCCTATTGCAGTATGCTTTTTGGGTTGAAATATCCAAAGAAAAGCTGGCCTCATATGTAGCTTGTAAAGGGAGGAGTATTTTAATAGTCTTTTAAGGTAATGTTGATATTTTTCTTTCATATCACACCAGAATTCTACAGTTGGTAGTTTTATATTAATGGTTAGTTGCCATGTAAAATCTTACATCACATTAATGAACTTTTTGTAACCTGTTACATTTAAAATCCACTGGTCTGTCTTGCAGTTTGAATGGATCTTTTATCTATGTGTAATTTTATAACTCGTCATTTGTAAGGCATTGGTTCACTGATTTATGCAGATCTTTATAATATTGGCACATCTTATTATACAATATAAAGAAGTCAAGCTGGGCATGGTGGCTCACGCCTGTAATCCTAGCACTTTGGGAGGCCGAGGCGGGCGGATCGCTGGAGCTTAGGAGTTCAAGATTAGCCTGGGCAACATGGTGAAACGCTGTCTCTACCAAAAATACAAAAAACTTAGCCAGGCATGGTGGCACATGCCTGTAGTCCCAACTACTTGGGAGGCTAAGATGGGAGGATCACTTGAGCCTAGGAGGCGGAGGTTGCAGTGAGCTGACATGGCACCACTGTACTCCAGCATGGACAACAGAGGGAGACCCTTTTTCAGAAAAAAAAAAAAAAAAAAAAAAAAAAAAAAAAAGGTCAACATTTGTTAATACTGCCATCAGTGTCATCAGAAAAGTCTTCTAAGGGCTGGGCATGGTGGCTCACGTGTGTAATCCCAGCACTTTGAGAGGCTAAGTCAGGCAGATCATTTGAGTCAGAAGTTTGGGACCAGTCTGACCAACATGGTGAAACCTTTACTGAAAATACAAAAAAATTAGCTGGGCATGGTGGTGGGCGCCTGTAATCCCAGCTACTCGGGAGGCTGAAGAAGGACAATTGCTTGAACCCAGGAGGTCAAGGTTGCAGTGAACTGAGATAACACCACTGGACTCCAGCCTGGGCGACAGAGTGAGACCCTCTCTCAAAACAAAACAAAACAAAACCAACAGTGTAAAACGTTCCTGTTTCTCCACAGCCTTGCCAGCATCTGTTGGTTCCTGACTTTTTAATAATTACCATTCTAACTGGCGTGAGATGGTATCTCATTTTGGTTTTGATTTGCGTTTCTCTAATGACCAGTGATGATGAGCTTTTTTTCTTATGTTTGTTGGCCGCATAAATGTCTTCTTTTGAGAAGTGTCTGTTCATATCCTTCGCCTACTTTTGATGGGATTGTTTGTTTTTTTCTTGTAAATTTGTTTAAGTTTCTTGTAGATTCTGGATATTAGACCATAGTTAGATGGGTAGATTGCAAAAATTTTCTCCCGTTCTGTAGGTTGCCTATTCACTCTGATGATAGTTTCTTTTGCTGTGCAGAAGCTCTTTAGCTTAATTAGATCCCATTTGTCAATTTTGGGTTTTATTAAAATTGCTTTTGGCGTTTTAGTCATGAAGTCTTTGCCCATGCCTATGTCCTGAATGGCATTGCCTAGGTTTTTTCCTAGGGTTATTATGATTTTGGGTTTTACATTTAAGTCTTTAATCCATCTTTAGTTAATTTTTGTATAAGGTGTAAGGAAGGGGTCCAGTTTCAGTTTTCTGCATATGGCTAGCCAGTTTTCCCAACGCCATTTATTAAGTAGGGAATTCTTTCCCCATTGCTTGTTTTTGTCAGGTTTGTCAAAGATCAGCTGGTTGTAGATGTGTGGTGTTATTTCCGAGGTCTCTATTCTGTTCCATTGGTCTGTATATCTGTTTTGGTAGCAGTACCATGCTGTTTTGGTTACTGTAGCCTTGTAGTATAGTTTGAAGGCAGGTAGCATGATGCCTCCAGCTTTGTTCTTTTTGCTTAAGGTTGTCTTGGCTATATGGATTGTTTTTTGGTTCCATATGAAATTTAAAGTAGTTTTTTCTAATTCTGCAAAGAAAGTCAATGGTAGCTTGATGGGAATAGCATTGAATCTATAAATTACTTTGGGCATATGGCCATTTTCACGACATTGATTCTTCCTATCCGTGAGTATGGACTGTTTTTCCATTTGTTTGTGTCCTCCCTTATTTCCTTGAGCAGTGGTTTGTAGTTCTCCTTGAAGAGGTCCTTCATGTCCCTTATAAGTTGTATTCCTAGTTATTTTATTCTCTTTGTAGCAATTGTGAATGGCCTGATTTGGCTCTCTGCTTGTCTGTTGGTGTATAGGAATGCTTGTGATTTTTGCACATTGATTTTGTATCCTGAGACTTTGCCGAAGTTGCTTATCAGCTTAAGGAGTTTTTGGGCTGAGATGGGTGGTGGCAGTATAAATTAGTTCAGCCATTGTGGAAGACAGTGTGTCAATTCCTGAAGGATAAAGAACCAGCAATACCATTTGACCCAGCAATCTCATTACTGGGTATATACCCAAAGGATTATAAATCATTCTGCCATAAAGACAGATGCACACGTATGTTTATTGCAGCACTATTTACAATAGCAAAGACTTGGAATGAACCCAGGTGCCCATCAGTGATAGACTGGATAAAGAAAATGTGGCACATATACACCATGGAATACTATGCAGCCATAAAAAAGAATGAGTTCATGCCCTTGGCAGGGACATGGATGAAGCTGGAAGCCATCATTCTCAACAAACTAACAAAGGAACAGAAAACCAAACACCGAATGTTCTCACTCATAAGTGGGAGTTGAACAGTAAGAACACATGGACCCAGGCAGGGGAACATCACATACTGGGGCCTATTGGGGGTTGGGAGGCAAGGGAAGGGAGAGCATTAGGAAAAACAGGTAATGCATGCAGGGCTTAAAACCTAGGTGACGGGTTGATAGGTGCAGCAAACCACCATGGCACATGTATACCTATGTAACAAGCCTGCACATTCTGCACATGTATCCCAAAACTGAAAGTAAAACAAACAAAAACAAAACAAAACAAAACAATCCCAGAAAAGTCTTTTAAGTAGTGTGAGGCTGTTAAGCTAGTTTTTTTTTATTTTTTATTTTTCAAGAGACAGGGTCTTGCTGTGTTGCCCAGGCTGTACTCAAACTCCTGGGCTCAAGCGATCCTCTTGCCTTAGCCTAAGCTGATTTTTTTTTTTGCTTGAAGCTAAAATTTTATCATTGGCAACAAATACTGTCAGTTGTTTTCTTCGAATTGACTGTGTTAGCTTGTTCCATTGAGAGAAAATGTCTTCCAAATACCCAAGTCCTTACAACTATAGTTTGTCAGTTAGTTGTTCTTTAAAGTAAAAATGGTACTCTGTGAAGAAAATGGTTAATTTAACTTGCCACTCAAACAATTGCACAAGTGCATTTTCTTCTGAAAACTATTATACTTTGGTGTGCAGCAGAAATACTTTGTGTATTTCCTACTTTGTCACATAGAATGTTAAAAAGATGTGTGCTCAAAAGGTTGGAGATAATTTTTACTGTTTCATTAAAGACAGTCTTAGCACGTGCACACACACACACACACACACACACACACACACACACACTTTTTAACTGAGCATATATGGTTGTACAGTGACTACCAGTATACTTTGGTGCTGCTGTTTCATTTGTGTTAAGACACCAGCAATCTTACCCACCATTGCTTTTGCATCATCACATTAGCACAGTGAAAAAAGCAAATAATGTCTCAGTATTATTAGGAAAATTGCTCTGACCTTATGAACTCTCTGAAAGGGTCTTGGGGGACTTCTGGGGTCCATGGACCACACTTTGGGAATAGCTGGAATAGAGCAAGCCCTGTATAAGCCCAGCAATTTGTTGTTCAATGTTACTTTTTCATCTTATGTATGCATTTAATGTAGAAAATAATATGTTAGTAGTATTCAAGAATTTGGACATTTGTTAAAGTCTCAGAATATATTCCTTGGAGATAGCAAGAGTATGCTGGAGCAAACATTTTTTAAATAACTTCATTGAAACATGTTTTATAATGCATATTCTTAAGACTCTTCTTCCTAAAAGGAATAAAGAATTAGTTGAGATTTCCATAAGGGATACCTTTATATCAGTTGCTAAGTTCAGGGTACTGATCCTGTATAAGAATAGCTTCCAATTCAGATCTATAAACAACAAAATAGTTTAGTGAAAACACACACACAGGATTTGGAGTGGCAGAGAACTAGTAGTTCTAGAGCCAGACAGACCTGGTTTGAACCCTGACTCCACTGTTGTAACCTTGGGCAAGTTGGTGTGACCACACTGTCATTTCTTAGCACTCTTTACTGCCGCTTTATATGTTCTTGAGGTCTTTCATTAGTACTAGAATAATGATACAATGATAGTGATGCATGTAATCATGACAATTGGAAACTTGCTATTTCCTCCATTAGCTAAAATTTGAAAGCCATAATTGATAAACTTTGCTTAAGTTGTACATTTTTTTGAGATAAGGTCTCACTCTGTCACCTACCTTAGAGTACAATAGTGTGATCATAGCTCACTGCAGCCTTGAACTCCTGGGCTCAAGGGATCTTCCTGCCTTAGCCTCCCAAGTGGCTGGGACTGAAGGCATATGCCACCACGCCTGGCTAATTTTTTATATTTTTTTGTAGAGACAAGATCTCGCTTTGTTGCCCAAGCTGGTCTCGAACTCCTGGGCTTCAGTTATCCTCGTGCCTTGGCCTCCCAAAGTGCTAGGATTACAGGCATGAGCCACCGCATCTGGCCAAGTTTTACTTTTATTTTGTGAAAATAGTACCTGGTAGCCTCTGAATAATATATATTTCTTGTTGTGTTTTAAAATTTGCTTATTTGTGTTCATATATTCACTCTTGATAATTTAATAATTATTAAAACACTCTGTGCCTGGTACTTGTTTCATGCTTTACCTGCATTATTTCATTTAAGATCAATATGTGAAGTGGGCACTTCTCTTACATTTAATTCACAGACGAGAAAACAGAGGATACAGGGAGATTGAGTAACTTGTCCTATATGATATGGTTTATAAGTGGCAGAACTGAGATGTAAACTCTTTTCTATTAGGTTCTTTTTTGCTACAACTAACACCAGAAAAGTAGCTTAAACTTAGGATGTATATAGGTTATATGCCAGTACTAAGCCATATTATTTTATTTTGATTTTTTTAAAGAGATGAGGTCTTGCTGTATTGTCCAGGTTGGTCTTGAATTCCTATGCTTAAGTGATCCTCTCACTTTGGTCTCCCAAGTAGCTGGAATTATGTGCATGTGCCACTGTGCCTAGCTACTAATCATTTTATACAAGGGTCTTTCTTTTTTTCTTTTTTTTTTTTTTTGAGACGGAGTCTTGCTCTGTCACCCAGGCTGGAGTGCAGTGGCGTGATCTCGGCCCACTGCAAGCTCCGCCTCCCAGGTTCACGCCATTCTCCTGCCTCAGCCTCCCGAGTAGCTGGGACTACAGGTGCCTGCCACCACGCCCAGCTCATTTTTTGTATTTTTAGTAGAGATGGGGTTTCACCGTGTTAGCCAGGATGGTCTCGATCTCATGACCTCGTGATCTGCCCACCTCGGCCTCCCAAAGTGTTGGGATTACAGGCGTGAGCCACCATGCCCAGCCTGTACAAGGGTCTTGAGCATCATCTGTGGATTTTGGTATCCATGGGGGATCCTGGAATCAAGCCCCCACAGATACTAAGGGACTGTAACCACCATTAGTAGGGCTGTGAAGAGAGAGTATGTGTGTAAGGTCACTATTCCTGAGCATATGCCAGTAAGGGAGACAGCTTAAACAAATTAAGGGCTCTGCCAACAGAAAGAAGGGAGGTGGGTAGGAATGATTATTTACATAGGTAACAAAGAGTGTCTGCACCTTTGTGTCTTTTAACTACTACTATACTGTACTCCCTCCCTAATTTAAGAAGATATTTTAAAATAGCATAAATGAGGGAGAAATATAAATGGTAATAAATTTCAGGATAGAAGAAATCCTATGGAGATTTGACAGTTACAGTGGTTAGGTAGTCTAAGTTCTGATGCAGATGGATAAGTAATACAGATCATGTTAAAAAGCAACTTTGGGTTGAATTAATATAACTGTGTCCTCCGTGGACTGTTGAGTAACCACTTGCTTTACTTAACCCTAATTGGCTTCATATTAAATAATTTGGTTTAGCTGTGTAGTTTCAGGGCTATGGGAAGAAACTGAGGAGATTCGGGGAAAAAAAAATGAAATATGCATTAAGGAGATGAAGCATAGGCTTTCTAAGCTAATTACCAGAATTAGTGGAATTTCTCTGTATTTTGGTTGAGAGAAAGTTAGTAAGTGACCTTAATAGTTTTCAAGCTTGTAAAATTTCTAAGTCGAAATGGTTCTTGTCTCTCCCACCCCTTCAATTCCTAGAAGACGAAATTGAGATTATCATAAAATACTTTGGTTAGAGGTAAAGAACAGCTTTCTGACTGTAGAGGTTATTAAACACTGGATCTCAGGGGAAGAGGGCCAGCTGTAGGTTTTAGTCAAAAGATGAAGTGAAAAGGCAAGACCCATAAATCACAAATTATAGTTTAAGCAGTGAAATTATAGTTTAAGCCATTTTTGAAGCTGTTGGAGTTGGGACATAATTCTGAGTCTGAATATTTCCACAGTCAAGCTCCTGAAGGTCCTGCCTCCCATCCTATCCTCTCTCCCCACTTGAGTGAATCTTTGTTAGCATTTAAGACTTTTACTTCCCCCCGTAAACAGCTCTACAACAGTGTAGAATGTAAAAAATTAGAACTGCAAATATGTGTTGCCCTGACAAATACATCAACTATTTTGATTTTCTTTCATGTTGCCTTTCTCAGTATGGCTATTTAAAGTTTCTTAAGACATTTTTTTCCCACTAAGTTATTTATATTTATTATAGAAAACCAGAAATAACTTCTGTGAACATGTTGTAATATTTTTCTAAAGCTATTTCTTTATATGCATGTGTTTTAGAGTTGTGTGATTCTGTAGTTTCATAACAGCATGCATAATAACACTGAGTTATAATAGTTCCCTTATTATCTCTTTCCTATTAGACTGTGAGCCCCTTTAAGGCATATATTATTGTTTTCATCTTTATATACCTTGAAAAGTTGATGTACTTCACATAAAGATGAGGCGAGAGTTGTAGATACAATTTGTATATTTTCTTGATCTATTATTAGCATTTTCTTCCAAATTTTATTAAAATGGATGCCAATAAAAACAGATACATTATTCAACTCACTCTTTTGCCCAGGCCCTGCCGTGGTGAAGATCACGGCTCACTGGGGTGTTGCTTTGTTGCCTAGGTTGGTCTCGAACTTCTGGGCTTAAGTGATACTCCTGCCTTGGCCTCCCAAAGTCTTGGGATTACAGGTGTGAGCCACTGTGCGAGCCGCTGTAACCGGCCTAAAGATATACTTTATTTTTTAAAGCAGTTTTAGGCCCACAGCAAAACTGAGCAGAAAGTACAGACAGTTCCTGCATACCCCTGCCCTTACACAACGTGCACAGCCTTCCCCACTATCGACATTCATACATCAGGGTAGTAAATTTGTTACAGCTGATGAACCTACTTGACACATCATTTCTTCACCTTAAGTCTGTAGTTTATATTAGATTTCACTATTGATGTTATACATTCTATGGGTTTTGACAAATGTATAGTGACGTGTGTCCACCATTATTAGTATCATATGGAATGGTTTCACTGCTCTAAAAATCCTGTCTTCAGCCTATTCCTCCCTCCCTGGACCCTAGTTTGTCTTGCCTCAATACTTTTGCCTTTTCCAGAATGTGATACAGTTGAGTCACAGAATATACAGCCCTTTCAGATTGGCTTTTTTTTTTTTTTTTGAGATGGAGTCTCACTCTGTTGCCCAGGCTGGAGTGCAGTGGCGCGATCTCGGCTCACTGCAAGCTCTGCCTCCTGGGTTCACGCCATTCTCCTGCCTCAGCCTCCCAAGTAGCTGGGACTACAGGCACCCACCACCATGCCCGGCTAATTTTTTGTTTTTTTTTAGTAGAGACGGGGTTTCACCGTGTTAGCCAGGATAGTCTTGATCTCCTGACCTCGTGATCTGCCCACCTCGGCCTCCCAAAGTGCTGGGATTACAGGTGTGAGCCACCGTGCCCGGCAGATTGGCTTCTTTCACCTAGTAAAATGCATTTACTGTTCCTTTGTGTTTTCGTGGCTTTGTCACTCATTTCTTAGCATGGAATAGTATTACATTTTGTCTGGATGTACCACAGTCTGTCTGTTCATCTACTGAAGGACATTTTGGCTGCTTGCAAGGTTTGACAGTTATGAATAAAGCTGCTGTAAATATCCATGCGCAGGTTTTTGTATGAATACGTTTTCAACTCATTTGGGTAAATACCAGGGAGTGCAATTGTGGGGTCATATGGTAAGACTGTGTTTAGTTTTGTAAGAAACCATCAGACTATCTTCCAAAGTAGCTGTATTATTTTGCATCCCCACTAGCAGTGAATGAAATGACATCATAAATTTAAATTCACTTAAAATGTCCAAAACGAAATCTGTCAGCATTTTTAAAAAAATAAATTAAAACAAAAACGAAACACTTTTAAGCTCAGGAAAGTAACCTCCAGAGTACTTTCAGAATATCCCAGACAAATTGGGGCTTTGCAGATTAATATTTGCAGGTTGATCTTTGCCTGGGATCTTCCATATAAAACTAAAAAATGAAGTCTGTGGTAGCTGTTCTTGCCTAGAGTCTCTGCTAACACAGAAGTTTCGTGAAATTTTATGGTGTTAATCCCTTGTAAACTATGGATTTAGAAACTCATATTCCCAGACTAAGACTAGTCTCTTTATTTATTTCTTCAATTCCTAGTAGCCAAAGGTAATTAGATTTTACTTTTGGCAGGTGTATGCTAGCGATGTCTACTTTATTTAAGAAGATGCTCAACCTCTAAGTGGTGTGGGAGGTGTTTCTAAAGGTCACTCAAGGTTGGGGTACAGTTGTGGTGGCAACCCTTCCCTGCCTAACTTGTTGTTTGCTCTATAGGGCAATGATTCTTGACCTCTTTGGGTTATAGATTTCAATGAAGTGTTTCTAGGGAAAGGAGGAACCTGGGAGAGATCTGTCAGTGCTCTCTGCTATCCTTTTGTTTGTAGTGACAGTATCTGCAAAATATGGGGACACCTTAAGATGCCTTATAATCTTTTAGATCTATTAGGTTGGTGCAAAAATGATTGCCGTTAATAACTTCAAAATCTACCGGTTAGGGATCATTCAGTAAGCAAGTAAATATACCAACTGAGGTGGAGAAAAGTGTAGGCAGCTTGCTTTGAGAATTTTAGAGCTAAAGTACAGTGAAGGGTAATTTTAAATTTTACTTCTTTTAGAAGGTTTTATTTATAATTAAATTGCTTTTTTGGTTTTATTTGAATAAATATAAAATTATACATTCAAATAATTATTTCTTGAAATTTTCTCCTTTATTTTAAAATGCTGGTTAGTATGTGATAGTTGTAGCACATTTAAAGAAGAATACAAGTAAAAAGTGCAATTCTACTTCTCCCTATACATTGTTTAATAAGCATATGCCTTTTAAAAAATGACCTTATAATGGGCTGAGTATATTTTGGATATTGTTCTGTGGCAGCATAATACCACATAACTTAATTAACTGTCTCCTTATTGTTAAATGTTTAGATTCCCTCCTTCCTGCACCCCCTTTGAAAGCAATGCTGACATGTGTGTCCTTGTAATTGTACTTTGATATATTGGCAAGTATTTTCCTGGGACAGAATTTTGCAGATGGATCACTGGATTATTGTGTACATTTACTTTAAAATTTGCTTAAAGTCGGGGCGCGGTGGCTCACACCTGTAATCCCAGCACTTTGGGAGGCCAAGGTGGGCGGATCACCTAAGGTCGGGAGTTCGCGACCAGCCTGACCAACATGGAGAAACCCCGTCTTTACTAAAAATACAAAATTAGCCAGGAGTGGTGGTGCATGCCTGTATTCCCAGCTACTTGGGAAGGGTGAGGCAGGAGAATCGCTTGAACCCGGGAGGCGGAGGTTGCGGTGAGCCGAGATTGCGCCATTGCACTCCAGCCTGGGCAACAAGAGCGAAATTCCATCTCAAAAAAAAAAAAAAAAAATTTCTTAAAAATTTTCTTTTAATTCTAAGAGAGTTTTATGTTGACTTCTAGTGCTTTTTGGGCGCTGATGCTCACACTTATTTTGATAAAGATGAAAGATGTTTACCAAATAGAATATTGGACATAGAAACTCCCAAGGAAATTCTCTACGTAGCTGAATTTCAGGCAGATGGTGAAGATGCAAGGATAATCTCACAAAGTTATAGCTAACAATCACTAATTCTGGGTGATTTGGCAATGTTTTGGCAAGCAGTTATTTTAAACTGCTTTCTAGTAAGAAATAATTAAAGTCAATGCTTTGATTTAAAAAGAATGCATATGGTTAAAATTTAAAGAGTTCAGAATGCTATCTGTCTACTATATAGATCCCTGCTCCCCTTCTACACCAACCTGTAGAAAAACTAGTCAGCTCAGTTATTCAGAGGCTGATTTCCCAGTTTGTTATTATCTGTGTACTTTTATTCTCCACATTTGACCTGTTACTACTCAGTTCTACATCTGCTAGTATGGACATGTAAAGGAAAGGGAGAGAATGTGATCAGATCTAGTAAATGATGGGTTAATTGAAGAAGTTGTTTAAAGTTAGGAGTCATAAAAACATAACATACATACACTTTAAACATTTTATTTTAACTTGAAATCGAGGTATACATTTATTTACCAAGATTTTGATGTTGGGCCAAGGCCTTCTGGCATTCTATATCTTGGTCTTTCTTTCATCCATTTCCCCTATAATGCTTCATTGTAGATTTTTCAATGTACTTAAAACTTTAAATCCTTAAATGTGGTACAAGACTGTACATTATGTGGCTCTTTGCCAGTTTCTTCGAAATCTACTTATCCTTAGGTTTTCTGTGATAAGTTTCACTGACTTTTCAGTTTCCGAAACTTGCCTCAGCGCCTTTCCACATATTGTTCCCATAACCTGGAATGATAATTTCTTTAAATCCTTGGCTGGCCCAGATCTTTTGAGGTCTCTTCTCAAATGTTCTGTCCTCAGAGAGGCTTCGTAAATATTAGATAATATTCCAGTATAAAGTAGGATAACCCCAACCTCCCCACAAGCCCACTAATATCACCCTTTTCTCTTCCTTCACTCTACCTGCCAAATGTGGCAGGTAGAGTGAAGGAAGTGAACAGGGTAATTTTCTTTTTACAAGACTGAAGCCTCTGTGAAGGCAAGGGCCATCCATATATATTGGGTTTACCATAGTGTAATAGCCTTTGGTTAGAGCAGTGTCTGCTATGTAATAAGAAGCTTAAATATTTGTAGACTTAATCAAATGTTTATTATTTATATATAAAGTGTCAGGCACTGTGGGGGGCATTACTTAGTAAAATGCCACTTAGTCATCTCATTGATAGCCTATAGTACATTTTAAAATGGAAGTGTGTACATCCAAGTATGCATTTAATGAAATATGGGACATTTAAAAAAGTTTTCAGATGCTAATACTGAAGAGAATAATGCAAATTTACTAAAATAATTAGGACCCTTTTTAAAACATGGGGGCAATGTTGCTTATCTTTTTAAAAATAGTCATTTATTTTTCGTTCACTATCTTAAGAATTCTGATCATCTTGTAGGAAACTTAGAAACACTAGGAAGGTCATAGGCACTATTATTAATAATTATAGAATTGTTTTCCTCTAAATTAGAGTTTTCTTTGTGACCCTACATAACGTAATGATATTTGCTCTCTGGAGAGCCAAATGGGCCTGAAGTATAGAAACAGAACTGAAATATAGATAATTAAAACTAAACTAATATACTATAATTCTGATTGTTATGTCTTAAGATTTGTTGGCCTTAATAAGGTGTGCTGGGATAAACAAAAAGGAAGGCATCATTTGTAAAGGTTTTCTTCTTTAATCCCACTTTTGTTTTTGCATGACCAGAAATTCTCTGATATAGCAGGGTATACTTTATATAAAGACTATGGGCAGTAAGTGTTTAGTGTTTGTCTTTATATTAGGTCTATAGAGTGTGGTTTCTTGATTATGGGTGAGGAAATTAGCCTTTCAAATTCCATTAGCTGTAAAGTGGATTTGGATTTGGTATTTGTATTGGTTGGCTAATTTAATTCAAATCTTTTAAAATTCTCGTGCTGAAATGATCTTAGGAAGATCAAAATTTCTCTAACAGAAATTATTTTGGTCTTTGAAGTGTATAAATTTAACCTGTTCATAAAATAAGTATTATCAGCTGGTATGTTTCTTATACTTTTCTGGGAATACAAAAATGAATAAAGCATGGTGGTTGTCTTAGAGGAAATAATTGTAATTGATGAGATACATATAAATAATGTGATACGATAAATGCTAGAGTAGGAATATAAATTATGTCAAGTGTTGTATAAGCACTGTAGAGGGAGTGATTGATTCTTTGGGAGAGTTGGAGAAAGTTTTATGGATTTGTTAATCCAGACATATCTAATTATTAGGGTTTTTAACACTTTTGTGTCTTCTCTTTTTCCTGTTTAGCTTGGTACTTTGCCGTTAGAACTCTTGAGTGACCAGGTGCATTGTAAATGAGCAATAATATTTTGAAAGAAATCTTTTTTCCTGAGCAGTGGGTCTCAACAATGGTTTTAAAATACTCAGTAAACAGTGCTCTAAGCAGATGTGCTGTCATTTAGGCTTTGTTGTTCCATTTATACAGCACAGGCAGAGTAGATTTTGCATAATTTTTAAGGGCCGTATGATTTTTGGAATGGGATATGAACATTGGCTACAACTTAAAGTCACCAGTTGTGTTAGCCTCTAACGAGAGTCAGCATGTCCTTTGAAGCTTTGAAGCCAGTCATTGACTTCTCTCTAGCTATGAAAGTCTTAGATAGCATTTATTTATTTATTTGTTTATGATGGAGTCTTGCTCTGTTGCCCAGGCTGGAGAGCAGTGGTGTGATCTTGGGTCACTGCAAGCTCCGCCTCCTGGGTTCACGCCATTCTCCTGCCTCAGCCTCCCGAGTAGCTGGGACTACAGGCGCCTGCCACCACACCTGGCTAATTTTTTGTGTTTTTGGTAGAGACGGGGTTTCACTGTGTTAGCCAGGATGGTCTCAACCTCCTGACTTTGTGATCCACCCACCTCTGCCTCCCAAAGCACTAGGATTACAGGCGTGAGCCACGACGCCCGGCAGATAGCATTTCTTTCAGTAGAAGATTGTTTGTTTACATTGAAAATCTGTGGTTTAATGAAGCCACATTTATCAATTATCTTAGCCAGATCTTCTGGATAACTTACTGCAGCTTCTGTTACTGTATTAGTACTTACTGCTTCACTTTATACTTACATGTCATGGAGATGGCTTTTCTTTAAACCTCGCTTATCGTTTGAATATTTCTCCCCTCCAAAACTTCTGTTGATACTTAATTTCCATTGTGGCAATATTGAGAAGTGTGGTTTTTCAGAGGTGATTGGGTCATGAGGGCTCTGCCCTCATGAATTCATTCATGGATTAATGTGTTAGTGGATTATCATGGGAGTGAGACTGACTCATTGCTTTTTAAGAAGAGAAAGGGGCTGGATGCAGTAGCTCATGCCTGTAATCCTTGTACTTTGGGAGGCCAAGGCAGGAGGATTGCTTGATCCCAGGAGTTTGAGACCAGTCTGGGCAACATAGTGAGACTCTGTCTCTACAAAAACTAAAAAAATAACTAGCTGGATGTGGTTGTGTGTGCCTGTAGTGCCACCTGTAGTCCCAGGCTGGGTGACAGAATGAGACTCTGTCTCCAAACAAAAAGAAAAAAGGAAGAGAGACCTGAGCTAGCATATTCAGCCTCTTTGCCATGTGATTCCCTGTTCTGCCGTTCTGCTCAGTACTCTGCAGAGAGTCCCCACCTGAAAGAAGGCCCTTGGCTGGGTGCAGTGGCTAACGCCTGTAATCCCAGCACTTTGGGAGGCCGAGGCGGGTGGATCATGAGGTCAGGGGATGAAGACCATCCTGGCCAACATGGTGAAACCCCGTCTCTACTAAAAATACAAAAATTAGCTGGGCATGGTGGCGTGCACCTGTAGTCCCAGCTACTTGGGAGGCTGAGCCAGGAGAATCACTTGAACGCGGGAGGCAGAGGTTGCGGTGAGCCAAGATCACACCACTGCACTCCACCCTGGTGACAGAGCGAGACTCCGTTGCAAAAAAAAAAAAAAAAAAGAAAGAAAGAAAGAAAGAAGGCTCTCACCAGATGCTGCCCATTTACCTTGGGCTTCTCAGCATCCATAACTGTAAGAAATCATTTTTTTTTATAAATTACCAAGTTTCAGGTATTTTTTAATAAGCAATAGAAAGCAGACTAAGATAAATGACATGAATCAGCATCTGCTAGTTTCATACTTTTCTTCTGCGGCTTCCTTACCCTTTTTATCCTTGCTTAGAATTGAAGAGTTAGAGCCTAGCTCTGGATTGGGATTTGGCTTAAGACAATGGTTGGTTGGTTTGATATTCTATCCAAAGCACTAAAACTTTCTACTCAGCAGCAAAAGGCTGTTTCACTTTCTTACCATTTGTGTGTTCAGTGGACTGGCACTTTAAATTTTTTAAAAGAACTTTATCTTTGCATTCAGACTTCACTGACCGGTACAAGAGGCCCAGCTTTTGGCCTGTCTCCGCATTCAACATGTTGCCTTCCTCAGTAAGCTTAATCATTTCTAGCTTTTGCTTTAAAATGAGAGACTTGCAACTTTTCCTTTCATTTGAACACTTAGAAGCCATTGTAGCATTATTAATTGGCCTATTTTCAATATTGTTGTGTTTCAGGAATAGGGAGGCCCAAGGAGAGGGAAAGAGATGGAAGAACGGCTAGTTGGTGGAGCAGGCAGAACACACAGAGACTTTAAACTCTGAAGTTCGCTGTCTTAGATAGGTGCGGTTTGTGGCACCTGTAAACTATTGCAATAGTAATACCAAAGATCGCTGATCACAGATCACCAGAACAGATAGAATAATAATGAAAAAGCACAATAAAGTGAAGCACAATAAAATGAGGTATGCCTGTACCTTATAATAGCTTGAAAATTTCTTAAATTCTGTGTTTTATCTCAGGAATGTGTGTGAATTTTGCATTTCATTGCATACTGTTAATAAAAATATAGAAATATTTGAATTACTGCCAGAAAAAGGAAAAACAAAAATCATTTCCTGTTTGTCTGTTGATTTTTGAAAACTGGGGTGAATGAAGAGAGCTGACACTACATACCTGGTTTAGCACTTACTTTCTTTTTCTTAGTGTATCCCTGGTATGTTTCAGTTTAT
Organism: Homo sapiens; assembly: GCF_000001405.40. Lineage (NCBI taxonomy): Eukaryota > Metazoa > Chordata > Mammalia > Primates > Hominidae > Homo > Homo sapiens. Next base: position 174,191,418 of record NC_000001.11, read on the forward strand.
GCCTGAAGATGTACGTCACCAGTTTGAGAAAAAAAGATTGGCCAGTCAGATCATGAAACATTGCATTACTTTTCTCCCTCTTACGTGTAGTATAGCCTTGGGGAAAATTACTTAATTTGAGTCTGCTACCCTCATAAATTGGGCCAATAATGTGTACCCATACTTTTTTTGGGAGGGGATCATATAGTAGCTGCTAATTAAACATTTATTAGCTGCTTCCTCCTTTTCCTGCCACATTCCTGTTGCTTTCTTCTTGGCTTTAACCCAGGTCTTATAACTGCTTGGTATGCTTTAATCAGCTTGCTTACTGCCCTGATGGTTTTTATTAGCCAGTGCGTAGAGAATAATGCTAGAAGATGCTTGGGGCATAAGCTGAGACATTCCTGGAATAATAGAGACACACTGACTCAGGAACAGTCAGTGCACAGGGAAATGTTCGGATTTAGCTTATCAGAGTAAGCAAAGGTCTAGAAATACATCTACATTAATCAGTGGAAAGATGGGCCAGACTAAAAATTGGAATTAGAATGTAGGACTGAATGCATTTATACTAGAGTCTGCTTTCTGTGCAGCAGTAAAAGCAGGTGATATTGACTTAGTTTTTTTCAAAGTGGTTAGAGTATTAGACTGAATGGTCTAAAAATTTCATAGATGGAAGTAAAGGTATGTTCAAAAATAGACTTTCTCTGAAATGTTATAATTGAACTTAGAACATTTATGTTAGTGGTTTTATTCTGTAAATGATAATACTCATTCCTGTAATTCTCTTTATGTTGTCAGTGTGTTTCATTAACTATATCTGCTTGATCTCAAACCTTGATTATTTCTCTAACTGCGTAACACATGGCAGTTGGAGGTTCAAGAGAGTCTAATTGAGTCACTTATCCACCTGTCTGAGGTGTTTTTTTTTTTTTTTTTTTTGGAGATGGAGTCTGTCACTCTGTTGCCCAGCCTGGAGTGCAGTGGCATGATCTTGGCTCACTGCACCTTCACCTACCAGGTTCAAGTGATTCTTGTGCCTCAGCCTCCCAAGTAGCTGGGATTATAGGCACATGCCACCATGCCCAGCTAAATTTTGTATTTTTATTAGAGACAGGGTTTTACCATCTTGCCAGACTGGTCTCGAACTTCCAACCTCAGGTGATCCACCTGTCTCGGCCTCCCAAAGTGCTGGGATTACACACGTGAGCCACTGCACCCAGCCTCTGATTTCTTAACAGAGAAGAGAAACAATAAGCCAAACATGGATCAAAATAAAGTATTGAGCTTCATTACTGGTAAAGGTGAGTTAGAAAATGTGGTGAATATTACAGTATTGCACTCCTAGCAAAAAGTGAAAGCCCCCACATGAAAATAGGAGAACAAAGGAATAGGTTTTTTGCCAGAGTCCCTTCACATAAACACTTTGGGCAGGAAACTAGGCAGGCATGTCACCATTGGGCTTCAGATGGGCACCTGACAATGCTGTCGTTACTGTAGGAGACAGACCACCACAAAGTGAGATTGATTTGGTTGCTTCAGATCTGGACTGAATTATGTATTTTAATTAGCTATATTAAATAAAACAAATTAACTCTTTTGAACGTATTCCTTCATTTGTAAGGTGGGAATACAGTTGAGTGATGACTGCGAACATAAACATGACTAAAATGCCCAGAACTTTCTGGTTTATAGTAGTAGTTTCTGGTTTAGCAAATAGTAGTAATAAAAGGATAACTGTTATCCTTAACAGTTATTCTTAACAAATCAAACCTCGAATGTTTACATCTTTAAAAATTTTAACTGCCACATTTGTTACATTCTTAAATTGTGCTGTTAAAAGTAGACAACTTGGCTGAGCGCGGTGGCTCACGCCTGTAATCCCAGCACTTTGGAATGCCCAGGCGGGCAGATCATCTGAGGTCAGGAGTTCAAGACCACCCTTGCCAACATGACAAAACCCTGTCTCTACTAAAAATACAAAAATTAGCTGGGCATGGTGGTGCATGCCTGTAATCCCAGCTACTCGGGAGGCTGAGGCATGAGAATCGCTTGAATCTGGGAGGTGGAGGTTGCAGTGAGTCGAGATCTTGCCACTGCACTCCAGCCTGGGTGACAGAGCAAGACTCTCAGAAAAAATCCCCAAAATAGAAAACCTGTCTCCTTAAACTAATATTGTTTCTCTGACCTACTCATTTCAGGAAACAAAAGACTACAATTGCCTTTATGCTGATATGCCCTTATATTGAAGACTTGACCATATATAGGAACATTAAACAGAATGCCAGGTAGAGGTTTTGATTTTCTTGTCAAAATAAAATGTCAGAAATATTCTTCATGTGTTTTGGGGAAGGGAGTATTAATAGGGGTCAACTGTACATTAGTGAATACCTGTCATTTGAAATAGGAGCTTTTAAAATAGTATATATTTAAGGTGTAAAACATGATATTTTGATATACATATACATAGTTAAATGATTACTACAGTAATAGGAGCAATAATTTTATGTGTGCTGTTCTAAGCACTTATGGTAACTCATTTTATGTTAACAACAATCCTGTGAGATGGGAATATTTATCCTCCATCTGAAAAAAATTAAGGCACGGAGAGACCAAGTTACGTGTTCAGGGTCATTAAACTGATCCATGTAGAAGCCATGATTCAAAACCAGGCATTCTTAGTGCCCAGCATGGGGTCAACACTGACCTGCTTGGCTTTGGTACCTCTTTAATTGCATTCGTACTAAGCACTCAGTCAGTCATAACCATTCTCTTCTCCCTTGTGGTAATTAATGGTGGTGGTGGTGGAGAATCTACGGGATTAGGCTTCAGTTAATTCTTTTTTTTTTTTTTTTGGAGACGGAGTCTTGCCCTGTCGCCCAGGCTGGAGGGCAATAGCATGATCTCAGGTCACTGAAACCTCTGCCTCCTGGGTTCAAGCGATTCTCCTGCCCCAGCCTCCTAAGTAGCTGGGATTACAGGTGTGCACCACCACGCCCAGCTAATTTTTTGTATCTTTAGTAGAGATGGGGTTTCACCATGTTGGCCATGCTGGTCTCAAACTCCTGACCTCGTGATCTGCTCACCTCAGCCTCCCAAAGTGCTGGGATTATAGGCATGAGCCACCGTGCCCGGCCGGCTTCAGTTAATTCTAAAGCCTGGGACTGTCAGTAGGATTTTAAATCTTAGAGACCAGTTCTGAGAAAGTGACCTGTTGGCTCTGCATTGCCCCCAGGAAAAGTGCTAAGATTGTTATCAGTTACCTGACATCTGGTGGGCCGGCACGCCTTAGCCACAGTCTCTTGAATAGTCAGGAATGTCTAAAAAGTTATAAGAAGAAAAAGCAACAGGAAGAGACAGACAACAGATAGGTGGTTGCCAGGAGTGGGGGAAGGAGAGAATGGGTAGTGACTGCTGGTGGGCACAGGGTTTGCTTTGAAATTAGATTGACACAAATTATTATTTTCCAGTTTATAAAATCAGGTTTTTCAGGAGGTCTTTACATTGAATCACAAGTGATTTCACCCTAATATGGTGTGAATTGATTTTATTGTTCACTCTTAGTTCTTTATAAACTAATTTCCCCCTCCTTGAGTGTTTGTTTTAAAATTTTGGCTCTTTCTTGATAACCTGGAATATATATATTTGGATAATTATTTTCAGGAAGAGTATATTATATGAGTGATCTCTTTTCTGAGTTCTTGTTCAGTTGAGAAGGACTTGATTATGTACATGTGCAGATATGGGATTCTCAGATTTTGATCTTTATGTTTCTCCCTGGGAAAGTTTAAGGGTTGATCCATTATAATCTGGCTTTTAGTTTTCCAGAGGAAAGGGCTAAGTCTGAGATTAACTTGATTCCTCTTGGCCCTTCCGAATATCCATTTCTCCTTTTTTCCTCTTTGTAGATAATCTTTTTTGATTTCTTGTTTTTCTGTAGGATTGAAAAATGTTTTTATTAGGCTGTATTTAGATATTGGCATGTTTTAATTAATTTTTCCCTATATACTCAAAATCTGTACATGTTCCGATTCAGATTTTTCTTCAGTTTAGAAAAATTTCCTTCTCGTATTTTTTTGAGAGTGTAATATGTTTAAGACCACAGACTGAGGAGCCAGATTGTTTGGTTTCCAATTCCTGTTATGATACTAGTAACTTTGGGTAGGGTTCTTAATCAATTCTTTCTTTCTTTCTTTCTTTCTTTCTTTCTTTCTTTCTTTCTTCCTTCCTTCCTTCCTTCCTTCCTTCCTTCCTTCCTTTCCTTTCCTTTCCTTTCCTTCTTTCCTTCTTTCCTTCTTTCCTTCTTTCCTTCTTTCTTTTCTTTCTTTTCTTTCTTTTCTTTCTTTCTTTCTTTCTCTCTTTCTCTCTTTCTCTCTTTCCTTTCTTTCTTTTCTTTCTTTCTTTCTTTCTTTCTATCCTTCTTTCTTTCTATCCTTCTTCTTCTTTTTTTTTTTTTTGAGACAGAGTCTTGCTCTATCGTCCAGGCTGGAGTGCAGTGGCGTGATCTCAGCTCACTGCAACTTCCACCTCCTGGGTTCAAGTGATTCTCCTGCCTCAGCCTCCTGAGTAGCTGGGATTACAGGCATGCACCACCATGCCTGGCTAATTTTTTGTATTTTTAGCAGAGACAGGGTTTCACCGTTTTAGCCAGGATGGTCTGGGTCTCCTGACCTCGTGATCCGCCCACCTTGGCCTCCCAGCATGAGCCACCACGCCTGGGCTGTAGTTCTTTTTATTTTCTTCTTGTGGAATTATTTTATTTAGATTGCCTCTTTTGGATATGATCTCCATATTTTTCTTTCCTCAGCATTTGTACTTCTTTCTTTCTTTCTTTTTTTTTTTTTTGAGACTGAGTCTTGCTCTGTCGCCCAGGCTGGAGTGCAGTGGCACGATCTTGGCTCACTGCAAGCTCTGCCTCCTGGGTTCACGCCATTCTCCTGCCTCAGCCTTCCGAGCAGCTGGGACTACAGGTGCCCGCCACCACGCCTGGCTAATTTTTTGTATTTTTTGGTAGAGACGGGGTTTCGCTGTGTTAGCCAGGATAGTCTCGATCTCCTGACCTTGTGATCCACCCGCCTCGGCCTCCCGAAGTGCTGGGATTACAGGCGTGAGCAGCATTTATATTTCTTAATCCTTTTATTCTTTCTGGGAAAATTTTTTGAGTTTTTAATCTTTTTTCTTTTTTTTTTTTTTCTCTTTACTGAAGTTCTAATCTGGCCAGTTCTGCTGTTGTTTTCATATTATTTTTTCTCTGCAATTTCTCCAAATCTTAGATTGTTTCCTCATCATAACTTCCTGCTCTAGTTTCTTGTTTGTAATCTTCTCTTGGATTGTCCTGAGAACATCAATTAGAAATTTTATAAACATGTTTTCCTGTATCTTATAGTAAATCTGTTTCTGAAGAAATTGTGCATTCATTGTTTAGGCTAGTATCCATAATTTGAATTATGGTATTTTTTTGGACATCAACTTTGTCTTCTGCTCATTTTTATAAGTGGGAGGTCTCTGCCAGCTTAGTATTAGTCTTAGCATAAGGTGGAATTTGAGATGTTTTATAACAAAGGTAGATATAGATCATATTAAATTTTTGATTTAAGAAAAATGAAAGGTGGCAATATTTCTTGAAGCCCCAGGAATGACTGATCTGGGATTCATATTATCATAAAAGAGAACAATAAGTGATAAACATTAATATTTATTTAGCTTTTTAAAATGTGCCAGGCACTGTGCCCAGTGCTTTACATATGAATTATATCCTTTTCTCTTTCTCAGCAACTTTATGGTAGATACTGTTTTTCCTGTAAACTTAATGAAGTTGAAGTTTAGAGATTTACTCACCTAAGGTCATAAGGCTCATAAATAGTAGAGCCAGGATTAAACCCAAGTGTCTGACTCCAGCAGTTGAGTGTCAAATAGTTAGGTTTTAATGGCCTCTTGTCAATATCCCAAAGGGCTTGAACTCTTATAAGTAGGTTTGGTTCCAGACTGATACACTGCCCGATCTTAATCATGATGGTCAGTAGAAGATGTGTTTAGATCCCTCTTGGTGAAAGGAGCCCCTGAGTTTCCACGTAATACACTTGGAAAACCATAGAATTTGTTTCCTTAATTTTGCTCATTCACAACCCCTCTGTCACACTGCTTGATTCTCTGTTTCTTAAGCGTAGCACAATACGTCTGATCTCTTGTTTTTAAAATATCTGTTATGCCTGGACAACATGGTGAAACCCTGTCTGTACTAAAAATACAAAAATTAGCCGGGCATTGGTTGCGGGCGCATGTAATCTCAGCCACTCGGGTGGCTGAGGCAGGAGAATCACTTGAACTCAAGAGGCGGAGGTTGCAGGGAGCTGAGATTGCACCATTGCACTCCAGCCTGGGTAACGAGAGCGAAACTCCGTCTAAAAAAAAAAAATCTGTTATGGTGTGTGTTATGTAGATATTCTTAGAGTTCTGGGCATGTAGCTGACACCTTTTCATGAAGTGCAGAAAAACCCATTTTATATGAATGTGTTTTCAGAATCAGCCATAGTTCCTGTTACAGAAGATGGACCCAATAATTATTGGTTGTGTGAATGTTGTATGAATTAAATTAGATAAGGAGATTACATAGCATACTCCTCTAAAATGCGCATATTTAAAGTAGTTGGGTATATGTATCATGATCAACTGGAAACCTTTTTTGAAATACAGATGCTTATTATGACTTAGAAACACTGTTCTAATTATAGTCTAATATATAGTGATTATTATAGTCTAATAATCACTGACTATAAAAGTGATTGAATAGTTCTTGGTAAATAATTGTTACTTTTCTTGATTTTTAAATATTCATGCTGTAATGATAAAAATGTCCAAATCCATAGTGTATATGGTTTAGATCTTGTTTATAATATACAGAGAAAGGCCTTCAGGAGTTTCTTGAAGTAATAAATACATTATTGTTGAGTTCATTTTGGAGTTATTTACTGTACTAAACCAGCCTCACAATGACTTTGCAGATTTGTGATATTACTCTTGGCTTTTAGAGAGAGAAGGACACACAGTAAATAATCCCTAAATTCAAGGAATTGACTTAATGAGAATAGTTGAATTTTTAAGCTCTTTGGATTCTGAGTTAGTATTTAGATTTATTTGATTTAAGATGATTGTTGAAGTTACATGAAAATAAGTCTTTCCAAAATGAAAATCTTTTTAGTAATCAAATGAGGATTTTCTGATAGCAACAGGGTGCATTGGAAATGAGATTTTCTGATCAGCAGCAGCATGCATTGCACTGTATTGGGGAATTGAGGTAAAGTAATATTTAAAAGTTCATATTATTGGCCGGGCACCTTGGTCATCAAGAGTGAGTGAGTCCAACAACTAGCAGGTGTCTTGGCTTGTGAGGCGCCCCCTCCAGCATTAATGGGAAAAGAGATGAGGGCCAGGGCCGGGCATGGTGGCTCACGCCTATAATCCCAGTACTTTAGGAGGCTGAGGCGGGTGGATCACCTGAGGTTGGGAGTTCGAGACCAGCCTCACCAACATGGAGAAACCCCATCTGTACTAAAAATACAAAATTAGCCGGGCGTGGTGGCGCATGCCTGTAATCCCAGCTACTCGGGAGGCTGAGGCAGTAGAGTCGCTTGAACCTGGGAGGCGGAGGTTGCAGTGAGCCAAGATTGCGCCATTGCACTCCAGCCTGGGCAACAAGAGCAAAACTCCATCTCGACAAAAGAAAAAGTTCTTATTACTGAGGAAAATTAAAAAATTCAGTGCCTTCAATATAAACACTTAAAGTTATGGGATATGAAAATTATGGACATATCAGACCTGAATTTTATGTTATTTTACTCACTCGACCAGTAAGATCTTGAGTCATATATTTTAGTGGAGGCAATTTTATTCATGTATTGTTTTTTTTCTTTTTTAAGACAGGGTCTCGCTCTACTGCCCAGGCTGAAGTGCAGTGGTGTGGTCTTGGCTCACTGCAACCTCTGCCTGCCGGATTCAAGCAATTCTCCTGCCTGAGCCTCCTGAGCAGCTAGGATTACAGGCGTATACTACCACACTCAGCCAATTTCTGTATTTTTAGTAGAGATGGGGTTTCACTATTTTGACCAGGCTGGTCTCGAACTCCTGACCGCAAGTGATCCGCCCATTTTGGCTTCCCAAAGTGCTGGGATTACAGATGTGAGCCACCATGCCCGGCCCATACATTGTTTTTCAATTCTAAAACATTCTGTTTTAAAAGATCAGTTGTTTTGTTCATTATTTCCTTAATAGTGGATTCCTTCATGATTGTGAGAGCCAATTCAATATCTCTAACGGTCTTTTGAAAATCTTAAATAGGGCAAATTTTATTCTGGGTTTCCATGAGTCAAAAATCAGTGTTGATGGTTCTTGTCTCCCCTCCCTCATAATGTGGTTTGGCAAAATGCTTCAGGGAAATAACAGTGAGGGTGATTGAGGGAAAACTGAAAAATCCATGAAGGAAGTAATAGCTATTCTTAGAATTATTGGCTCTAAAAAATACTTTCTTAGGTTCTCTCTAGTCATGATTACTCATAGGAAACAAATATGAGGTTTATAGATTTAAATCCAGGTATTTCTTTAAAGAGAAAATAAATGTTAAAGAAGTCATATTCATTGTTTTCATTAAGATTTGAGATTTTCGTAACAAGTTAGAGTAAGAGGGAAGTAAAAATCAAATAAGCTAAAATAGGTACCTGAGATGTCTTTTTCTTCCATGTTAGACAGATAATGTACCAATGCTGTAGCAAGGTTTGAGGGAGGCACATCTCATATGTGTGTGAAAACCCAGTTATCATGCTTATGAACTACAAAAGGATCTATATGAGTTCTTGTGTAGGTGTTAGCTAACAATCTGGTGTTCCTAAAATGTGAAACACATATATCTTACTCTTTGGCAAATTAACAAAGTAAGCTGGCATAACAGCTTCTATTCTTGACAGGAAAATTCTATACCTTTTTGTACTTGATTAGTCCATTAGGTTATTATCTACAGTTACCTGAATATGAGTAAAAATTAAAAAGAAATCTGTATATGAGGTAGAGGGATGGCTCCTAGAAAACATGTATATACAGATGTTTTTGCCATAAACCTATAGAATAATCATATTTTACTAGAGTAGATTTAATCAGTTGGGGAGATTGTTGAAACTGCTTCCAGAGGTGGCACAAGTTATATTTTGAAGGTTACAAATTGTGTTATATTTAGTTTATGCCACTTTGATACTTCTAAGGTTTAAATTTTCTGTGCTTTTTTGTTTACTTGACATTTCTGGGATTGAGATCATGTTTGTTTCCTGCTATATTTGTTTTCTAGTCACGTTGAACCTTGTTTTTCTAATAATTATGCTGCAATATTATTTGATACATACAATTTTAGCTATGTTCTCTTGTCCCTGCTGGTATTTTGCATTTATATAAATAACCTTTATAGGATAAAGTACAGTGTCTTTTGTTTTGAAAAAAGATGAAAAACTTTTTCAATGTGTCCCCGTTTGGTTTCAGTTATCCACATCTGAAGTCACTGTGGCTTTGCCTGTTTAAACAAGTTTCTTTTCTTGTCCCTTCAGTAGCAACCACCAGGGCCGTCGTTTTACATGTCACTTTTCTTTCATTCAGAAAGAGGTGCTCACTTTGGTCGTTAATTTTTGTTTTAGTCTGCTCCTATCATTATGGTAGTTTATAGAAACTATTTTTTAATTTTAGTTTTAATTTTTCTTTTTTTGCAGAGACAAGAGTCTCCCTCTGTTGCTCAGGCTGGTCTTGAACTCTTGGCCTCAAGCAGTAATCCGTCGCAGGCTCCCAAAGTGTTGAAATTACAGGTGTGAGCCACCACACCCAGTGTAGAAATTTTTTTTTTTTTTTTTTGAGATGGAGTCTTACTCAAGTGATTCTCCTGCCTCAGCCTCCCGAGTAGCTGGGATTACAGGCACCCACCACCACACCCGGCTAATTTTTGTTTGTTTTAGTAGAGATGGAGTTTCACCATGTTGGTTAGTCTAGTCTCGAACTCCTGAGCTCAGGTGATCCGCCCACCTTGGCCTCCCAAGGGGCTGGGATTACAGGTGCCACCGCACCCGGCCTAGAAACTATTCTTTAGCTGTGATATGTACTTTATTCTATCATCATTTATTTTATGTAGATGCTACACAGTGTGCTAGAGTCTAAAGGGAATGTGTGCTTGTATTTTTCTTTTTTTTGTTAAACTACCTCTCATGCTATTATTGCTTGGCTTTTTTTTTTCTTTTTTTTAATTATACTTTAAGTTTTAGGGTACATGTGCACAACGTGCAGGTTTGTTACATATGTATACATGTGCCATGTTGGTGTGCTGCACCCATTAACTCGTCATTTAGCATTAGGTATATCTCCTAATGCTATCCCTCCCCCCTCCCCCCACCCCACAACAGTCCCCGGTGTGTAATGTTCCCCTTCCTGTGTCCATGTGTTCTCATTGTTCAATTCCCACCTACGAGTGAGAACATGCGGTGTTTGATTCTTTGTCCTTGCGACAGTTTGCTGAGAATGATGGTTTCCAGCTTCATCCATGTCCCTACAAAGGACATGAACTCATCATTTTTTATGGCTGCTAGTATTCCATGGTGTATATGTGCCACATTTTCTTAACCCAGTCTATCATTGTTGGACATTTGGGTTGGTTCCAAGTCTTTGCTATTGTGAATAGTGCCACAATAAACATACGTGTGCATGTGTCTTTATAGCAGCATGATTTATAATCCTTTGGGTATATACCCAGTAATGGGATGGCTGGGTCAAATGGTATTTCTAGTTCTAGATCCCTGAGGAATCGCTACACTGACTTCCACAATGGTTGAACTAGTTTACAGTCCCACCAACAGTGTAAAAGTGTTCCTATTTCTCCACATCCTCTCCAGCACCTGTTGTTTCCTGACTTTTTAATGATTCCCATTCTAACTGGTGTGAGATGGTATCTCATTGTGGTTTTGATTTGCATTTCTCTGATGGCCAGTGATGGTGAGCATTTTTTAATGTGGTTTTTGGCTGCATAAATGCCTTCTTTTGAGAAGTGTCTGTTCATATCCTTCGCCTACTTTTTGATGGGGTTGTTTGTTTTTTTCTTGTAAATTTGTTTGAGTTCATTGTAGATTCTGGATATTAGCCCTTTGTCAGATGAGTAGGTTGCAAAAATTTTCTCCCATTTTGTAGGTTGCCTGTTCACTCTGATGGTAGTTTCTTTTGCTGTGCAGTAGCTCTTTAGTTTAATTAGATCCCATTTGTCAATTTTGGCTTTTGTTGCCATTGCTTTCTGTGTTTTAGACATGAAGTCCTTGCCCATGCCTATGTCCTGAATGGTATTGCCTAGGTTTTCTTCTAGGGTTTTTATGGTTTTAGGTCTAACATTTAAGTCTTTAATCCATGTTGAATTAATTTTTGTATAAGGTGTAAGGAAGGGATCCAGTTTCAGCTTTCTACATATGGCTAGCCAGTTTTCCCAGCACCATTTATTAAATAGGGAATCCTTTCCCCATTGCTTCTTTTTGTCAGGTTTGTCAAAGATCAGATGGTTGTAGATGTGTGGTATTATTTCTTTTGCTGTGCAGAAGCTCATGAATTTAATTAGATCCCACTTGTCCTTTTTTTCCTTTATTGTGATTGCTTTGATGTCTTCGTCATGAAATCTTTGCCTGTTCCTATGTCCAGGGTGGTATTTTTTAGGTTGTCTTACAGGATTTTTATAATTTTGGGTTTTACACTTAAGTCTTTAGTCCATCTTGAGTTAATTTTTGTTTATGATGTAAGGAAATGGTCCACCTTCAGTGTTCTGTGTGTGGCTAGCCAGTTTATCCCATCACTATTTATTGAATAGGGAGTCTTTTCCCCATTGCTCATTTGTATATGATGTAAGGAAATGGTCCATCTTCAGTGTTCTGCATATGGCTAGCCAGTTATCTCATCACCATTTATTGAACAGGGAGTCTTTTCCCCATTGTTTTTGTCAGCTTTGTCAAAGATCAGATGGTTGTAGGTGTGTGGCCTTATTTCTGGGCTCTCTATTTTGTTCCATTGGTCTATGTGCCTGTTTTTGTACCCGTACCATGCTGTTTTGGTTACTGTAGCCCTGTAGTATAGTTTGAAGTTGGGTAACATGGTGCCTTCAGCTTTGTTATTTTTGCTTAGGATTTCTCTGGCTGTTCAGGTTCTTTTTTTGGTTCCATATGAATTTTAAAATAGTTTTTCCTAGTTCTGTGAAGAATGTTGTTTGATAGGAATAGCATTGAATCTGTAAATTGCTTTAGGCAGTTTGGCCATTTCAATGACATTCTATCCATGAGCATGGGATGTTTTTCCATTTATTTGTGTTGTTTCTGATTTCCTTGAGCAGTGTTTTATAATTCTTAGTGTAGAGATGTTCTACCTCGTGGTTGGCTGTATTCCCAGGTATTTTGTTCTTTTTGTGGCAATTTGGAATGGGATTGCCTTTCTGATTTGGCTCTTGGCTTAGCTGTTGTTGGTGTATAGGAATGCTAGTGATTTTTGTACATTGATTTTTTTTTTTTTTTTTTTAAAGATAGTGTATCTCTCTGTTGCCCAGAGTGCAGTGGCACTAGAGTGCAGTGGCACAATCTCGGCTCACTGCAACCTCCACTTCCCAGGTTCAAGTGTTCTTGTGTGTCAACCTCCTGAATAGCTGGGATTTCAGGCATGTGCCACCATGCCCAGCTAATTTTTGTATTTTTAGTAGAGACAGGATTTCACCATGTTGGCCAGGCTGGTCTCAAACTCCTGACCTCAAGTGATCTGCCCACCTCAGCCTCCCAAAGTGCTGGGATTATACGTGTGAGCCACTGTGCCTGGCCTGTACATTGATTTTGTATCCTGAAACTTTGCTGAAGTTGTTTATCAGCTGAAGGAGCTTTTGGGCTGAGACTGGGGCTTTCTAGATATAGAGTCGTGTTATCTGTAAACAGAGATAGTTTGACTTCTACTCTTTCTGTTTGAATGCTCTTTCTTACTCTTGCCTAATTGCTCTGGCTAGGACTTCCAATACTATTTTTAATAGGAGTGGTGAGAGAGGGCATCCTTGTGTTGTGCCGGTTTTTACAGGGAATGCTTCTAGCTTTTGACCGTTGAGTATAATGTTGGCTGTGGGTTTGTCATAGATGGCTTATTATTTTATTCCTTCAGTACATAGTTTACTGAGAATTTTTAACATGAAGGGGTGTTGAATTTTACCAGAGGCCTTGATATGGTTTAGCTCTGTGTCCCCATCCACATCTCATATTGAATTGTAATCCCCAGTGTTAGGGGAGGGACCTGGTGGGAGGTGATTGGATCCTGGGGGCGGATGTCTCCCTTGCTGTTCTCATGGTAGTGAGTGAGTTCTCACAAGATCTGGTTGTTCTCACGAGATGTGGAGTGTAGTACTTCCCCCTTCACTCTCTCTCTCTTTCCTGCTCCTCCATGGTAAGATGTGCTTCTTTGCCCTTCGCCTTCTGCTATGATTGTTAAGTTTTCTGAGGCCTACCAGCCATGCTTTCTGTACAGCCTGTGGAACTGTGAGTCAGTGAAATCTCCTTTCTTCATAAATTACCCAGTCATGGGTAGTTCTTTATAGCAATGTGAGAATGGACTAATAAAGGCCTTTTCTGCTTCTCTTGAGATAATCACGTGGTTTTTGTCTTTAGTTCTGTTTTTGTGATGAGTCACATTTATTGATTTGTGTATGTTTAACCAACTTCACATCCTGGAGATGAAGGCTGCTTGATTGTGGTGGATTAGCTTTTTGATGTGTTGCCGGATTCGGTTTTCAAGTATTTTGTTGAGGATTTTTGCGTTGATGTTCATCAAGGATATTAGCCTGCAGTTTTCTTTTATTGTTGTGTTTATCAGGATGGTGCTGGCCTCATAGAATGAGTTGGGGAGGAGTCCCTCCTCCTCAGTTTTTTGGAATAGTTTCTGTAGGAATGGTACCAGCTCTTCTCTGTAGATCTGGTAGAATTCAGCTGTGAATCCATCAGGTCCTGGGATTTTTTTGGTTGGTAGACGTTTTATTACTGATTCAATTTTGGAGCTTGTTATTGGTCTCTGTGGGGAATCAGTTTCTTCCTGGTTCAGTCTTGGGAGGACATATGTGTCCAGGAATTTATGTCTCTTTTAGGCTTTCTAGTTTGTATGCATAGAGGTGTCTGTAGTAGTTTCTGATGGTTATTTTTTATTTCTGTGGGGTCAGTGGTAACATTTCCTTTGTTATTTCTAATTGTGTTCTCTCTTTTCTTTATTACTCTAGCTAGTGGCCTATGTATCTTACTAAGTTTTTCAAAAAACCAACTCCTGGATTCATTCATCTTTTAATTGTTTTTTCTTGTCTCTATTTACTTCAGTTCAGCTCTGATTTTGAATACTTCTTTTCTTCTGGTAGCTTTGGTGTTGATTTCTTCTTGCTTCTCTAATTCTAGAAACCCAATTTAAACTAATTTGTGCAAAAATAATTTGTTGAAAGGAATATTTTAGGGAAATAAAAAATGGAAGATTTATTAAGACTGAGGATGGGGACAATTGGAGCTAGGCCTCAGGAATGACTCAGGGATATGACTTGGTTAAGACCCTTTTTCTTGTCTCCGTCTAGGGTTTACTTTTCTCTCTCACTGCACACTGTCATTCTTCATTGAGGAAAAACATGGCTGGTCACTAGTCCAAAAATCTTAGAAATTGGATTAATTGATCTAGCTTAGATTCATCTATTTGGCTGTGGGGTTGACATTTTTATAAAAGCTATGTGGTTTAAGTAGAGAGAAGGCTTATTCGCAGAATAAGATGTTTGAGAATTATTGTTGGACAGATAAAAATAGGTATCCATTAAAGTAATGTGAATTAATAAAGTTCTTTTGTCCCCTTTTCAGAGCTAGAGACATACTTGTGTACATGCATACATATTGGTTTGGTTCTTGCTTGGGAACTAGAGTAGTGGATAGACTGTTTAGTAAACAAAAGTCATGGTAATTTTTTCCTGGATTGGCTCAGTTTTTCAAAGCACAGAAGAATTTTGGTTGGCAAATGTTGTTCTATAAAGTATTTGTCCATTTTCTTAGTGTAAGTTAAGAATAGTTCCCTTTCTACTTTTGTTATGGATCTCCTACAGTCATTCTAATTCTAATGCCTGATAGTCTTTGCAGCCTATCCAATCTTGACTCACCCTTATATTTTTAGGTTTCTATTTTAGCTCAGGAGCCACTTGAAAATGAGTAGGCACAAACACGTGATCTAAAAGCAAGAAGGAGGCTAACCACATTTGGCACTGAAGGAAATTAGATCACGTGCACTGTGATTGCACACTTTCGAATATGTTACGTTATTTTGGGAAGAAAATAGCTTTCAGTTAGACATTGCTGAATATTGTTGTACTATTTCTTGTATATGTGAAAATTGTAGTTTTAGGCATCCAAGTGAGGTATTAATTTAGATATCATTATTGCTCATTTAGCAAAAATGATGTGGCATTAAAGTAAGAATTATAAGCTATTTCACTGGTAGAATTGCTGTAGGTATGGGGGAGAAGTGTGTCTTTAAGTGATTTAATTTAATCTAAATATTTATTGAGCTCCTTTGAGTTTAGAAGGGGATGGATAGAAGAAACAAAACACTGATACATACCAGATTTTCTATAATGCTGATAAGCTTCTGTTCCTTATTTCCGTATATCTTTAAAATGCCCTGAAAGTGAAAATATTTATGCCTATATTTCCATTATTTTTTGCACCTGAAGAAACATAAAAATCTTTTGTCAGATTTTATATTCTGATTTTTAGATTGCAACAGAGCAGTCTTAACTAAATGCATTTTAAAGCAGTTTTGCATTTGTACACTGCTCTGTAGTACATGCTGCGTTGAAATGGATGTATTAGTCTGAAGTTCACTAGAACAGTGAGCTTCATATTATTTAAAAGACCTCTGAGAATATTCCAGCTGTTATTTCTTTTGATTTGAAATAATAGCAGATTGCCATACATAAAGACAAAGTTAACATTTTGTTATAGCACACTGCTGCATAATAGTAGACTTAGTAAATTATATTTTGAAAGGACGTTTTGGAATGTAGGTCAGGAGCTGACTGGATTCTTCTGGAAATCACATAGCATGAGAATCTTGAGTCAAGTCAGTACTTGACTTTAGAACTCATGCAGTCCAACTTCCTACCTGATGCTGGAATCCATCTTGCTATCCCAAATAATTCATTTGGTTATTAAAGAAGTATTTATTGAGGCATAGTGTGTGTAGATACTGTCCTGGGGATGTGTTGGCTAAAATAAAAATAGACTTGGTCCCTGCCCATGTGCAGATAGGTCTTTTTTAGAAGGCTATTAATTATTGTTGATTCAGTTTCTTGAAAAATATAGGGGTATTCAAGTTATCTGTGTCTCCTGGTGTGAATTTTGGTACTTTGTGTCTTTTAAGGAACTGGTCTCCTTCATCTAAGTGGCCGAATTTGTGGATAAAGAGTCTAACTTGTAGTTGGGTGTTCAGTGCTCAATCAGTCTCAACAAGTTATTTTTTGAATCAAGTACTCAAGTTGGGAAGAATTGACAATTTAACAACTTTGAATTTCCTAATCCATGAACATTGAATATCTCTACATTAATTAGATCTGATTTAATTTCCTTCCTCAGTGTTTTTTAGATTTCTGCTTACAGACCCTATGCATATTTTGTTAGATTTATACCTAAGTATTTCAATTTTTCCCTTGCTATTGTAAATGATACTGCTTTTCTAACTTTCAAATTCCTATTGTCCATTGTATGTAGGGAGGATAGTGACTTTTGTATATTGACCTTGTATCCTCCAACCTTACTGTACTTGCTTATTAGTTCTGAGGGTTTTTTTTTTCTCTTTTTGAATCTTTAGGTTTTCCACATTGACAATCATGTAATCTGTAAATAAAGACAGTTTGATTTCTTCCTTTCCAATCTGTATACGTTTTATTTCTTCCAATCTTAGGGGGAAAGTGTCTGCTTCGTGATTATTAAGTGTGATGTTTTGTAAATTTATTTATTGGAGGAAATTCCCCTCAATTGCTAGTTTACTGAGAGTTTTTGTTTTGTTTTGTTTTATGAGTGGATGTTGGATTTTGTCAAATGCATTTCAATTGACATGATTATGATTTTTCTTTAGCCTATTGATATGTAGGGTGACATTGATTGGTTTTTGAATGTTGAGCCAGTCTTTCGTACCTGGTATATAATTCTTTTAATACATTGTTGGATATGGTTTTCTAATATTTTGTTAAGAATTTTTGTATTAATGTCATTATAGATATGGATGTATAGTTTTTCATTTTTCTTGTTATCTGGTTTTGGTATTAGAGCAGTGCTGATCTCACAGAATGAGTTAGAAAGTATTACCTCTGCTTCTATATTCTGGAAGATATTGTGGAAAATTGATATTATTTCTTCTTTAAATGTTTGGTGGAGTTTACCAGTGAAGTCATCTTTGGTGCTTCCTTTAAAAATATAGGGCTATTCAGTTTATCAGCTTGGCCATAGTGGGGTAGAACAGCAGTCCCCAACCTTTTTGGCACAGGGGACCAGTTTCATGGAAGATGGTTGTTGTCCACGGAATGGGGGCTGGATGAAACTGTTCTACCTCAAATTATCAGGCATTAGTTAGATTCTTGTAAGGAGCACTCAACCTAGATCCCTCACATGTGCAGTACACAGTAGGGTTCACACTCCTATGAGAATCTAATGCCACTGCTGATTGGATGTGAGGTGGAGCTCAGGCAATAATAATACTCGCTTATGCATTGCGTACCTCCTGCTCTGTGGCCTTGTTCCTAACAGGCCTGGGACCAGTATCAGTCTGTGGCCTGGGGGTTGGGGATGAGGTAGAGCACAAAGTGGAGTCTTTGGGTCCCCTTTTCCAGGCCTTGGCTCTTAGATGGTATTTCTGGACCTGCCCTGGACCAGAGGGGAGCCCTCTGCCCTGAGGAATGAGTCCCAGGCCAGCCAGCATTCACCAGAAACTGACTGAAGAGCCCTTGGGCCTTAAGGGAACATCGGCAGTAGCTTGGAAGTATACCAAATGGGCCTGTGTTGTGGGTGGCCACAGGATAAGGCTCCTCTGCCTGTGGAAACGACAGGGATGAGTGGAAGAATTGTGTCTTGTGGTTTGAGTGCCAGCTCATCTGTAGCATAGTAGAATATTAGGTAGACTTCTAGGTTTTTAAACTCCAGTCCCTGGCTCCCAGATGACACTTCTTGACCCACCTGGGGCCCAGGGGAACTTGTTGCCCTGAGGGGAAGGACACAAACCTGGCTGGCTTTGCTACCTGTTGATTATACAGCATCAAGACCTTGAGCTGCCATAGGCGGTAGCCAGGTAGTGCTTACAGCAGGCCTTTGGTGAGACACAGTGCTGTCCTGACTTTAGGTTTGACTCAGTGCAGTTTCAGTGGTGGTGAAACAGGAGTCTTGTGTCACTCTATCCTCAGCCCCAGGTGGCACAGAACAGAGAGGGAGATTCCATTGGTTTGAGAGAAAGTAAGTAAAGAGAATAAAAGTCTCTGCCTGGTAATCAAGAGAATTCTCCCAGATCTCTTACGCAAGACCGTCAAGGTGATACCTTTGTGAGTCTGCAAGATCCACAGTGTTACTGGGTTTGGATGGAGTGCCCCTAATGCAGATACAGCTTAGATCACAACACCTAAGTCCTTTTGAATGCTAGGAAAGCCTTCCCAAGAAGATGGGTACAAACAAGCCCAGACTGAGAAGACTACAGTAGATACCTAACTCTTCAATGCCCAGACGCAGATGAACATCGACAAGCATCAAGACCATTCAGGAAAACATGACCTTACCAAAGGAACTAAATAAGGCACCAGGGACCAATTCTGGAGAAAGCGAGACAGAAAATTCAAAATAGCTGTTTTGAGGCAGTTCAAAGAAATTCAAGAAAACACAGAGAAGGAATTCAGAATTCTATCAGATATATTGAACACAGATTTAAATAATTAAAAAGAATCAAGCAGAAATTTTGGAATTGAAAAATGCTGTTGACACACTGAAGAATGTATTGAAGTCTTTTAATAGCAGAATTGATCAAGCCGAAGGAAGAATTTGTGAACTTGAAGATAGGCCATTTGAAAATACACAGAGGAGACAAAAGAAAAACAAAACAGAACAAAAACAATGAAGCATGCCTACAGGATCTAGAACATAGCCTCAGAAGGGCAAATCTAAAAGTTATTGGCCTTAAAGAGGAGATAGAGAAAGATATGGGTAGAAAGTTTATTCAAAGGGGTAATAACAGAGAACTTACCAAATCTACAGAAAGATATCAATATCCAAGTACAAGAAGGTTATAGAACACCAAGCAGATTTAAAGGAAGATGATGTCTGCCTCAAGACATTTAATAATCAGACTTCCAAAGGTCAAGGATAAAGGAAGGATCCTAAAAGAAGCAAGAGAGAAGAAACAAATAACATATAATGGAGCTCCATTGTGTCAGACTTTTCAGTGGAAACCTTATATACCAGAAGAGAGCAGCAGGACATGTTTAAAGTGCTGAAGGAAAAAACTTTTACTCTAGAATAATATGTTTGGTGAAAATATCCTTTAAACATGAAGGAGAAGTAAAGACTTTCTCAGACAAAAGCTGAGGGATTTCATGAACACCAGACCTGTCCTATAAGAAATGCTAAAGGGAGTACTTCAACCAGAAAGAAAAGAACGTTAATGAGCATTAAGAAATTATCTGAAGGTACAAAACTCACTGGTAATAGTAAATTCACAGAAAAAGACAGAGTATGGTAACAGTAACTGTGGTGTGTAAACTACTCTTGTCCTAAGTAGAAAGACTAAATGATGAACCAATAAAAAATAATAACTGCAACAACTTTTCAAGACATAGATAATCAAAAAAGATATAAATAGAAACAAGAAAAGATTAAGCAGGGGATAAAGTTAGGGTGTAGTGTCTTTATGAGTTTTCTTCTTGCTTGTTTGCTTGCTTATGCAAAGTGTTGTTATCAGCTTAAAATAATGGGTTACAAGATAGTATTTGCAAGACTCATTGTAACCTTAAATCTAAAAACATACAATAAGTACAAAAAAATTGAGAAGCAAGAAATTAAATCATGCCATCATAGAAAATCACCTTGACTAAAAGGATGACAGAAAGGAAAGAAGGAAGCAAATACCAGAAAACAAGTAACAGTTATAGGAGTAAGTCCTTACTTATCAGCAATAACAGTGAATGTAAATGGATTAAACTCTCCAATGAAAGGATACAGAGTAGTGGCTGAATGTATAAAAAACCAAGACCCACTGATCTGTTGCCTACATGAAACATACTTTACCTGTAAAGACACACATAGACTGAAAATAAAAGGATGGAAAAAGATATTCCATGTCAATGGAAACCAAAAAGGAGCAGGAATAGCTATACTTCTATCAGACAAAATTGATTTTAAGACAAAAACTATTAGAAGAGACAAAGAAGATCACTGTATAATGACTAAAAGGTCAATTCAGCAAGAGGATATAATGATTGTACATATATATGCACCTAACCCTAGAGCACCCAGATATATAAAGCAGATATTAGAGCTAAAGAGAGGGATAGACCCAAATACGATAACAGCTGGAAACTTCAACACATCACTTTCAACATTGAACAGATCTTCCAGTCAAAAAATCAACAAAGAGTAATCAGACTTAATGTGCCTTATAGACCAAATGGACCTCATAGATGTTTATAGAACATTTAATCCAATGACTGAAGAATACATATTTTTTTCCTCAGTACATGGATTATTCTTAAGGATAGACCGTACTTAGGTCACAAAACAAGTTTTAAAACATCAAAAAAAGAAATAATATCAAGCATTGTCTCTGACGACAACAGAATGAAACTTAGGTTGGTGCAAAAGTAATTGTGGTCTTTGCCGTTAAAAAGGCAATTACTTTTGCACCAACCTAATAGAAATCAGTAACAAAAGGAATTTTAGAAACTATACAAACACATGGAAATTAAACAACATGCTCCTGAATGACCAGTGCATCAATGAAGAAATTAAGGAGGAAATTGAAAAATTCATTGAAACAAATGATAATGGAAACAGAAGATACCAAAACATATATGATACAGCTAAAGCAGTACTAAGAGGGAAATTTATTACTGTAAGTGCCTACATCAAAAAAGAAGAAAAACTTCAAGTAAGCGACCTAACAATACTTAAAGAACTAGAAAAACAAGAGCAAACCAAACCCAAAATTAGTAGAAAAAAAGAAATAATAAAGATCAGGGCAGAAATAAATTAATTTGACATGAAGAAAATAATATAATAGATCAACAAAACCAAAAGCTGGTGGTTTGAAAAGTTAATGAAAATTGACAAACCCTTAGCCAGACTAAGAGAAAAAGAGAGATCCAAATTAATAAAATAAAATCAGAGATGAAAAAGGAGGCATTACAGTTGATATTGCAGAAATTCAAAGGATCATTAGTGGTTACTATGAGCAACTATATGCCAATAAATGGGAAAACCTAGAAGAAATGGCTAAATTCCTAGACACATACAATCTATCAAGATTGAACTGTGAAGAAATCCAAAACCTCAACAGACCAATAACAAGTAATGAGATTGAAGCTGTAATGAAAAGTGTCCTAGCAAAAAAAGCCTGGGACCTGATGGCTTCACTGGTGAACTTTCCCAAACATTTAGAGAACTAATCAAATATATTCAAACTATTCCAGCTGGGCATGGTGGCTCATGCCTGTAATCCCAGCACTTTGGGAGGCTGAGGTGGGTGGATCACCTGAGGTCAGGAATTCAAGACCAGCCTGGCCAACATGGTGAAACCCTGTCTCTACTAAAAATACAAAAATTAACTGGGCACGGTGGTGCATGCCTGTAGTCCTAGCTACTCTGGAGGCTGAGGCAGGATAATCACTTGAACCTGGGAGGTGGAGGTTGCAGTGAGCCGAGATTGTGCCACTGCACTCCAGCCTGAGCGACAGAGTGAGACTTACTCAAACTATTCCAAAAAATAGAGGAGAAGGGAATACTTTCAAAGTCATTCTAAGAGGCTAATATTACCCTCATACCCAACCAAAGACACATCAAAAACAAACAAGTAAACAACTGTAGGCTAATATCTCTGATGAATATCGATGCAAAAATCCTCAACAAAATGTTACCAAACAAAACACAGGAACACATTAGAAAGATCAAATTGATCACAATCAGTGGGATTTATCCCAGGGATGCAAATATGGTTCAACAGACACATATCAATCGGTGTGATACATCATATCAACAGAATTAAGGATGAAAACCATATGATGATTTCAGATGATGATTTCAGTTGATGATAAAAAAGCATTTGAAAACATTCAACATCGCTTCGTGATAAAAACCCTTAAAGAACTGGGTAAGGAAGAAATATACTTCAACATAATAAAAGCCATGTATGAGAGACCCATTGCTAATATCATACTGAAGAAGGAAAAGCTGAAAGCCTTTTCTCTGAGATTGATAACACAATAAGGATGCATACTTTCACTGCTTTTGTTTTCAGCATATACTGGAAGTCCTAGCTAGAGCTATCAGACAAGAGAAAGCAATAAAGGGCATACAAATTGGAATGGAAAATGTCAGATTATCCTTGTTTGCAGATGATATGGTCTTATATTTGGAAAAACCTAAAGACTCCACCAAAAAACTGTTAGAACTGATAAACAGATTTATTAAAGTTGCAGGATAAAAAATCAACATATAAAAATCAGTAGCATTTCTATATGCCAACAGTGAAAAATATGAAATTGAAACCAAGAAAGTAATCCCATTTACAATAGCTACAAATAAGATAAAATACCTAGGAATAAACCAAAGAAGTGAAAGATCTCCACAATGAAAACCATAAAACATTGATGTAAGAAATCAGAGAAGACACAACATTGGAAAGATATTCCATGTTCATGGGTTGGAGGAACCAATATTGTTAAAATGTCCATACTTACCCAAAGCAATCTATAGATTAAATGTAATCCATATCAAAATAACAATGACATTCTTCACAGAAATAGAAAAAAAAGTCCTAAAATTTATATGAAACTACAAAAGACCCAGAATAGCCAAAACTATCCTAAGCAAAAAGAACAAAGCTGCAGCAATCACATTATTTGCTTTTAAATTATGCTCCATAGCTATAGTAACCAAAACAGCAAAAACCAGTACTAGCAAGAAACACATAGACCAGTGGAACATAATAGGGAACCCAGAGATAAATCTGTACATCTATGGTGAACTCAGTTTTGACTAAGCTGCTAAGAACATAACACTGGGGAAAGGACAGTCTGTTCAATAAATGGTGCTGGGAAGAATGGATATCCATATACAGAAGGATGAAACTGGACCCCTGTATCTCATCATGTACAAAAACAAAATTAAAATACATTGAAGACTCAAATATAAGACCTCAAACTATGAAGCTACTAAGAGAAATTATTGGGAAACTCTCCAGGACGTTGGACTGGGCAAAGATTTATTGAGTGATACCCTAAAAGCATGGGCAAAAAAAGCAAAAATGGACAAATGGTATCACATCAAGTTAAAAAGGTATCTGCACAACAAAGAAAACAATCAACAAAGTGAAGAGACAACCCACAGAATGGGAGAAAATATTTTCAAACTACCTATCTGACAAGGGATTAATAACCAGAATATATAAGGAGCGCAAACAACTCTATAGGAAAAAGTCTAATCTAATTAAAAATCTAATTTAGATTGGGTGCAGTGGCTCACGCCTGTAATCCCAGCACTTTGGGAGGCCAGGGCGAGTAGATCACCTGGGGTCAGGAGTTCGAGCCCAGCCTGGCCAACATAGTGAAACCCTGTCTCTACCAATAATACAAAAATTAGCTGGGTGTGGTGGTGCACACCTGTAATCCCAGCTACTTGGGAGGCTGAGGCAGGAGAATTGCTTGAACCAGGGAGGTGGAGGTTGCAGTGAGCCAATGTTGCGCCATTATATTCCAGCCTGGGCGACAAGAGCGAAACTCCATCTCAAAAAAAAAAAATAATAATAATAAAATAAAATCTAATTTAAAAATGGACAATAGATTTGAATAGACATTTCTCAAAAGAAGATATACAAATGGCAAAAAGGCATATGAAAAGGTGCTTAGCAACACTGATCATCAGAGAAATGCAAATCAAAACTACAATGAGATATTATCTCACCCCAGGTAAATTGGCTTTTATTCAAAAGTCAAGCATTAACAAATGCTAGTGAGGATGTGGAGAAAAGGTAACCCTGGTACACTGTTGGTGGGAGTATGCATTAGTACAAGCACTATGAAGAACAGTTTATATGTTCCTTAGAAATCTAAAAATTGAGGTTTCACATGATTCACCAATCCCACTGCTAGGTATATACTCCGAAGAAGAGATATCTGCACTCCCTTGTTTATTGCAGCACTACTCACAGCAGCCAAGATTTGGAAGCAACGTTAAGTGTCCATCAACAGATAAAGAAAATGTATACATATACAGTGGAGTACTATTCAGCCATAAAGAAGAAGGAGATCCTGTCATTTTGCAGCAACATGGATGAAAGCAGATGTCATTAGGTTAAGTGAACAGGCACAGAAAGACAAAGTTCACACATTCTCACTTATTTCTGATTGCTAAAAATTGGAATAATTGAACTCATGTAGATAGAGAATTAGAACAATGATTACCAGAAGCTGAAAAGGGTAGTGGGAAGGTGGGATGGGTAAGGGACATGGGGATGGTTAATAGGTATGAAAAAATAATTAGAAAGAATGAATAAAACCTAGTATCTGCTAGCACAGCAGGGTGAATGTAGTCAATTTAATTGGACATTTAAAAATAACTAAGAGAATAATTGAATTGCTTCTAACACAAAGGATAAATGCTTGAGGTGATGGATACTCCATTTGCCCTGATGTGATTATTATGCATTTCATGCCTATGTAAAAGTATCTCACATAACACATTAATATATACACATGTACCCACAAAAATTAAAAATAAAGGAGTAAAAAAGTAATTTTTTAAATAATTTTATACTGCATGTAACCCATGTACAAGTAGTGCCATTACCTTGTAACAGGATATTTCCAATTCCTCCCTCTCTCCCCCTCCCCTTTTTTTTTTTGCCATTGCTGTCATGTTTTTTTTTTTTGTCCATGTGGTATAATCATCCAATACATTTATTCTTCCTTTTATCACATAGATCCACATTTTTGACCTATATAATTTTCTTTCTGTCTGAAGAACTACTTTTAATCTTTCTTTCAAGCCAGATATGCTGGCAATGATTTTTCTTGGTTTTTGCTTGTTTTGGAACTTGTGTGATTAAGGAATTATAATGAGAAAGTGATGGGGGCAAGGGTGTATTGGGCCTTGTAAGTCTTGGGAAGCAGTTTGAATTTTATTTAAATTTTAGTGAAAAGGTTTTGGTCTGGAGTTTTCATGTAATCTAATTTATTTTCCGAAAAAAAATTAAATAAATTGGCAGCTTTGTGAACAATGACGTAGATTGAGGGAAGAAGACTGGAAATAGAAGATGGGTTAGGAGGCTTTTACAGTAGATAAGAGCATTGTTTGGACTAGAGTGGTAGTAGTAGTAGACAGAAAAATGGATAGATGTGAGTCTTATTTTGGAAGTGGGTCTGACATGACTTGCTGATGTGAGGAGTAAAGAAGTGGAGGTGAATCAAGGATGATATCCAGGTTTCGTGTTCAAGTAACTTTGTAGAAGATAGTGGTGTTATTTACTGAAATGGCAAATCGGGACTGGAAACAAGTTTGGAGGAGACATTAGGAATTCCATTTTGGTCATGTTTCATTTAAGATACGATAAGACTTCCACATGGAAATATCAAGTAGAGAGGTGAATTTCAGGGCAGGAATTTAGAGAAGGTATTTGAGTTGGGATAGAAATTTGGAAGACTGTTAGCCTGCAGATGGTATTTTCGTCCATGACAATGACAGACATTACTTAGAGTGTGTGACAAGGGAAAAGGTCAGGATCTGAACTCAGGGAATTTCTAACATTTAGAAATCAGGTAGAGGAGCAGCAACCTGAGAAGGACTTGAAGGATTGACCACAGAAAGACATCTGGAATATGTGGTGTGTTGGCAGTTAAGGATTCATCGTGCAGTCTGGAAGAGTAAAGACCTGGCTTGTAACACATTCTGCATTTTTAGAAACAAAATATACAAAGTGAGAAAAAAACCTTCAGAGGACAGATGAATGTCGCTTGGGTTTTAAAAAGGAAGGGTGTTAACATGCATAACAGAAATAAATGATGGCTAGCTAATTACACTGGTCCAGGAGTATGGTTATTCTTTATTTTGATATTCTTGAAATTTTTGATTTTTTATAAAGTTGGAAAGTAATTACTTTTTAAAAGATACACATGTAACTTGAAGCTAGACTCATTCTTTTTATTGCCAAGAGTAATGGTGTTAGTGTCACCTAATGGCAAAATGGAATATTGCAGCTATACTTATAGGCTATAATGAAAAGGTAACCTAATTAGAAAGAAAAATAACATTTCTGGGGGGATTTTAGGCATGGATCAGTAGACTTACTATGGCTTACAAGGTCCCGTGTTCTTTAGCCCTAGCCTGCTTGTCCTGCCCCTCTATCACATTACTCATTTGGTCACTGAGCAGATTGTGTAATAGTAGGGTTCTTTTTTGTCTTTCAGGTTTAGGCTCAGATATTTTCCTCTCAGAGAGCTTTTTCCTACCACCTTAATTTGTCCGTATACTTCCCATAGCTACTGTTTGTCACATTAACGTGTTTATTGTTTGCATAGCCTTTAGAGTGACTTGGAATCACCATTTGCTCCCTTTTTATTTGTTTTCTTACTAGTATGTAAGCCCCAGAAGTGCAGGCTACTTGTTTTCCTTATTCACTTAGGTAACCTCAGGGCTGAGTTGTGTCTGTTATATAGTGTATGTCTGCAGTTAAACTTAGTTGTGTGAGTACATGAACTTCTGGATATGATAGTGAGTGTTGTTTCTATGCTGTAGAGATCTATCCAGAAAACAGAATTACACTGTGTTTGATTACTGAAACATTATTTGCTACGTGAAGGCAATATAGAAGCTTTTTTCTTTTTCTTTTTGGTGTTAATAAGTGATAATGTGTCAGGAAAGAGAAGCTATATGTCTTAGGATGTTGAATTCTGTATTAGTCAACTTTAGTTACTCAGAAAAAATATTTGCAGGTACAATATTCGGTCTTGAGGAGATAAGTTTTTTTTTGAAGCATTTAGATTTAATTAATATAGCAGTGTCAGTGAATATGGTTTTGTGTCTGTGTGTGCATTTGTAGGTATTTCTAGTATCATTTAATTATTTCCTCTATTAAAAAGAAAACAGTATTTCTAAGAGAAATGAGAGTGAGTGTGTCAGGTAAACAGTGATAAATCTGGTTGAGATATGGACTGGTTTGTGTAAATTTTTAGGTAACAATATGGCTCTATTAGTCTGGAAACTTAGGATGAAGAGAGAGTACATTTCCATTAAGTGGCTCAGTCCAAGAAGGTAGCCTCCCTAACTTTGAGATAATTATCTAGCCAGCAGGATTCTTCTTCACATAAACCATTTTTAAAGCTTTATTAGTTCATGTTTTTAATTAGTTCATGTTTTTAATCAGTAGGTTTTTTTTTTTAATCCCTTTTGTTTTTCCAGGTGGTTGTGGGAAGAGAAGTTTGCAGAACTGAAATGGAGGTCAGAGCTTCATTACAGAAGGTTAGTGGATCATCTGATTCTGTGGCTACAATGAACAGTGAAGAATTTGTTTTGGTTCCTCAGTATGCAGATGATAATTCTACAAAACATGAAGAAAAACCTCAACTGAAGGTATTTTTTTCTTTTCTACATATGGTATAATTTTTAATTAAAAACTATTTGAAACTTAGGAGATGTGTAAAATGCAAAGGTTTTTCTCAAGTGCTGACTTTCAAAATAAAATCAATGTTTGATTTATCCAGACCCTAATTATTTGGTTTGTGTATTTTAAAAAGTTCTTGCTTTTGGTTGTTTACCTTTTGATTTGGAATTTTAGGGGGAAGAATAAAAGAAGAAAAAGAAGAGAAAGGATTTTTTGGTGAATTAGACATAATGGTTAAATTTTACATTACTTTATCTGGATGTTTTTGTTTCTCTTACTGCTGGGTTTTAGAAGTTAATTAAATGTTTTGCTTTCACTTGAGAGACTTTTTTCTTTATGATTTTTATGTTTTAAATCAGCTGGTAACGTTCCGTTGTGTGATTTAACAGTCGACTTGTCTAAATGTTTTTAAAGCATATCTTATATTTTTAGCATTTGAGTTTTTATTTAGATATGGTCCCTTTTTCACTTCTGTGTTGCACTTTCTAAGTCAAAGAAAAGGAAGCAAGTAAACTCAGTTATATAGGCTTGAAAATGGTATAACTGTCTTCTAGAAACAGGAATAGGAAAAGTAGTTAAAAGTGCTATATATTACTTATGACTTTTATTTAGTATTAACTATGGCATCAAAAGTGTATTAATATATCAGTCTAATAAAATATATTCTGAAAATGAGATTACTAAATGTTTATGTTGAGAATATATTGTTTTATAATTTTATTTAAATAATCAGTGGCTTTATTTTTAGATACCTGTATTTTAGCATTATTGTGTTTAAGACATCACTTATTTGCTTAGGCTTTGTGTTTCACCTGCCTTTGAGAAAACTATGAGTCAACTTAAGTGTAAGGAAATTAGCAATATTCATCTTGGGAGCTAGCCAACAATTTGTAAAGAAATCAGAAATATGGTTATGCTGTGCTAACAAGAAATATAACCTTTTAAATGATATTCATAATAGACCCGATTTAAATTTACCTATTTTTTCCTTTAGACATGTAAATTTAAGGTTATCTGATTTTTAGGGTGTGTTCCTAAAAAAGAAAAAGAAAAAGAAGGGCCAGGCGTGGTGGCTCATAGCCTGTACTCCCAGCACTTTGGGAGGCCAAGGTGGGCAGATTGCTTGAGGTAAGGAGCTCAAGACCAGCCTGGCCAATGTGGGGAAATCCCGTCTCTACAAAAAATACAAAAATTAGCTGGGTGTGGTCGTGCACGCCTGTAGTCCCATCTACTTGAGAGGCTGAGGCATGAGAATCGCTTGAACCCAGGAGGCGAAGTTTGCAATAAGCTGAGATTGCACCGCTGCATTCCAGCCTGGGTGACAGAGTGAGACTCTGTCTTTAAAAAGAAAGGGGAAAAAAAGATAAATACATCTCTGTAAATAGGATCTTATATAAAATGTAGTTGGAAACTGTCTTAAGTGTTTTATAAAGAATCCTTTTGTGAAACTAATAATCTTCCTCTAATTTAGTTTTATAACCAGGATTTTAATGTATTATATATGTGAAACAACTTCTTAGTATTTTAGTAACTATATTTAAATATTTAGATTGTTTTAATTTCTTCTAGAAATGAAATACTTTCATAAAATTTAGCTTCAGAACTATGGTAGAATTGAAACAGAATTGTCTTGCTGTGTCTGTAGATAGTTTCTAATGGTGATGAACAATTGGAAAAAGCCATGGAAGAGATTTTGAGAGATTCCGAGAAAAGGCCAAGCAGTCTTCTTGTTGATTGTCAAAGTTCCAGTGAGATTTCAGACCATTCGTTTGGAGATATTCCAGCCAGCCAAACAAATAAGCCATCTCTTCAGTTAATTTTGGATCCGTCTAACACAGGTACTGTATTGAATTCTTAGAAACTATTAAAGAAATGGGATAAAGTAATAGTGAAAATTTTAAGATGAAAATCAGAAAAAATTGTTAGCTCTTCTCAAGCTTTCAGTTCTTGTTGAGAGTTTCCACTTCGGTGTTATGTTTCTGCCTATATCTCTGCCTATAAAAATCAGGTCTTAATGTTCTTTGGGAACAAAGACTATGTCTGGGTCCTCATTTTACCCCTAGTACTTCATGCATGGTAGGTCCTCAACAGATACTTACTGAACAAATGAGTAAATACTTGGGTGTCACAGAATAGTGTAATGGAGATAGTCTTTCATGTGATGTGCCTTTTTGCTCAGTTTCACTACACTTATTTAAAGTTATATTTAGTAAAAACTCTAAGTAAAACATATCAATTCCAACAGTGTATTAAATAATAAATACATCTATGAATAATTAGGATTTGTACTTTGAATACTAGCTTATAAGTCAAGATGCTTTTGGGTGCAAAAATAAATAAAACCAAAACCAGCTCCAACTTCAGCTGGCTTAAACACCACAGGTATAATTTGATCTAGGCTCTGATGGTGTTTTTTTGGTAACTACTCAGCTCTGATCTTGTCTATGTTACCTTTCTCCTTAGCTGGTTACAAAGTAGCTACCAGCAGAAACTGGTAGGTAAGGGAAGGTGACCTGTTTGTGCCTGGTGGCAAAGAGAAAGTCTTCATTCTTTTACTGATTTTTAAAATTTCTTTGGTGACACGATCTCATTCTGTCATCCAGGCTGAAGTGCAGTGATGCTGTTCAGCCTTCTGAGTAGCTGGGTGTGTACCACCATGCCTAGCTAATTTTTTTTTTTTTTTTGTAGTGATGGGGTTTTGCCATGTTGACCAGGCCGGTCTTGAATTCCTGGCTTCAGGTGATCTGCCCACCTCAGCCTCCCAAAGTGTCGGGTTTACCAGTGCAAGCCATTGCACCCATCCCTGGCCTGTTTTACGGATTAAATAAAAGTTCTGAGTTTTACTCTGATTGGACCAGTGAAACCATTTTCTAGTAGTGAGGGAAATGACATGAACTGATAGCTGTAGGCCTGGGTTACATTCAAACCTGTAAATAAGTCACTCTGACAGAGGGGATGGGATTATCCTAATTGGCTTAGGAAACTCGTGATTCATTTCTGAACCAAATGAACCTTGGTACAGGGTAAGTATAGGTATAGCCAAACTGTTACACAATAGGGCTGTGATGCATTTATGTAGGGAATGTAATCACAGTGCCTTCCATGGCAAGGATGATTAAGCATTAGAAAAATCTTTCAGTGTGGTTTACCACATAAAGTGGTGAAGAGTGAAAAAGTATCAGTAGATAAAGAACAAGCACTGGATAAAATTTAAAATTTTACATGTATATGCACATGTAAAGTTCTTGGAAAACTTAGAAGGAAACTTGCTTAATCAAATATCTATCAAAGTCTTATGTTTTATGCTGAAATTTAAAATGCGTTACCATCAAGATATATTGAAACAGGAGCAGTTAGGGCATGATAGCTATCACCATAGCTCTTTGACGTTGTACTAAAGAATCCAGCCAATGCAAGATGACAGGAAAAAGAAATGAAGTGTGATTAGAAAAAAAGTGAAAAAATTCTCATGATTGGTAAAGTATTTAAGAAAGTGAATGGATAAGCTATTAGATTTAAAGACTTTTTGCCAGGCATGGTGGCTCATGCCTGTAATCCCAGCAATTTGGGAGGGTGAGGCGGGCAGATCACTTGAAGTCAGGAGTTTGAGACCAGCCTGGCCAACATGGCAAAACCCCGTCTCTATTAAAAATACAAAAATGGCTGGGCGGGGTGGCTCAAGCCTGTAATCCCACCACTTTGGGAGGCCAAGATGGGCAGGTCACGAGATCAGGAGTTCCAGACCAGCCTGGCTAATATAGTGAAACCCCGTCTCTACTAAAAATACAAAAATTAACTGGGTGTGGCAGCACATGCCTGTAGTCCCAGCTACTCAGGAGGCTGAGGCGAGAGAATCGCTTGAACCTGGGAGGCAGAGGTTGCAGTGAGCCAAGACTGCACCATTGCACTCCAGCCTGCGTGACAGTGAGACTCTGTCTAAAAAAAAAAAAAAAAAAAAAAAAAAAAATTAGCTGGGCAGGGTGGTGAACACTTGAAATTCCAGCTGCTCAGGAGGCTGAGACAGAAAAGTCACTTGAACCCAGGAGGTGGAGGTTGCAATGAACTGAGATCATGCCACTGCACTCCAACCTGGGCAACAGAGTGAGACTCCATCTCAAAAAAAAAAAAAAAAAAAAGATTTAACGACTTTTAGGAAGGTTAGCACCAACAGTAGAAAATAAAATTGCCATTCATAATACCAACAAAAATAATAGGTAACAAGGAAGAAACAAAAATTTATGTAAAATTTTAATAAAATTATAAAATGTTATTGAAGGAAATGAACACCTGAATGAATGGGGAGAGATGCCATGTTGATTGATAGGAGTCAACCTTGAAAAGATGTAACTTATCTCCAAATTAGTCTGTAACTTGGGTGGGAATTTCAAATTTTCAGTTATTTTTATAAACATTCTGAAATGTATCTGGACAAGTAGAGGTACACAGGTAGCTAAGAAAATTTTTAAAAAGAATATTATGTATTAAGATAGACTACAGAGTTACAGTGATTAAACCAATGTGATATTGGCTTGTTATAGAAGTGAATCACTAGAACAGGGTACCAGAAACAAACCTATGTATATAAAGGATTTCAGTATATGACAGAATTCGCTTCACATACCACTGGGGGAAATGGTAACTATGCAGTAAATAGTGTTGGGACAGTTGCATCTTTGAGTGCAATAAAATAAAATTAGGTTCCTTAGTTGTACATAAAAATTATTTTTAGTGAATCAGATATTTAAAGTGAGAAATAAGCCTGTAAGAAGAAAACAATGGAGCATATTTTTGTGATTGTCAAGGTAGGAAAAGCCAAATCACAAAAGGAAAAGATAGTTGCATATCATTATAGAAAAATTTAAGTCTGGCCTGGGCATGGTGGCTCACACCTGTAATCCCAGCACTTTGGGAGGCCAAGGTGGGTGGATTACTTGAGGTCAGGAGTTCAAGACCAGCCTGGCCAACATGGTGACACCCGGTGTCTACTAAAATACAAAAATTAGCCGGGCATGGTGGTTCATGCCTGTAATCCCAGCTGAGAATCTGGGCAGGAGAATGGCTTGAACCCAGGAGGCGGAGGTTGCAGTGAGCCAAGATTACACCACTGCACTCCAGCCTAGGCAGCAGAGTGAGACTCCATCTCAAAAAAAAATTTTAAATCTGAGTGCAAAAGACCATTTAGGTTATCTATTTCTTCTTGAGTGTACTTTGGTGTTTTCATCTTTCAAGTAATTGGTTAATTTCACCTAAGTATGGGGATAGAGTTGTTTCTCTGTTATAGAGTAATATTCTCTTATTATCCTTTTAATGTCTGCAGGATGTGTATTAATATCCTCTCATTCCTGATATTGACATGTATTACATATACATACATTGAAAAACCTACCAGTCTAATAATTTTGCTTTCAACAGCCATACGTATATTTCCTTGAGCACTTTAAAAATGCTTTTCCAGTGTCTTCTTGTCTCCATTGTTTCTGATAACAAATCTGAAGGGATTTGAATCATTGTTCTCCTATTTGTAATATGTTATTTTTCTTTGCTTTCAGTACTTTTATTTCATTGTTTTCAGCAGTTTGATTATCTGTGTGTGGTTTTCTTTGAGTTTATCTTTTTTTTTTGGATCACTGAGATTCTTGAATCTGTAAATTTATATCTTTAACCAAATTTGGGAGTTTTCACCCATTATTTCTTGGTAATTGTTTTGTTTCTACACTAATCTCTTTCTTTTCTGGGACTCAGTAGACAAAAATGGTAGACATTTCCATACCGTTCTCACAATTCCTTAGGCTCTTTTCATTGTTTTCCCTGTGTTCAAGCTCACTGACTTTTTACTTTGTTAATCTCCATTCTGCTATTGAGATCGTCTGATGAATTTTTAATTTTAGATATTGTATTTTTCTGTTTTTAAATTTACATTGTTTTTTAAAGTTTTTTTGTTTCTCTGTGGATAGTTTTGATATTTTTATTCATTACAGGTGTTTTCACGTTTATTTTATGGATTATTTATGGAGCAACTGGGACATCTTGGGATTGGTCTGTGGATTATTTTTTCACTTGAGAATAGATCACCCTTTTATGTTTGTTGAGTAATTGGCTTGTTCCCAGAGTTTTCGAATCTTATGTTTTGAGACTATTTCTTGTTAAAATCCTCTGAAGAATGTTGACTTTTTTTTTTTTTTTTTTTTTAAAGCAGACATTCCACCTGGTTGTGTCCAAACTGCAAGATCTGTCTTGCTTTCTGGTTCCAAAGTATTTTCAATTCTCAAAACCTTTGCTGTGCTTCTTCAGTCTGTTCCACATGCATACACAGTTTGCTAGTTTACACGCAGAGTTAGGGGATTATCTTCTTCAGCTCTCTCCTCTCTGAGATTTCCCCACACTCTCTGGCTTCCTTGGGCCATTTTCCTTCTACCCCTGTGTTAGAAAGACAGGTTTCTTTCTTAGAGTTTTTGCTGCTTTGTGCTGTTTTGCAGAATCATATGTCTGGAGCACTTTATGACAAAGTGGTGAGAGAAAAGAGAGGGAAAAATAATAGAGTTTTTCTTTTCCATTTTTGGGTTATAGGGGCCTCTTTGCTTTGGTATTTTAGCCTTTGAGACACATTTCTTTTCCTCCAGATTGTAGATGCTTACAGTACCACCGCGACTACCAGCATTTCAGGTAGTTCTGTGGTCGGGGCTAGTGGTAGAACTGGGAGAGAAAACAAAACAGAAACAAGTCATGATTTCTCAGATACTCTCTAGTTTGCAGGGACTTCTTTTTCTGTTATTTGGCTGGAAAGATTGGATTTCTTTGTTTTGTTGCTCACTGCTATTCTGCAACTCGGACCACCCTTAGGTCAAAACTGGGAGGTGATGATGAGAAAAATGGAAAACTCACCACTGTAATAGAGGTTCAGATTTTCACTTTCCTCTCCACTCTGGCTGTTCCTATTTACTTTTTAAAAGGAGGCTGGATGTGGTGGCTCACGCCTGTAATCCCAGCGCTTTGGGAAGCCAAAGTGGGCGGATCACTTGAGCTCAGGAGTTCAAGACCAGCCTGCGCAACATAGCGAAACCCAATCTCAATAAAAAAAGAAAGAAAGAGTCCTCCGGTCGTTGCTTTTTATATTCTGTCGAAAGTTTTCAGGTATAATCTGTGGGAGAGATAACTTATAACAGTAGGAGAGATAAATTGTAACAGGCTTATCACTTCAATTTCACTGGTCCAGTTCAATAATCTTGAGTCTGTTTTTGCTTCAGCTGTTTTGAAGTTCTGCTATTAAGGGCATAGTCACTTAGAATTTTTGTGTTTTCTTAATGAATTGACCATTTTAGCCTTGTGAAATATCCGTTTTCTTTTTGTTAAAATTCCTTGTCCTGAAGTCTAGTTTTTCTTATATTAATATAGCCACTTTTGGTTTCTTATGATTAGTATTTGCATGGTATATATTTTTCTTTTTCCTTTTTTTTTAAAAAAAATTTTCATCTATTTTTATCTTTAAAGAGTGTTTCTTGTAGATACCTTTTTAAAATCCAGTTTAACAATCTCAGTCTTTTAGTTGGGTTTAGACTAGGATAAGTAAACTACTATCTGTGAGCCAAATTCCACTTCCTACTTGTTTATGGTGTGGCTTGCAAAGTAAAATGGTTTTTACATTTTTAAATGGCTCTAACATATCAAAAGGAGAATAATATTGTGACACATGAAGCTTATATGAAATTCAAATTTTAGTATCCATAATTAAGTTTTAAGTTTTGTCAAAAAATCTGTGGAAGGTTTTTTTCTCACTTGTATAAATACTTGCATAATATTGTAGATTTTGTCTCTTGGCCCACCAAACCTAAAATATTTATCATATGACCCTTTACAGAAAAAGCTGACCATTTACTTTTTTTTTTTTTTTTTTGAGATGGAGTTTCACTCTTGTTGCCTAGGCTGGAGTGCAATGGCACGATCTCAGCTCACTGCAACCTCCACCTCCTGAGTTCAAGCAATTCTCCTGCCTCAGCCTCCTGAGTAGCTGGGACTACAGGTGCATGCCACCATGCCCAGCTAATTTTTTTTTTTTTTTAGTAGAGATGGGGTTTCACCCTGTTGGCCAGGATGGTCTCCATCTCTTGACCTCATGATCTGCCTGCCTGGGCCTACCAAAGTGCTGGGATTACAGGCATGAGTCACTGCGCCCAGCTGACCATTTACCTTTGATGTAATTTTAAATATATTTGGATCTAAGTGTACTTACTCTCTTGCTGTTTTTCTCTGTCTCTTCTGTTCTTGTTTTTCCCCTCCTTTCCTGCCTTTAGATTATTTTTAATGTTCTATTTTATCTCCATTATTGGCACATTAGCTATATAATTTTGTCTTATTATTTTAGTATTTGCTCTGGAGTTTATAACTCAAGTCTTTAACTCATTTACATTCTAATAATGTCATAACACTTTATGTACATTGTAAGGATCTTTTGTTACCTTCTAGATTTTATGCTTCTGCTCTCATTCATTTTGCTAATACATATGTTAGAAGTTCTACAAAATACTGTGGTTTTTTTTTTTTTTGCTTTAGTCTGTTATATTTTGAAGAAATTAAAGAGCAAGGAATAGGTCTTTTTCTCATATTTAACTTCTCGTGCTCTTCAGTTTTCTATCATTTTCCTGTAGCCCAAGGAACTTCCTTTAACATTCCTCTTCTGCAATTTAGAAACTGCTGTTATATTCACCTGGGGAATATTTTACTGCAGATCTTGTATTTTTTCAGCTCTAGAATTTCTTTTGGTTCTTTTTTATGTCTTTCATTTTTCTTCTTATTTTGTTAGATGTTTATCTTTAAATCCTTGATCATATTTATAATAGTCGTATAGGCCTTCTTTGCCTATTTTATCATTTCTTATTTTTGGATCAGTTTCTGTACTGTTTTATATTTGGAATCTGTAGAGTCATGAATCTTGGGTTACACAGGTTTATAAAATACCTCTTCAAACAACTTCTTTTTGGCCTCCTCTTTTCTCTTTTTATTTATATTATTTTTTGTTGTTCCTCACTGGTTCACATTCATCTTATATTTTTTCTGTTTTTAAGACTCTAGTTACACATGTTAGACCACTTGAACTACGTAATCACCCAGGCTCATCAGTCTTATTGTTGCTGCATAAGTGCTTGTTACATTAAGAAAAGTATGTAAAAACATACATGTATATAATAATATAATACAAAGTAATTTAAACATATTAAAATGTATTTGTAGTTTTTTATTTATCCCTTTTGAAATACATTATATTGAACTGACTGAAAAAGGGAGAAAAACATGTTTCAGTGGTTGAAGAACATGGTAGATGAAGTAGTTCATTTTGAATGGCTTTAGTTCCTTAACAAAAAAGTCAGTGGTGAAGTTGCATATTTTAGTATAATATTTAGGAGCTGCAGTTGGGGAATTTGAAATGGCTTTTGTGAATTATTTATTAAAATCCTATCCTACAAGAGGAATCCTGGTAATGGCAGTCTGAAAATGTTGCAAGGACCTAGTTCAAGTGATACATGTATGCTTAATTTTGTGCGGCATGAATGTAGGTAACAGCGGGGAAGCCAAGCAGAATGTGGATTTTAGGTAGGGGCATGAAGGGAGAATGTTATACTACCTGATACACGGAGATGGATGCTCTCTAACCACAATTGGACCTTTGCTGCCTGCTGTTCTTAGAATAAAATGAACAGTTTTTTTTTTTTAAAGAAATTCATTATGATGGGGATGGAATTGGGCGAAGCAATCGTAGATTCATTCATCAAAAATAATTATTTTGAGGAAAAAAATTCCATTGGAATACTTATATAGTTCATTATAGTTCATAGAAGCCAGCAAGCCAGGAATGAGGGAAATAAGGAGCTTGACACTTGTTGTTGGTATGAGATGTAACATTTTAACATTGCTTGTTTTTGCTTAGGAAGTTAGGCTGCTTAATAAATGTGGTGCAGTGAAGGATCTTTACAGTCAAGATAAACTTTTAGCTGATTTACTTTTGTTTAATCCTCATTATTTTGGGGCTAATTCACAGTATCTTTAGTATAGTTTTTCCTCCTTATTGTTCTATATCACTTGTTAACCAAAAAGTGGCAGGTCTCAATCCATAGAGGTTTACTTAGTCAAGGGTTTAGTATGTGCCTGGGAAAAACAAGCCACAGGAACAGTTGTGACCTGTGCTTTTCTAGAGGGGTTTTGGGAATTTCGGTGTTTAAACGGGGAAAGGGCAAGCACAGGTTAAAAAAGAGGGAAAGGTAGGCAGTGAGGCAAATGGTTGCATTCTTGTGAGGCTCTGACTAGCCTCAATAAATCTACACTTTACATGTGAAAAGAGGGAGTAGAGGAAAAAGTCATTTGGGTTGGTTCCAAGTCTTTGCTATTGTGAATAGTGCCGCTATAAACATACATGTGCATGTGTCTTTATAGCAGCATGATTTATAATACTTTGGGTATATACCCAGTAATGGGATGGCTGGGTCAAATGGTATTTCTAGTTCTAGATCCCTGAGGAATCGCCACACTGACTTCCACAATGGTTGAACTAGTTTACAGTCCCGCCAACAGTGTAAAAGTGTTCCTATTTCTCCACATCCTCTCCAGCACCTGCTGTTTCCTGACTTTTTAATGATCACCATTCTAACTGGTGTGAGATGGTATCTCATTGTGGAACCAACCCAAATGTCCAACAATGATAGACTGGATTAAGAAAATGTGGCACATATACACCATGGAATACTATGCAGCCATAAAAATGATGAGTTCATGTCCTTTGTAGGGACATGGATGAAGCTGGAAACCATCATTCTCAGCAAACTATCGCAAGGACAAAAAACCAAACACCGCATGTTCTCACTCATAGGTGGGAATTGAACTATGAGAACACATGGACACAGGAAGGGAAACATCACACACCGGGGCATGTTGTGAGGTGGGGGGAGGGGGGAGGGATAGCATTAGGAGATATACCTAATGTTAAATGATGAGTTAATGGATGCAGCACACCAACATGGCACATATATACGTATGTAACAAACCTGCACGTTGTGCACTTGTACCCTAAAACTTAAAGTATAGTAAAAAAAAGAATAAAAAAAAAGGAAGTCAATTATGCATTCGTCTTAGTGTAGGTGAAGGGACGATTTCTGGTCTTGTCCTGTGTCTGTGAAGATAAGCTGATAATTGACATTGTGAGGATGAGATTTGACAGAACTCAGCTTTAGAGCTAGTTTATAGGGAGGATACATATCTTAAATGATTTAGGGGCTCACACGGAAATTCCTTGTGAGTAATCTGTGAGGGAAGCCATCTGGGGAGATATGTGCCCTTCTATCGTTGTGGGAACCTGGCATATGGATAAGGCTATGACACAGGGTTGTGAATTTACAGCTATCTGGGAACAAAAAGAAGGCAGTATGGTGTGACTCGGTTCCCAAGCTTATCTTTTGCTTTGGCATAGTCAGTTTGGAGACCAGAGGTTCTGTTGTTCTTTTACATACTTGTACTCTATCTTTTTGAGTTTTTTTTAATATAAAGCTTAAATTTTTTCTCTCATCTGAAGAACTTACAGCTAAGTAAGATAATATTTTGAGAGATTCAAAAGTATGAAATGGCTGGCTCTGGAACTCTGACATAAGATTTAGGATTATAAAATCCTAGAATCCTAGATTTTAAATCCTAAAATTTTAAAATATAAAAGGAGTGAAAATACAGAGAGACCTAGATTTTGTTTGAAATATTTCATTTCTTTTTGGGCATTGGCAAGATTATAATGATGGTGGAGTTTTGCAATGACTTTTGAGTGTTTCTTTTTTTGTTTCTTCAGAAATTTCTACACCCAGACCATCTTCTCCAGGTGGACTACCTGAAGAAGATAGTGTTTTATTTAATAAACTGACCTACTTAGGATGTATGAAGGTTTCTTCCCCACGTAATGAAGTAGAGGCTTTACGGGCAATGGCAACCATGAAATCTTCCAGTCAATACCCCTTTCCTGTTACCCTGTATGTACCAAATGTTCCAGAAGGTTCTGTGAGGTAAGCTCTAATTTGTTTTTCTTTAGACACATATTAAGTCTTTTGGGTGGTGGTGAAGATGTTATAGCATCATCAGGTGTAGAACTTACTGTGAACTCACACTGTAGACATGCAGAGTAAACATGTTTAGGCTTAGACTGTGTTCATTGTTTGAAAGGGGCATTTGAACAATTGTATTAGTCTATTCTTGCACTGCAATAAAGAAATATCTGAGATTGGATAATTGATAAAGAGAAGAGGTTTAACTGGCTCTTGGTTCTGCAGGGTGTATAGGAAACATGATGCTGGCCATCTGCTCAGCTTCTGGGAGGGAGGCCTCAGGAGGGGAGGCCTCAGGAAACTTAAAATCATGGCAGAAGGCAAGGGGAAGCAGAATTGTCTTACGTGGCAGGAGCAGGAGCAAGAGCGAGAAGGGGGAGGTGCCACACGCTTTTAAACAACCAGGTTTCATGAGAACAGCTATCATGAGAACAGCACCGAGGGGATGGTGCTAAACCATTCATAAGAAATTGTTCCCATGATCCAATCACCTTTCACCAGCCCCACCTCCAACATTGGAGATTACAATTTGACATGAGATTTAGACGGAGCCGCAGATCCAAACCCATATCAACAATTACGCTTAGAATATTATAAATAGAAATAAAACGGTAAAAATACTTGTAATATTTATTTCTCTATCCTGA
Source organism: Homo sapiens (assembly GCF_000001405.40). Lineage (NCBI taxonomy): Eukaryota > Metazoa > Chordata > Mammalia > Primates > Hominidae > Homo > Homo sapiens. Next base: position 174,232,042 of record NC_000001.11, read on the forward strand.
ATGAGCATAAAAATCTGCCTTCAGCTTCTGAAGTAATAGTGGTTGAAAGAAACTGGAGTGAGCCATAGATTTTAAGTTATTTACATTAGACTGGAAAGAAGCAAAATGGCTTTTTCCTCTTATGCTTAATTAGGAATAATACATTACCTCAGCTGAACCTTTAGTTTCTTTAAATGTAAGTCAGGGCCAGGTGTGGTGGCTCACACCTGCAATCCCAGCACTTTGGGAGGCTGAGGTGGGTGAATCACTTGAGGTCAGGAGTTCGAAACCAGCCTGGGCAAAATAATACAAAAATTTGCCACGTGTGGTGGCACACGCCTGTAATCCCAGCTGCTTGGGAGGCTGAGGCAGGAGAATCGCTCAAACTCGGGAGATGGAGGTTGCGGTGAGCCGAGATCATGCCACTGCACTCCAGTCTGGGTGACAGAGACCCCCATCTCAATTAAAAAAAAAAAAAAGTGGCCGGGCGCGGTGGCTCAAGCCTGTAATCCCAGCACTTTGGAAGGCCGAGGTGGGTGGATCACGAGGTCAGGAGATCGAGACCATCCTGGCTAACACGGTGAAACCCCGTCTCTACTAAAAATACAAAAAATTAGCTGGGCATGGTGGCGGGCGCCTGTAGTCCCAGCTACTCGGGAGGTTGAGGCAGGAGAATGGTGTGAACCCAAGAGATCGTGCCACTGCGCTCCAGCCTGGGCGACAGAGCAAGACGCCATCTCAAAAAAAAAAAAAAATAAGTCAGATAATGTTATTCTCCTACATTCGGCCTTTCCCTCAGTCACACTTGTGGTTATATTTGAAATCCTTATCATGGTTAGGCACTGTTGACCTACTGCTCCAACTTGTTCTTCCCCTCTTCGTCCTTCCTTCTTTTCTTCTTAGCCTGTTTGGGCTGCTGTAACAAACTGCCATAGACTGGTGGTTTACATACAACAGATAATTATTTTTCACAGTTCTCGTGGTTGGGAGTTCCTAGATCAAAGCTCCAGCATATTTGGTGTCTGGTGAGGGCCTGCTTCCTGGTTCATGTGTTCTTACATGGTGGAAGAGAGTGTAAGAGCTCTCTGGGGTTTCTTTTATAAGGATACTACTCTTATTCAAGAGGACTCCCTTCTCTCTCTCTTTCTGTCCTTCTGTCTCCCTCCTCCCTTCTCTCTCTTCATTCATCAAAAGAAGATGCAGATTTGTGTGTATGTGTGTAAGATGTGCAAGAATATGAAGATAATTTTTTTTTTTATTATACTTTAAGTTTTAGGGTACATGTGCACATTGTGCAGGTTAGTTACATATGTATACATGTGCCATGCTGGTGCACTGCACCCACTAACTCGTCATCTAGCATTAGGTATATATCCCAATGCTATCCCTCCCCCCTCCCCCCACCCCACAACAGTCCCCAGAGTGTGATATTCCCCTTCCTGTGTCCATGTGATCTCATTGTTCACTTCCCACCTATGAGTGAGAATATGCGGTGTTTGGTTTTTTGTTCTTGCGATAGTTTACTGAGAATGATGATTTCCAATTTCATCCATGCCCCTACAAAGGACATGAACTCATCATTTTTTATGGCTGCATAGTATTCCATGGTGTATATGTGCCACATTTTCTTAATCCAGTCTATCATTGTTGGACATTTGGGTTGGTTCCAAGTCTTTGCTATTGTGAATAATGCTGCAATAAACATACGTGTGCATGTGTCTTTATAGCAGCATGATTTATAGTCATTTGGGTATATACCGAGTAATGGGATGGCTGGGTCAAATGGTATTTCTAGTTCTAGATCCCTGAGGAATCGCCACACTGACTTCCACAATGGTTGAACTAGTTTACAGTCCCACCGACAGTGTAAAAGTGTTCCTATTTCTCCACATCCTCTCCAGCACCTGTTGTTTCCTGACTTTTTAATGATTGCCATTCTGACTGGTGTGAGATGGTATCTCATAGTGGTTTTGATTTGCATTTCTCTGATGGCCAGTGATGATGAGCATTTTTTCATGTGTTTTTTGGCTGCATAAATGTCTTCTTTTGAGAAGTGTCTGTTCATGTCCTTCGCCCACTTTTTGATGGGATTGTTTGTTTTTTTCTTGTAAATTTGTTTGAGTTCATTGTAGATTCTGGATATTAGCCCTTTGTCAGATGAGTAGGTTGTGAAAATTTTCTTCCATTTTGTAGGTTGCCTGTTCACTCTGATGGTAGTTTCTTTTGCTGTGCAGAAGCTCTTTAGTTTAATTAGATCCCATTTGTCAATTTTGTCTTTTGTTGCCATTGCTTTTGGTGTTTTGGACATGAAGTCCTTGCCCACGCCTATGTCCTGAATGGTAATGCCTAGGTTTTCTTCTAGGGTTTTTATGGTTTTAGGTCTAACGTTTAAATCTTTAATCCATCTTGAATTGATTTTTGTATAAGGTGTAAGGAAGGGATCCAGTTTCAGCTTCCTACATATGGCTATCCAGTTTTCCCAGCACCATTTATTAAATAGGGAATCCTTTCCCCATTGCTTCTTTTTCTCAGGTTTGTCAAAGATCAGATAGTTGTAGGTATGCGGCATTATTTCTGAGGGCTCTTTTCTGTTCCATTGATCTATATCTCTGTTTTGGTACCAGTGCCATGCTGTTTTGGTTACTGTAGCCTTGTAGTATAGTTTGAAGTCAGGTAGTGTGATGCCTCCAGCTTTGCTCTTTTGGCTTAGGATTGACTTGGCAATGCGGGCTCTTTTTTGGTTCCATATGAACTTTAAAGTGGTTTTTTCCAATTCTGTGAAGAAAGTCATTGGTAGCTTGATGGGGATGGCATTGAATCTGTAAATTACCTTGGGCAGTATGGCCATTTTCATGATATTGATTCTTCCTACCCATGAGCATGGAATGTTCTTCCATTTGTTTGTATCCTCTTTTATTTCCTTGAGCAGTGGTTTGTAGTTCTCCTTGAGGAGGTCCTTCACATCCCTTGTAAGTTGGATTCCTAGGTATTTTATTCTCTTTGAAGCAATTGTGAATGGGAGTTCACTCATGATTTGGCTCTCTGTTTGTTTGTTGTTGGTGTATAAGAATGCTTGTGATTTTTGTACATTGATTTTGTATCCTGAGACTTTGCTGAAGTTGCTTATCAGCTTAAGGAGATTTTGGGCTGAGACAATGGGGTTTTCTAGATATACAATCATGTTGTCTGCAAACAGGGACAATTTGACTTCCTCTTTTCCTAATTGAATACCCTTTATTTCCTTCTCCTGCCTGATTGCCCTGGCCAGAACTTCCAACACTATGTTGAATAGGAGTGGTGAGAGAGGGCACCCCTGTCTTGTGCCAGTTTTCAAAGGGAATGCTTCCAGTTTTTGCCCATTCAGTATGATATTGGCTGTGGGTTTGTCATAGATAGCTCTTATTATTTTGAAATACGTCCCATCAATACCTAATTTATTGAGAGTTTTTAGCATGAAGGGTTGTTGAATTTTGTCAAAGGCTTTTTCTGCATCTATTGAGATAATCATGTGGTTTTTGTCTTTGGCTCTGTTTATATGCTGGATTACATTTATTGATTTGTGTATATTGAACCAGCCTTGCATCCCAGGGATGAAGCCCACTTGATCATGGTGGATAAGCTTTTTGATGTGCTGCTGGATTCGGTTTGCCAGTATTTTATTGAGGATTTTTGCATCAATGTTCATCAAGGATATTGGTCTAAAATTCTCTTTTTTGGTTGTGTCTCTGCCCAGCTTTGGTATCAGAATGATGCTGGCCTCATAAAATGAGTTAGGGAGGATTCCCTCTTTTTCTATTGATTGGAATAGTTTCAGAAGGAATGGTACCAGTTCCTCCTTGTACCTCTGGTAGAATTTGGCTGTGAATCCATCTGGTCCTGGACTCTTTTTGGTTGGTAAACTATTGATTATTGCCACAATTTCAGCTCCTGTTATTGGTCTATTCAGAGATTCAACTTCTTCCTGGTTTAGTCTTGGGAGAGTGTATGTGTCGAGGAATGTATCCATTTCTTCTAGATTTTCTAGTTTATTTGAGTAGAGGTGTTTGTAGTATTCTCTGATGGTAGTTTGTATTTCTGTGGGATCGGTGGTGATATCCCCTTTATCATTTTTTATTGTGTCTATTTGATTCTTCTCTCTTTTTTTCTTTATTAGTCTTGCTAGCGGTCTATCAATTTTGTTGATCCTTTCAAAAAACCAGCTCCTGGATTCATTGATTTTTTGAAGGGTTTTTTGTGTCTCTATTTCCTTCAGTTCTGCTCTGATTTTAGTTATTTCTTGCCTTCTGCTAGCTTTTGAATGTGTTTGCTCTTGCTTTTCTAGTTCTTTTAATTGTGATGTTAGGGTGTCAATTTTGGATCTTTCCTGCTTTCTCTTGTGGGCATTTAGTGCTATAAATTTCCCTCTACACAGTGCTTTGAATGTGTCCCAGAGATTCTGGTATGTTGTGTCTTTGTTCTCGTTGGTTTCAAAGAACATCTTTATTTCTGCCTTCATTTCGTTATGTACCCAGTAGTCATTCAGGAGCAGGTTGTTCAGTTTCCATGTAGTTGAGTGATTTTGAGTGAGTTTCTTAATCCTGAGTTCTAGTTTGATTGCACTGTGGTCTGAGAGACAGTTTGTTATAATTTCTGTTCTTTTACATTTGCTGAGGAGAGCTTTACTTCCAACTATGTGGTCAATTTTGGAATAGGTGTGGTGTGGTGCTGAAAAAAATGTATATTCTGTTGATTTGGGGTGGAGAGTTCTGTAGATGTCTATTAGGTCTGCTTGGTGCAGAGCTGAGTTCAATTCCTGGGTATCCTTGTTGACTTTCTGTCTCGTTGATCTGTCTAATGTTGACAGTGGGGTGTTAAAGTCTCCCATTATTAATGTGTGGGAGTCTAAGTCTCTTTGTAGGTCACTCAGGACTTGCTTTATGAATCTGGGTGCTCCTGTATTGGGTGCATATATATTTAGGATAGTTAGCTCTTCTTGTTGAATTGATCCCTTTACCATTATGTAATGGCCTTCTTTGTCTCTTTTGATCTTTGTTGGTTTAAAGTCTGTTTTATCAGAGACTAGGATTGCAACCCCTGTCTTTTTTTGTTTTCCATTTGCTTGGTAGATCTTCCTCCATCCTTTTATTTTTGAGCCTATGTGTGTCTCTGCACGTGAGATGGGTTTCCTGAATACAGCACACTGATGGGTCTTGACTCTTTATCCAATTTGCCAGTCTGTGTCTTTTAATTGGAGCATTTAGTCCATTTACATTTAAAGTTAATATTGTTATGTGTGAATTTGATCCTGTCATTATGATGTTAGCTGGTGATTTTGCTCATTAGTTGATGCAGTTTCTTCCTAGTCTCGATGGTCTTTACATTTTGGCATGATTTTGCAGCGGCTGGTACCGGTTGTTCCTTTCCATGTTTAGCGCTTCCTTCAGGAGCTCTTTTAGGGCAGGCCTGGTGGTGACAAAATCTGTCAGCATTTGCTTGTCTGTAAAGTATTTTATTTCTCCTTCACTTATGAAGCTTAGTTTGGCTGGATATGAAATTCTGGGTTGAAAATTCTTTTCTTTAAGAATGTTGAATATTGGCCCCCACTCTCTTCTGGCTTGTAGGGTTTCTGCCGAGAGATCCGCTGTTAGTCTGATGGGCTTCCCTTTGAGGGTAACCCGACCTTTCTCTCTGGCTGCCCTTAACATTTTTTCCTTCATTTCAACTTTGGTGAATCTGACAATTATGTGTCTTGGAGTTGCTCTTCTCGAGGAGTATCTTTGTGGCGTTCTCTGTATTTCCTGAATCTGAACGTTGGCCTGCCTTACTAGATTGGGGAAATTCTCCTGGATAATATCCTGCAGAGTGTTTTCCAACTTGGTTCCATTCTCCCCATCACTTTCAGGTACACCAATCAGACGTAGATTTGGTCTTTTCACGTAGTCCCATATTTCTTGGAGGCTTTGCTCATTTCTTTTTATTCTTTTTTCTCTAAACTTCCCTTCTCACTTCATTTCATTCATTTCATCTTCCATTGCTGATACCCTTTCTTCCAGTTGATCGCATCGGCTCCTGAGGCTTCTGCATTATTCACGTAGTTCTCGAGCCTTGGTTTTCAGCTCCATCAGCTCCTTTAGGCACTTCTCTGTATTGGTTATTCTAGTTATACATTCTTCTAAATTTTTTTCAAAGTTTTCAACTTCTTTGCCTTTGGTTTGAATGTCCTCCCGTAGCTCAGAGTAATTTGATCGTCTGAAGCCTTCTTCTCTCAGCTCGTCAGTCATTCTCCATCCAGGTTTGTTCCGTTGCCGGTGAGGAACTGCGTTCCTTTGGAGGAGGAGAGACGCTCTGCGTTTTAGAGTTTCCAGTTTTTCTGTTCTGTTTTTTCCCCATCTTTGTGGTTTTATCTACTTTTGGTCTTTGATGATGGTGATGTACAGATGGGTTTTTGGTGTGGATGTCCTTTCTGTTTTTAGTTTTCCTTCTAATAGACAGGACCCTCAGCTGCAGGTCTGTTGGAATACCCTGCAGTGTGAGGTGTCAGTGTGCCTCTGCTGGGGGGTGCCTCCCAGTTAGGCTGCTCGGGGGTCAGGGGTCAGGGACCCACTTGAGGAGGCAGTCTGCCCGTTCTCAGATCTCCAGCTGCGTGCTGGGAGAACCACTGCTCTCTTCAAAGCTGTCAGACAGGGACATTTAAGTCTGCAGAGGTTACTGCTGTCTTTTTGTTTGTCTGTGCCCTGCCCTCAGAGGTGGAGCCTACAGAGGCAGGCAGGCCTCCTTGAGCTGTGGTGGGCTCCACCCAGTTCGAGCTTCCCGGCTGCTTTGTTTACCTAAGCAAGCCTGGGCAATGGCGGGCGCCCCTCCCCCAGCCTTGCTGCCGCCTTGCAGTTTGATCTCAGACTGCTGTGCTAGCAATCAGCGAGATTCCGTTGGCGTAGGACCCTCCAAGCCAGGTGTGGGATATAGTCTCGTGGTGCGCCCTTTTTTAAGCCGGTCTGAAAAGCGCAATATTCGGGTGGGAGTGACCCGATTTTCCAGGTGTGTCCGTCACCCCTTTCTTTGACTCAGATAGGGAACTCCCTGCCCCCTTGCGCTTCCCAGGTGAGGCAATGCCTCGCCCTGCTTCGGCTCGCGCACCGTGCGCGCACCAACTGGCCTGCGCCCACTGTCTGGCACTCCCTAGTGAGATGAACCCGGTACCTCAGATGGAAATGCAGAAATCACCCGTCTTCTGCGTCGCTCACGCTGGGAGCTGTAGACCGGAGCTGTTCCTATTCGGCCATCTTGGCTCCTCTTCGATAATTTGTTTACTTGCATTGTTAGTACCACTTTCCTCTCCCTTTCTCTGTCTTCATTCACTACATTCCAGTTATACTAGCCTCTGTATTCATTCTTATAGGACTTACCAGTCATATTTCCCGCCCCAGGACCTTGGCATATTATCTTTATACTCCCTAAGTAAATCTTTCCCTGATTTTCCAATGCTTTTTGTTTCATCTTAGTAAACATTTTATCATAAGAAGCCTTCCTTGGTTATATCATGTAACTCTCTTTCCTCATACTGGGCCATTTTTTTTTCCTTCGTAGCACTTTTCTTTGAATTGATATTATATTTATTTGCTTATTGGTTTATTGGATATCTTCCTCACTAGATTATAAGCTTGTGAGAATAGTTTCTTTATATTTTTCCCTGCTGTAGCTTCAGTGGCTAGGGAAGTAAGTGATTCATTGTAAGATTTTAGCAAATATTTGCTGAATGAACAAATAAGCAGACCAGGTCAAGGAAATGAGGTTGAATTTGTCTGGAGCCTGGAATATTCTCTGAAAGTTGCTTTAATCTTTTAAAAACCCTTTCTGATTTGCCTCATTCTCTAAAGTTTAGAATGTGGGAAAACTTTTGCTAAATTCCAAGTACCAAAATATTGGCAATATAAATTTAGAAAATTTTGGTAAAAATGCTTTGAATTTTTCAGGAAAGGGTTTGCATGTATATTGTTTATATGTTATCGTCTAAAAATGTCAAAATGTCTTTTTAAAGAAAAATTGTTTTCAAAGTGTCTTCTATGCTATCTGTTTAGCTTCAATTTGCCAAACACACCTTGACAGAGATTTAGTGTTTTGACTTGCCTCTTTATTCCTGGGGTTGTCCCCTTACCCTCAGTTTCTAAATTTGAGATCTTGAAGGGGTCTTGAATGTGTAGATCAGTCCAGGACTTAGGATTTGTTTTGTTTTGTTTTGTTTTTGTTTTTGTGTTTGTTTTTGTTTTTGAGACACAGTTTCACTCTGTTCCCCAGGCTGGAGTGCAGTGGCACGATCTTGGTGCACTGAAACATCTGCCTCCTGGGTTCAAGCGATTCTCATACCTCGGCCTCCTGAATAGCTGGGAATACCGGTTCCCACCGCCATGCCTGGCTGATTTTTGTATTTATCAGAAGAGATGGGATTTCACCGTGTTGGTCAGACTGGTCTTGAACTCCTGACCTCAAGTGATCCACCCATCTCGACCTCCTAAAGTGTTGGGATTACAGGCGTGAGCCACTGCGCCCAACCAGGACTTAGGATTTGTGTAGGGAAAGTCAGATAATTATTTGCTTCCAAATCCCAGACTCCTTTCAGCTTTTGTATTCCGTTGTTGAATTCATCTTTGGAACCACCTGACCTTTTCTGTGGTAGAAAGGGCCTCAGTTGAACAATGAATTAGGGCTTAGATAAACTAATAGGTGCTGCTCTGTATAGAAGTGGGCTCTCCAGGAATAGTCTATACTATTCTAGATTGGCATTCCTTTTGCCATAATTGAAAAAGACTAGATTTAGGGATGGGTGATAGAGATGTTACCAGGCACGTATACTTAGCTTTGGAGTAAATGAGTTGGTTCATAGGAAACACAAGAATGAAGAAATTGTGAGAAGATAATAAAGAATTTATGTGTATGTGTGTGTTTGTGTGTGTGTGTGTGTGTGTTGTGAATATGAAGACAAGTTGTTCTCTCTTGCATTGTTAGTTCCAGTTTATTTTTGTGATTTTTAAGATAGTTATGTTTGGCCAGATGCGGGGGCTCACGCCTGTAATCCTAGCACTTTGGGAGGCCAACGCGGGGGGTCACCTGTGGTCAGGAGTTCAAGGCTAGCCTGGCTAACATGGCAAAACCCTGTCTCTACAAGAAATACAAAAATTAGCCGGGTGTGATGGCAGGCACCTGTTATCCCAGGTACTTGGGAGGCTGAAGCAGGAGAATCGCTTGAACTCGGGAGGTGGAGGTTGCAATGAGCCAAGATGGGGCCACTTCACTCCAGCCTGGGGGAAAGAGCAAAACTCTGTTTCAAACAAAACAAAACAAAACAAAAAAGATAGTTATTTTATATATCATATATTGTCATAGTAAAACTATTTGTTCTTTTTTTTTAAAAAAAAAAACCTAACTGGAAATATGTCTTTGTTCTTCGAGAATTAATATTTTATCTAACTTTTCATTACTGTTCTACAGAATTATAGACCAATCCAGCAATGTGGAGATAGCATCTTTTCCAATCTATAAGGTGTTATTCTGTGCACGTGGACATGACGGAACAACAGAGAGCAATTGCTTTGCATTTACAGAGAGTTCCCATGGTTCGGAAGAATTTCAGATACATGTTTTCTCCTGTGAAATTAAAGAGGCAGTAAGTATAATATAGTATAGCAATTTGCTATAGAGATGAATTAGGGTAATATTTTTGAGCTCTAATTTCACTGTTGTATAAATATGTTACATAAATTTGGAGTATGTTTCTAAAGACAAAATTAATATTTGTAATGACATAGAACTGAATGTGGAAAGCCAAGTCTGGTATATCTGCATAGGTAGGGCACTCTCACAGCTTAGCAGTTGTCGTAGAAAAATACAACTGGATGAGTTGCCTTTCCACCTTACCATGGTAGTAAATTGCTTATGCTCAGAAGGGAGACTATTTTTGCAGCTCTCTTATTATTTTGCCCTAGTAGATTGGTCCATGTGATTTTAAAAAGTGCCTATAACGATACCTGTTTCTCTGATGGGCTTGATAGTTGCATATTGCTTTCATTTAGATATTGCATTAAGATTATTTTATCAATCTCTGTGGTTTTCATTGATGATTATTTGTTTTGTGCTTTCTTGCTCAGAGGCTATATTTTGCTCCAGAGAACTGGCTTAAATAAAATTACAAATGCTCACTTAAAGCAGGTATAACAACTTGTAGTCCTTTGAAAATGCTAGTAAGTTTTTTTATAGAAATTACTAATTGGTAGATTATTGTTAGGAGAAATGGTTTAGATTAAATGCAGTTAATTACATAGGGAAATCTTTTCTACATCTATTGAATTATCCCCAATTTTAAAATGTTGCACTGTTAGACACTTAGTACTTAAAACCATTTCAAAGGCATTCATAAATGGGTGTGGATGGCAATGTCTCAGGTATGTTTGCTTGTGACAAAATAAATTATCAGCAGAAAATGCTGAAAGCAATAGTTATTCTAGCCTCTATCATGAAACATGAATAAATCATTCTATTAACAGGAGTTTTGAGTTTATTTCTGGCGACAAAATGGGAATTAATGGAAATATGGATTTCTGTGAGTTTGATACAAAGCATGATGGCTATGTCAGTTCTTGTGCCCTGGTGATCAGTTTGCTTTACACTAAACTGAACATGCACAGACACATATAATTTAGATTGTAACTGTAGAAATTCTCTATCAGAACCCATGCCTTCTGAAAGAAGTTGAAGTTTTGTGTTTTGTTTTTTAGATAAGGCTTTATCTATTTTTTTCCCAGCACTTACATATCTATGTGTATACTGACTTCTTGTTCAAAATGGTCTGATAGACAGGAGAGTGAATGAGTATAAGTATGCTGCTAGTGTGCCTAGCATATAGTAGACAGTGAATATAAATATGCTGAAGGAATATGTATGTTTCTGTGAATGAGGGGGGCTATTTCTGATCCTTACGAACTCCACTACAGAGGTGGGGAAGCAGATGGTAGAATCCTGGCATTTCATGTTGGCAGCCATCATTTAACCCACCTGTGTGATTTCCGAATCACTGGAGCTCAACAGCAAGGAAATGAGCTTTGAAGACCTGGAAAATCTGCTGCTTGGAGAGAGAGAAATGCTGCTGCAGAAGGATACTGAATTGCTGCAAGAAGTTTCCATAACTAATGGTATGAAACTGTCTTTTGGATTGTAGCATTCACTTGGGTTTAGAGTAGGGGAAGTGTTTATTTTTGAGAGCTTATCATGGTAGGTAAGTAGTGGAAGAAACCCTGGGAAGTTCTTGGCCAGACCATTTTGGATATAGTATTAAATAAATGCTGTTTCTATAGAGCATATTTTTTCCATTGCACGTTGTAAGAAAGTTATCTCCATCTATTATTTAATTTTTTGAGTGCATTTTAGAAAGTATTACATTATGGGGGCATTAGTGGTAAAATATATTGTTTGAAGGAGAAATACATGACAGTGGTCATTAAACCTTATTATGAGACATTATTTCTTTTTAAAAAAAATTTTAAAAATCCTCCTCCAGGTAATGAATGACACATCAGTTCTAAATGAGGAATAACCCAATATAAATAGAGAGCTTATGCCAGGCACTGTGCTAAGCGTTCATTTGATACTCATAACAGCCCGTGACCAGGTTGGACTTATTAGACAAGTGACTTTATGTTTCTCTTTGCCTGGAGCAGTTCTATTTTATGCTTATTGTCCAGGTTTTTACTAATACCCTCATTTTTATTCTCAAAAGTGTTGTGGTTTGGATGATAAATTGTTTGGTTACCCTTTGTTTATCCTGTGGCTAAGAGACTGGGTGATAGAGCTGGGTTTTAAGTTGAAGTCTTTGACTTTGAAGAGCCATACAGTTTTCAGTAACAACTTTCCTGTTGCTTACATATTATAAAACACAAATGTGGATTTTTGTATTTTAGTTATGTTTTATAAAGGGATTTATTGGTAACATAGCTTGCATTCCATTTACGTTTTGTATTTTACCTGGCCCTTTTGCAGAAGATGTCCAACATCTTCCTCTCTGCCCTACAAAATAATTATGGTTGTAATTAATCTGAAGTCTTCTAGTTACATTTACTGGTCATCCGGTTGTCTGGTTCCCAGAAGTTTTCTGTTCTTTGATAAACACCTTTAGTCGTTAGTATTTGAGTGCCTCTTGATGGGCACAAACAGTTGGCAGATAGTTCAGGAACCAGCTGACAAACATTCTTACTGCTTAAGTATGTACTGTGCAGCAATGCCACAAATTTATTTTTTATTTTTATTTTCGCAGAGTTCGTGGATGAGAGCTGAAGAGGTTTGTCGTTAAAGGAAGATTTCTGAAGCAGGAGTAGCAGCATGGCTGCCACTACTGTCACTGTGATGCTTATTTCACTATAAAATCCCTCAAACTGCAGGCATCAACAATGGTAGAAGGGAATCCCAGTGAGGGTGATGGCCCTCTTGAACACCTGTGACACAAGGATTGGGAGGTCCCACAGAAGGGTTAGGACACATTTGACTTGCAACACTTGGATGTGCTTCTGCAGGACTGTGCTTTAGTAGATTTCAATAATCTATGGCAAAAGAGTTGGACAATCCAACCAGAAGTATCTTGAGGTCAATGATCTTTGTATAAGGAGAATGATATGCTAGGCTTCTGCTGAAGAATTGCAGACCAAGCAAGGTATCAGAAAGTGTAGTGAAAAAAATACAAGGAGGCACCTGTTCTTGTCACATCTTTTTGGATATATTATATAAAACTTTCAAAAGATACTTTTAAAGTGTTAATTGAGTCTTTCTAAGATTTTATTTCTACTAGCCAGTGTAACCATTCTATGCAAAGCAGATTTTGATGATATTTGTGTGTTTTAGGATACTATTCAGTATTAGAAACTCTGTTACATTATGGAAGCATGTTTTTTGTCATCTGGTGTTAAAGGCATTCAGAGATACTTCTTGATAAATATCAAGGGCATCATTGGGAAGATACTTATTCTTATTGCATTGTTTTTTCTTGGGGTTGCAGATATGACACTGTATAAAAGAAAACGTGTTCCTTGCATGGGAAAATTTCTTTTTCTTTGAGATGGAGTTTCACTCTTGTTGTCAAGGCTGGAGTGCAATGGCGTGATCTCGGCTTACTGCAACCTACACCTCTTGGGTTCAAGTGATTCTCCAGCCTCAGCTTCCCAAGTAGTTGGGATTACAAGCATGCATCACCACACCTGGATAATTTTGTATTTTTAGTAGAGACAGGGTTGCACCATGTTGGTCAGGCTGCTCTCAAACTCCTGACCTCAGGTGATCCACCTGCCTGGGCTTCCCAAAGTGCTGGGATTACAGGCGTGAGCCACCACACCCAGTGGAGAATATCATTTCTAAACAAGTATTTATTTAATTGTTATGTTAGCTAAATGCCTCATTTTGGAAGATAATTCGAAGTTATCTTGTTAGTGTTTTCCTTAAATCAATTGATTTTTATGATTTTAAAAAAGTTTCCTGGTAGTGTGCCTCTTATTTTAGCTCCTTCCCATGAATAATGTATTTGAGCTAGCTGTTTTAAAAATTTTAATACATACCTTTCAAGGTGCCTTTCATAGAATGATTTTTCACATTTATTTCTTGGGTGAACTTTTTATTTTTTTTTTTGAGGCAGAGTCTCACTGTCTCCCAGGCTGGAGTGCAGTGGCGTGATCTCGGCTCACTATGATCTCCACCTCCTGGGTTCAAACGATTCTTCTGCCTCAGCCTCCTGAGTAGCTGGGATTACAGGCACATGCCACCACGCCTGGCTAATTTTTGCGTTTTTAATAGAGACGGGGTTTCACCATGTTGGCCAGGCTGGTCTTGAACTCTTGACCTCAAATGATCCACCTGCCTCAGCCTCCCAAAGTGCTGGGATTACAGGTGTGAGCCACCATGCCTGGCCTTGGGTGAACATTTTCTTGATATATGGTGTTTCCAAAAGAGTGAGTTATCTTTCACCAGTATTAATGAAAAGACTTCATCTTGGAGAAACTAGCTATGTTATTTATTTTAAATAAATACCTTTGTTACTTAATAACAGTGTTTGGACTTTTAAGATGTAATACATATTTGAGAATTTGGAAAATATTGAAATAAAAAAGAAAATAAAAGGTGCTTAAAATTCCGCCGCAGTTAAGATTTTGGTGTATCTCCATTCCAGATATCTACATGTGCTCTCCTCCCTGCCTCTTCAAAAACAACAGCAACAAACTCAAACAGATATACAGTTTTGTGTTTAGTATTTTCTATAGATACTGTTTTCTGGAGAAAGATTGTATTATTTATCAATAAACCTTTTCCTTCTGCAAAGAAATGCCCATTCAAGACTATTTGTGTGTATGTGTTTTAATAAGTGTGACATGTATTGAAGTGTTTGCCATGGTATGTGTTTTTAATTTCCTTTCTTGATGTACAGTTAGCCCACTATATTTGTGGATTCTACATCCATGGAGTCAACTAACCATGGCTTTAAAATATTTGATAAAAATGTATGGTTTCATCTGTACTGAATATCTATAGCCTTTTTTCCTTGTCATTAGTCCCTAAAAGATACAGTATAAAAACCATTCACATAGCATTTATATTCTATTAGGTATTATAAGTAATTTAGAGATTAAAGTATATGGAAAGATGTGTGTAGGCTATATGGAATATTACACAGTTTTATATAAGGGACTTAAACATCTATGCATTTTGGTATCTGGGAGTTTTGGGGGGTCCTAGAAACAATTCCCCATGGGTACCAAAGGACAACTGTAATTGGTTATCCAGTTTGTTATAAGATACTGATAGTCATTGTTTCTGAAGTTTATCTTGTTAATTCTTGGATTACTGTTTCAGCTTATTCACAGACTCTAGAATTCACAATATATTTTAACTCTTTTGGTAGAAATGGCAGCTTGTAAGACATAGTATTAAATGCAATTTGATTGCTGTTAATGAAATTAATGTACTGTCGTGTTCTTTCTCCAAAAGAGAGATAGATGGAATCTTATTTTTTTTTCTCCATCATTCTGTATCACTCTGGCTCAGCTCCATACGCTTAACCTTTCTATAAAGAATTTTTTGAAGCCTTGCCAGATGCTTTAGAATTTGCCAAGTTCTTTGACTTTTTTTGATATGGCCTTCTGATGTGACAAGCTGGCTGATCTGACATAAAGAATGTGAAAAAGAAGAGATGAGAAAGGGGAAAAAAGAATAAATATGGCTGGGGTTTAACTACCAATGTATGCAAAATTACATACAGGTGTTCTCCTGTTTTCACATACAGTGCTTTCTTAAAAATACGCTTAAGTCCGGGAGTAGCCAGAAAGAGTCATGGCCCAAAACCCCCTAACAGCAGTTAGTGTGGCATCTCCACAGTGGGGAATGTTGTAGGAGTTATTAAGAAATTATTTTAGGCATATAGAGATGAAAAGGGATCCTTGGGAAATTTTCATTTTTTAAAGCATCTCTGGAAAAGTTTCTTGTAAAGCCCCAGCTCTTAGAGCCAGGCCAGCAACCTATAATATACAAATGGTAGCCATTAGAAACCGGGTCCACCCAACATGGCAATTCCCAGGGCCTTCTTGCCCTTGCCCCACATGTTCCTGGCAACATGGCTGCCCACACATATCCTTGCGTGTGGAGAGCATCATGGTGCCCTGCATTTGCATATGAAAAGCTAGGGTGGGAGGGCCAGCTTTTTCCACCTGCTACGTGAATTGCATGCCTAGTCAAACCCATCCCATGAGCCCTATGCAAATCAGACATCACGTCCTCCAGCCTCTGCATATATACCTGGTTAGTATGCATGGCAGGTGGTGTTCTGTCTCTTGGCTTTGGAGCCCCTCTCCCTCTGTCTCTGTATGGGGAGCCGCTTTTTTTTTGCCCTTGTTTCTTGCCTATTAAACTCCCTGCTCCTTAAAACAAAACTAAATATACACTGAAGTTAAATGTATAAAAATCAGACAGTAGACTTTATATTTCATTTAGGAGTAGGAAGTGGAGAATACCCAGAGAACTAAAAGTAGTTTAAAGTCTCTATTTACACTTGACCTTGTAGGCATAGTCTTCAATGACATATTTCTAGCATATTCTTTGGTTCTGTTTTCCTCTATAAACACTTGAATTATTGGGCTAAATCCAGTAACTATCCAGCTGAGGCTGAACCTTTCTGTTTTTAGCTTATCTAATGATTCCCTCTCATCCATCCCCAAGCACATTCAACTTAATATTTGCTGGAGTACAGGCTGTATGTTCTCTCTTGTATTTCTGGCACCTAGACTAATACTTGGTATGCAGAAGGTGCTCAAATAATATTTGTTGAATGAATGAGTTTATTGTCTTAATTATATAAGTTTTGAGGCCTACAGTTCTTATTAGCATCAATCTTTTGCTGCTTTTTTAATTTTTACTCATATAAGATTAAAATGGGGATAGCATGGTAAAATAATGAAGAAATTTTGGGAACATTATGATATAAATATGGTGCTACTGCAGAAGTTGAACTTTAGACTGGCAGGTAGGATTTCTGTATAGTTGTTAAAAGTTAAAACTGTTAATTTGGCATTGAGAAGGCACTTTAGGGTAATCATTGGTTAATGGGTATAAATGTGGCATTCGGAAGTTTTTGAATGTGTTAGACTGTGTGTGCTTGTACAAGAAAAAGTGGCAGAATATGTGAATAAAACAAAGGAAAACAGAAGACCTCATACTTTAACAGACTCTTCTGTTATAGGGAGTATTCCTGTTTCAAGCAAGTTACAAATATTGTATTCCTAGACTAATACAGTTCAAGAAGTACTTTGAATTCACTTTATCTAAAGTGAGGGATTTATTAATGTTCACAGCATTCTTCTTATCTGTACTTCCCAATGTGACACATTGAAAATATTTTTTTAACCCTTCACATTTCACCTTGTTTTCTTTGTCAACCTATGCGTGGGCTGAGAGATTTGGAGAATCTTTGGTGCTTCAAGCTCACAAGTTTGTGATGATCTGATGCTTCTTTTGGAACCAAGAAGTAGAATAACTTCTGGAGAAGTGTTGGATTTAGAGTACTTCTTCACTTTAAGGAAAGAATATGAGCTATACACACAAATACACACACATATGTATATACATATATATGTATATATGTATGTATAAAAGTAGTCACTAGAGTGGCCTAATACCAATAGAATAGATAAGAATAAGACCATTTCAGCATTCATTCTGGGAACCCAACACTTATAGCACAACAACATTGAGTAAAAATACTGGTAGCTCTTTATGTTACTGACTGTATTGCTAAAGCCAGTATTTGCCTTATTCTATGGTTCTGTATCTAGCCCCTGAGGCTGAGGGAAGTGAAGAGAGAACTTGGAGACTTGGCCAAAACCTTGTTTGTGAGAGTGTGTTGGGAAGATTCAGATACCAATATCATTTTAGTAAATTATCTTAGGATACATTCAATTTCTTGTATATTTTGAAGCCTAGAAATATCTATAAATAAATACAGTTTATTTTGTGAACTTAAATTAGTTCAATATCTTTATCACCATGTTTAAATGTCAGAGTTGTGAGAAGCAAATATTTGAAAGATAGCTTTTTTTTTTTTTAAAGTAAAAGGAATTCCTTCTTTCTTTCTTTCTTTCTTTTTTTTTTTTGGAGACAGAGTCTTGCTCTGTCACCCAGGCTGGAGTGCGGTGGTGCAATGGCTCACTGCAACCTCCACCTGCCAGGTTCAAGCAATTCTCCTGCTTCAGCCTCCCGAGTAGCTAGGATTACAGGTGTGCACCACCATGCCCTGCTAATTTTTTGTATTTTTAGTAGAGATGGGGTTTCACCATGCTGGCCAGTCTGGTCTTGAACTCCTGACCTTGTGATCTGCCTGCCTTGGCCTCCCAAAGTGCTGGGATTACAGGCATGGAGCCACTGTGCCCGGCCCTCTTGCCCTTCTTCATTCTTAAGATGCTCAGATCCTAGTTGCAGCTCCTAAATCATAGTTCTCTTCTGGTCTCCAGTATGTATGCTGGTGGTGCTTAGTGTTGAACTTTATCTGTATATATTTGAAAACCCTCCTCAGATTTGAACTTAAGTTTCCATGAAGTGAAATGTACCCCATTATTAATTTCAAAGTAAAAAATTCTGTTAATTTACTTCTTAAGCGATATTTCTTCAATATTTCCCTTCTTGGACTTCACATTGATGATAGTTTTTAGGTTGTAATAATTTAGAGTTTGGATGGTCTACATTTACCATCTACAGTTGTTTACTCCCTCTTTTTTTAATGCACAAGTGATGAAAATGTTGTCATGTAATATCTAAACAATGATAAATACTTAGACTATATATAAAAATATATATTCTGCCAAAGAAAATTGTCATGGAAAATTGTAGATTCAAGAGTTAGGAGAGAAGGATATCAGAATGCAATTAAAACCTTTGCCTAATGGTATTTCCTTTTTTATTCTTTTAGGTAAGCAGAATTTTGTACAGTTTCTGTACAGCATTCAAACGTTCTTCCAGACAAGTGTCTGATGTTAAAGACTCAGTTATTCCTACCCCCGACAGTGATGTGTTTACCTTCAGTGTCTCCTTGGAGGTAAAAGAAGACGATGGAAAAGGAAACTTTAGGTGAGGCATTTGGAAAGATTAAAAATTCGCATTGTATCTGGAGTATAATATAGGCGCATATAAAGTTTCAAGAAACTATACAGTGTTGGCATAAAGCCTCAAACTGATAAATATTTGGCTGGTGAATTAATATTTTTTATTCTTGTGCTTGTCAGATATTTCTTTCCTTTTTTTTTTGAGATGGAGTTTCGCTCTTGTCACCCAGGCTGGAGTGTGCATGTGCAATGGCACGATCTCGACTCACTGCCATCTCTGCCTCCTGGGTTCCAGTGATTCTCCTGCCTCGGCCTCCTAAGTAGCTGGGATTACAGGCGCCTGCCACCATGCCTGGCTCATTTTTGTATTTTTAGGAGAGACGGGGTTTCACCCCGTTGGCCAGGCTTGTCTCGAACTCCTGACCTCAGGTGATCTGCCTTCCTTGGCCTCCCAAAGTGCTGGGATTATAAGTGTGAGCCACCGCGCTTGGTCAGATACTTATTTTCTTAATGATTTAAAAAATACTGATACTGTAGAAAATTTAGTAAAATAATAAAAGTAGAATAAAAACTACGATCTTGTCAGCCACAGTCACTTTTAACATTTGGTCTCTTCCCTTTGTTTATTTCTAGGGGAATTTTTACACAATTGTATATATATACCTTTTTTTTTTCTTTATGTTAAGTGTTCTAATCAAAATTGTTTTTAACAGTAACTGATAATATATGGTTTGACCACCACTTAATTAACCATTTCTTTTTTTTTTGTACATTTAGAATGTTTTCCTCCAGTTCAGATATAGACAGTTAATAGGAAACAGTTATATTATTTAATGCTCAACTTTGTTCCTTAGCTGTGCCTTTAATTCTAAGAGTAGTTGCTAGCTAGGTATTTTATCTGTAGTTTTACAGACATTGAAATTGAGGTCATGTAAAAGTTGCTCAAGATATTTTTTCTTTTTAGATAAGACAAGCCATATTTTATACATTGATTATTTTAATGAATTAATTTGTAAGAATAGTCTAGCCTAGGCTAGAATTTGATTAACTTGTCCCTGTTATGTATCTCTTTGTCCATCTTTTGTTTATATATTCATGGATACATCACAGTCATCTCAAATTCTATGTGTCTAAAAGTATGCTCTTCTCACTTCCTTTGCTTTGGATTTCACTGTTTTACAGGCACTTATGACCACCCAACCAGCTAAACCAGACATGTGACAGTCTTAAGAACTTCAAGTAAACATTATTCCTAAATTTGTTTTAAAACTGAAATTTATCATGTTGTCATTTTTTTTTTTTTTTTGGAGATAGAGTCTTGCTCTGTCGCCCAGGCAAGATTGCAGCAGTGCAATCTTGGCTCACTGCAACCTCTGCCTCCTGGGTTCAACCAATTCTCCTGCCTCAGCCTCCCCAGTAGCTGGGACTACAAGCATGCACCACCACTCAGCTAATTTTTGTATTTTTAGTAGAGATGGGGTTTTACCATGTTGGCCAGGCTGGCCTCAAACTCTTGATCTCAAGTGATCAGCCTGCCTTGGCCTCCCAAAGTGCTGGGATTACAGGCGTAAGCCACCGTGCTTGGCCATGTTGTCTTTTTTAAGATCTTGCTTTTAACTTTGGTTAGCAGACAAAATATAAGGCTCTTGTAAACTCAATTTAGAAATTAATAATGACTGTGTTGCTGACTATAAAGTTTATAGTCAAATAAAATTAATAGTTTGCTGCCTGTGGCAAGGTGAGAGTTTAGTATATCTTAAGAATAAGGGTGTTGTTGCTTAAATACTTTGTTGTTTTGTTCTAACCTTGGAATAGGTTATTTTATCATTTTATTAGATTATTGGTAATTCCTATTCCTTTTGAATATTTCAGCCCTGTGCCTAAGGATAGAGATAAATTTTATTTCAAATTAAAGCAAGGAATAGAGAAGAAGGTTGTGATTACAGTGCAGCAACTTTCTAACAAAGAATTAGCTATTGAAAGGTAAGCAGCTTGCTCCTAAATGCTACCAAAAACTTGTATTGACATTGTTACTGTCTCAGATGCATTGCTCAGTGTGGCTTTTCACTATACTTCATTTTCTCCAATTAAAAATGAGGATAATTAATAATACTTTCTCTACTTTAACTTAGATGTAACTGGTTTCATTGAAAATCAATTGCTGGGGTAAGTAAACATGAAATGGTTTTAGTTTTTCAGTCATAACTGCTACAACTGGGTTTGTTCACATCTTTTTTTCTTGTTCCTTATTTACATACAGCATAAATACTTTTAACTTTTCAATCACTTTCGATTACTCTTCCACTTAGCTGCTGGAATTTCAGAAACTTTAAAAGATAGATACATATTTTTAAAATATATAAATACATACACATATACTTGTGTGTCAATTCACAGGAAAACTATTCAGAAAACAAAGGAATGGTAGGACAAAAGATATAAATAAAGTCAACAAGAAATGATAGTTCTGGAAAAAATATTCGTAATGTAGATGACAGGAAAAGGTAATGTCTACAATATACATAAATTTCTTAACAATTGGCAGAAAGCAGAGGAGAAAAACAGGTCAGAGTATAAACAGATCAGAGGAAAGCTACTGGATGGCTAAGAAACATATGTAAAGAGGTCCTGATTCACAAAAAGACAGGGAAATGCGAATTATAGTAACCTTAAGATATCAGATTGCAAAAATATGTAGTGATGGTGGGGGTATGGGGCAAAGGGAATTCTCATACTGTTAATGGAAATGTAAAATGTACGTATGTCCTTTTTGAAAACCAATTAGGCAACATATATAAAGATTTTAATACCTATAATTGGACACATAAGTCTTATTCTAGGGAATCTGTGCTATTCAAAATAAAAGTATCACTATTTAAGGACATTTGTAAGGATGTTTATTAATAAACTTAATTCAAAGTTAATTCAATACCTAGTACTTCTTTGTCTTTGTTGCTACATATTTGTTAAATTGAAAGTTGCTTTGTTATGCCAAAAAGGAAGTGCTCAAAAAAATGATGGGGGCATATGCTAAAGATAGGGTTTGAAGGGGCTTCAACTGGTTACTTCTTGGGCAATCTGAACAACAAAATAATTAGGTACTTCAGTCAATTATCAGTCAGTACTGAAGTCAATCAGTACTTCAGTCAAACAACAAAGGATGTTTATTAATTTAACTTTGAAGTATTATTTTTAGTGGCAAAAACTGGAAATACAGATGCCTATTTGGCTTCAAGGAGCAAGGGAAGTTGGTGATGCTCAAGAGAAATAAAAGCCTCTTCATCAAGACTGCTGTATACTATGTCTTATTCTAGGGAATCTGTGCTATTGGAAATAAAATTCCAATAATAAATAGATTCCCTCTGTCTTCCCTCCAGTCTCTAGACTGGGATGAGGGTGGGAGGCAATTGAGGCGCTGGCTGATGGCATCATGGCCACTTCTGTTCCTCTTAAATATAGGAGAAGGTATCTGGCCCCCAGTTATCTGCTGTTTTTTTTTTTAGAAGGTAGGCTATCTAGCTCCACTTTGTTCCCATCTTTGAATCCTGCCAGGCAACAGGAAAAGTTTTATTCAGCATCTTGGTACAGTGATGCATGCATGTGTTTTTAATTGCTTGCAAAGTTTGGCCATATGTAAAAACCATCTTTTATAAATTTTAAGATGCATGTGTTTTCATATTGAACATCTCTGAAATTGTAGTTTGTCTTATAATTGATGGCATTTTTTAAATACTTTAAGTTCTGGGATACATGTGCAGAACATGCAGGTTTGTTACGTAGGTATACCTGTGCCATGGTGGTTTACTGTACCCATCAGCCCATCATCTAGGTTTTAAGCCACACATGCATTACCTATTTGTCCTAATGCTCTCCCTTCCCTTGCCCCCGAACCCTGACAGGCCCCGGTGTATGATGTTACCCTCCTTGTGTCCATGTGTTCTCATCGTTCAGCTCCCACTTATGAGTGAGAACATGCAGTGTTTGGTTTTTTGTTCCTGTGTTAGTTTGCTGAGAATGATGGTTTCCAGCTTCATCTATGTCCCTGCAAAGGACATGAACTCATTCTTTTTTATGGCTGCATAGTATTCCGTGGTGTATATGTGCCACATTTTCTTTATCCAGTCTGTCATTGATGGACATTTGGGTTGGTTCCAAGTCTTTGCTATTGTGAATAGTGCTGCAGTAAACATACGTGTACATGGGTCTTTATAGTAGAATGATTTATAATCCTTCAGGTATATACGCAGTAATGGGATTGCTGGGTCAAATGGTATTTCTGGTTCCAGATCTTTGAGGAATCACCACACTGTCTTCCAC
Source organism: Homo sapiens (assembly GCF_000001405.40). NCBI lineage: Eukaryota > Metazoa > Chordata > Mammalia > Primates > Hominidae > Homo > Homo sapiens. The sequence goes on from NC_000001.11 coordinate 174,254,925, forward strand.
AATGGTTGAACTAATTTGCACTCCTGCCAGCAGTGTAAAAGTGTTCCTATTTCTCCACATTCTCTCCAGCATCTGTTGTTTCTTGACTTTTTAATGATTGCCATTCTAACTGGTGTGAGATGGTATCTCATTGTAGTTTTGATTTGCATTTCTCTGATGACCAGTGATGATGAGCTTTTTTTCATATGTTTGTTGGCCGCATAAATGTCTTCTTTTGAGAGGCATCTTATAATTATAGTTGTCACCTTTTTTTCATGAGATACAAAAAATAATGGTGAGTCTTAAAATTGATGGCTTTCTTAAAATTGATGAAAAAGAGCTGAAGATATCGTATTTTTGATGTTGAATATTACAGTTCCAAAAGAATATGATTATATTTTGCATACAGGAACCTTTTAGTTTTTAGGGGTAAGCATTATATATAGCAGTGTTTTAAACTTTTTATTTGGAAGTAATTTCAAACTTACAGAAGAGTTAAAAACAATACAACTAGTAGAGAGAAGACCTGTATACTCTTTACCAAGATTGTTACCAATATCTCAGTGTTACCAGTGTTACCAAAATCTCAGATATTGATGACATTTTACCTAATTTGCTTTGCATTCTCTTTCTTTTTTTGAGACAAAGTCTCGCTCTGTCAGCCAGGCTGGAGTGCCATGGCCTGATCTTGGCTCACTGCAACCTCCACCTCCTAGGTTCCAGCTATTCTCCTGCCTCAGCCTTCTGTGTAGCTGAGATTACAGGTGTGCCCTACAACGCCTGGCTAATTTTGTATATTTTTAGTAGTGATGGGGTTTCACCATGTTGGTCAGGCTGGCCTTGAACTCCTGACCTCAAATGATCTGCCTGCCTCAGCCTCCCAAAGTGCTGGGATTACAGGCATAAGCCACTGTGCCCAGCTTGCACTCTCTTTCTCTTCTCCCTGCTACTCGCTATACACACACAGTTGTTTTCCTGAACACTTTTAAGAGTGAGTTAAATACATCGTGGCCCTTTCCTCCAAGTGCTTTAGTGTATGTTTTCCAAGAATAGGGATATCGCTTACATCACCACAGTATACTTATCAACATACGTGAATTTAGCATTCATACACAACTTTTAATCTAACCTGCCATTTGCCTTCCTATTTTGCCAGTTAACCTAATAATATCCTTTCCCCCACTCCAGTTCAGAATTCATTCCAGGATTAGATATTGCATTTAGTTACCATATGTCTTTAGCTTTCTTTAACCTGGAACATTTCCACAGCCTTCCTCTGTCTCTTAAGACTTGGACGTTTTTGGAGAATACATCCATTTTTCCTCTTTTTAATATAACATTGCCCATTTTTGGCTTTGTTTAATATTTGTGACTAAATTCAGATTATATATTGCTGCATAGTTTATATGTCCTTCACAGAGTATCACATCTGGAGGCAGATGGCTATCACAGAGATAGCCATCTGTCCCTTGATGATGATGATGTTAATTCTGATTACATAGTTAAGATGTCTGATTTCTTCCCACTATGATTACTTTTTTTCTTCCTTGCAACCAGTAAGCAGTCTGTGAGGAAACACATTAAGACCATGAAAATATGCTGGGCGCGGTGGCTCACGCCTGTAATCCCAGCAGATTGGGAGGCCGAGGCGGGCAGATCACGAGGTCAAGAGATCGAGACCATCCTGACCAACATGGTGAAACCCCGTCTCTACTAAAAATATAAAAATTAGCTGGGCGTGGTGGCGGGTGCCAGTGGTCCCAGCTACTTGGGAGGCTGAGGCAGGAGAATCCCTTGAACCCGGGAAGTGGTGGTCGCAGTGAGCCAAGATCACGCCATTGCACTCCAGCCTTGTGACAGAGGGAGACTCCGTCTCAACAAAACAAAACAAAACAAAACAACCAACCACGAAAATATATCCTGCTCCTCATCAAAATATCCTCCTTAATTTAACATTCTTGTATGATTCTTGTTGGATCTAGTCTGTACTATGATGATTGCAAAATGATTAATTTCTCAACTCTTGCCTTCTCTCTACATTTTGTATTCAGTCCTTGGCATTCTGATGTAAACCAGAGCTTTCCCTTTTCTTCCATTTAACTACTTGTTATTGATATAGATTCCTAAATTTAACCCCACCTCCTCCCCCCAGTACTATATAATTGACTGAAGTACCTGATTATTTTGGTGTTCAAATTGCCCTAGAATCAACCAGTTGGAGCCCCTTCGAACCCTATCTTTATGACATGCCTGCATCATTTTTTTGAGCACTTCCTTTTTAGCATAACAAAGCATCTTTCAATTTAAAAAGTCTGTAGCAACACAGACAAAGAAGTACTAGGTATTGAGTTAATTTAACTTTGAATAAGCGTTATTTTAAAATCTTGGACTTTTATGATTAAGTGGTATATTATGCCTGAACTGTGCCTAAATGTAAAGGAATGCAATCCTTCCTTTTCTCAGTAAGTTCCATGTTTGATCAACTTGAATATAGAAACCTAGACAAATATAGGTGAAATAGTTGAATGCCTAATTATATATATGTTCTTTGCTAACTGGGTAGAACATTTGCACACACATTTAAATATATTACACAAAACAATAACTTAGAAATGTTACTTTTTGCCCACCCTTATATTCATACAACAATTTTATCAGACTCTCATAATCTTTAATATTGATATCTTCATCATCCTTAAAACTACTTTTTGAATAATTTTAAGGCATTTTTTCCAGAGCACATTATGTCAACTTCTGCCTGAGTTGAGAGAAAATGCCTTTTGAATCAGTATATGCTACTAACATTGGATATTTTACCAAAAACACGAGTACACATTTGTACACATTAGGACAATTGTTTTTAAAGTTACTTTGAATACATAAATGCTATATTGGTTTTATTTCTTTGTTAATTGACACAGAAGAGTTGTATTATTGTGTACATGTTTTGAGATATGTATACTTGTGGAATGGCTAAATTACATTGTTTTTATTTTAACAACTATTTTGCTGATGCTAATATCTAACACTTGCAACCTTGGACTCATATATCCAACAGTAATTACTGAATCCATGTTAAATTTCATTGCTTCCTTTTCCACTGATTCTGTCAGATAATCTCTGTAAACATCCAAATGTTAATTGACTAAGATTTCTTCAGGTGAATGACTCTTCCCTAAACAATACTTTGTTCAGCATAACAGACCAAATTACCTGTGATACAGAAGATTTAGTAAATTCTTGGATTTTTCTATATTGGTAAAAGAAACATTTGCATTTCATTGGATTAAATGTGGTATTTAATATGTTTAAATCAGACTGTAAACAGTGGAATTTAAGGTAGTCCAGCAGGTGGCAGCCTTACCAAGAAAATTCTTAACACCTCTGAATCTTTTTTGTTAGACTGGGTCTCACTCTGTCACCCAGCCTGGAGTGCAGTGGTGTGATCATGGCTTACTACATCTTTCATTGCCTAGGCTCAAGCGATCCTCCCATCTCAGCCTCCTGAGGAGCTGAGACTACAGGCACATGCCATCATTCTTAGCTAATTAAACATCTTTTTTTTGGAGAGATGGGGGTCTCCCTATGCTGCCCAGGCTGGTCTTGAACTCCTGAGTTCAAGTGATCTTGACTTGGCTTCCTAAAGTGCTTGGCTTCCCAAAGTGCTGGGATTATAGGCGTGAGCCACTGTGCCTGACCCAAATCTTTAATAACTGCTGCTGACAAAGTTAATTTGTAATATAAAAGCATTGGTGTGAAAGAAAATCCTTCAAATTACATAATTTTTATCTTCTGAACGAGAAAATAAAATTTATCATTAAAAAATTTTTAAAATCATTATTTAAATTATGTAAAATTATCAACATTCTGGGTTTTTTTTTGTTTGTTTTTGGTGACAGGACCTCGCTGTGTTGCCCAGACTGGAGTGCAGTGATGTGATCATAGCTCACTGCAGCCTTGAACTCCTGGGGTCAGGCTATCCTCCTGCCTCAGCCTCCCAAGTAGCTGGGACTACAGGTGTCCACCACTACTCTGGGCTAATTTTATGTTGTCTTATTTATCTTTCATAGAGACGGGGTCTCGCTTAGTTGTCTGGGCTGGTCCCAAACTCCTGGCTTCAAGTGATCTTCTTGCCTCAGCCTCCCAAAGTGCTGGGATTACAAGTGTGAGCCACCATGCCTGGCCAATATTCTGTTTTTTTTTTTGAAAAATATATTATGAAAGAAGCCATTTCTGTGTGCATCCAAGGGTTTAAGGGTTGTTTATATCTAGATATTTTGCAAATTATACTGCAGTTGTCTGTCTTGACCCTTTTGATAACAAGCACTATGTTGTTTATCCCAGAATCCCCAGCATCTACTATAGTGCTTGGAATACAGAGCTTTATACTTAGCTACTTACTCCTTACTTAGCACTTTCTCAGTGCCAGGCACTGTTCTAGGTGGTATTTCTGAGGTATAGGTACTATTATCTTCATTTTTCAGTTGAGGAAACTGAGGTACAAAAGTTACATAACTTGACCAAGGCTATAAAATTACTTTTTAACTAAGTACATCTAGTACTAGAACACATATTCTTACTCTCTACTGCTTCTTTTTAAATACTTGACTAAATCAATAAAAAGTATATAAAAGTTTATAAAGTTAGAGCATTGGCTAAATTTGTTGTAATATGGAATTAATAACTGCACATTGCACCAATAAAATCCTATGTATTTTAAAGAATGTATGAAAACTGTTCTCAAGTCATGAAAACTTTTAATATTCTTTTCCTTTTCTTGATTACCCATGTTGGATATCACATATTAAGCTTTATTTAATAACTGGATATAAAAGAGCAATAATAATGGCCAACATTTAATGAACACTTACTATTTGGTGGCCATTGAACAACTTTTCTTAACATATGAGGAAGGTACTGTTATTATTACTGCATTTTTTTTTTTTTTTGAGACAGAGTCTCACTCTGTCACCCAGGCTGGAGTGCAGTGGTGTGATCTTGGCTCACTGCAACCTCTGCCTCCCGGGTTCAAGCAATTCTTCTGCCTCAGCCTCCTGAGTAGCTGGGACTATAGGCATGCGCCACTACACCCGGCTAATTTTTGTATGTTTAGTAAAGATGGGGTTTCACCATATTGGTCAGGCTGGTCTTGAACTCCTGACCTCGTGATCTGCCCGCCTCAGCCTCCCAAAGTGCTGGGATTACAGGTGTAAGCCACCACGCCTGGCCTATTACTCCATTTTATAGATGATGAAACAGAGGTTTAATCAGGTTAAGTAACTTTGGTTACTTGGCCAGAAACTGGTAGAGCCAGGATTTAAACCAGGGTCATCTGATTTCTGACTGTGTACTCTTAAAGGCTAAACCCAATTAATTCTTGATTATATACTAGGTTTAAAATTAAGCCAGTTTGAAGATAAATGAATTGGTATTCTTTGGTATCTTTTCAGCAGAATTTAAAAGTGCGAACTTAGATGTTAGGGCATTCAAGTGATTGCTCAGAAATTTCAAACCCTCAGTGCCTTGGGAGAAAAGCCAATTTGTAGAAGAGAAAGCTGACATTAACAACTAAGAGGAGAAAGCAAGATCATTGTATATGAAATGTGTGAGGAGTGGTAGGGCAAAGCTTACTTATTGAGGGTCTCCAGCTGAGATGTTAAAGTGTGTGTACATGAGGTCAGGCTCTTCTGGTGTTCCCAAAGCAGAAATGGTGATCATTTCTCTCTCTGACTAGCTGCCATTATTATGGGTTTTGGTATCACCACATACAGAAATATTGCAAAAGATTTCTTGCATACTAACACATTGATATGTATTTTTAAAGCCTTGATAGTGTTTAAAATACACTATTACTAGCACTGTTACCTAAATGCACTATTACTAGCACTATTACTTAGCACCTACTTGGATGCTTTGAATAGTTTGCTATGCTCAATATTCCAAAGGTGAGAGAAGGGGAAATTTTTTCAGTCTTTGCCATTAGTGCTCTGTCTAGTTGATTTTTTTTTTTGCCAAGTATTACTTCTTATTTCATGATAAAATGATTCAAGACAAATAATACCATATACATTTAGAAAATGGGCCTCTTTATTATTCCTTAACATGAAGAGGTTCCAATAATGGTAGTTTCAGGCCTTGGGGAAGGGTAATCAGGAAGCGATTTTTGGCACCAGGTTTTATGTCTGTCCTATCACTCTTCTCAGGGGTCTGCCCTCATATTAATACTTGTGCTAACCAGAATGAAGTAGTGATACAGCAAGCAGAATATAATGATTAGAGTTGTTATAAGCACACAACTCAATTTGCAGTGAGTAACATGGGCCAACACTGTTGGAAAATAAGGATTTCCATGAGCCACTTCTATCTCACATTGATTTGGGGGGATACAATCATTATATATACATTAGAAAAACATCACTTCTAAATGACAGTGATCATATCAGATCATGTAGTTTGATCATTTGGAGAGTTCAGTGATGTGCCTCTTTTGGTAGCAATTTTGCTTCAGTTTTCAATTTGTGCTTGCCGGCTTGCAGCACAAACTATATAATGAGAAACTGAAGTGATAAGAACCATACTGTGTAGCATGGGTGATTGATAGTACCTTTCCTTGTGTTATTTTCTTGAGGAAAAGATATCCTAGACAAGGAGTACTGAAAAAATCACCCAGGGACTCTCTTCTTCTCATGAAACAGTTTTTTAGTGTGAGTTGACATCACTAAATTTGATGGACAGTAGAATTTGAATTGTTTATTATTTTTTGACTGCTCTAACTTGATGTTAGACCATTCTGAGGGTCTTTTGCTGGATTTACTTAGTACTTATTTTTACTTTTGCCTTAGCAAGTTGTTACAGTTTTATTTAGGTAAAAACTCAAGTTACTATCTTGAAGTTGCCTAGATGTCAGTCTGATTTGGATGTTTTATTCTCTTATGTGAATTAGTACGTTTATGAACTTTTACAGCAAAATAAAGAATTTTAGATGTTATAATAATTTCTCTTAGAGGATATCATTCCTCCCTTTCCTGAAAATGGGAATAGATTAGTGGGATGACCCATATTCTGCATAACATTTTAAAAGCTACCCTGTGAGCTTACTCACTTGTCCTTTTTGTGTTTTCTTTTAAGGCAGTAGAAGGATAACTCTCTTTTTCCATAGGAAAACAGGTATTACTTACTTATACAAAAGTACTTTCATTATTCTCTGTTAATGATTTCATGTGACAATTGATAGAAAGCTATTGGCATTTTCAGGTGAATAATTTGGGGAGTGGATAACTGGAAGCTTCTATCTGACTCTCAGCCTTTGAACTGAAACTTGTAATCAGGACAGAATTTTCAGCATCTTTTCATTGCTGGCTTCTGTTGGCACCCAGTGGGGAGAGGCGGCATCATGGTTTAAGTATTAAATGTGGATGTAGTACTATTACGTTTTTAGCATTGTATTTTAAGAAATACTTTTAAAATATGAGCAATGAAAACATATATTGTTGTCTGTAATGTGTTCTCATAAGTTGATTGATTCTAGATGTTTTGGAGCTCATTAAAAAAAATTCCAGTTTGAAGTAATTGTAGATGCACAGGAAATTGCAATAATAGTATAGAGATGCTCTATGTGTGCTTCCCCATTTCCCCCTATGGTAACATCTTACATAACCATAGTACAGTATCACAGCTAGGAAACTGGCATTGGTACAATTTGCAGACCTCTATTGCAGCTCTTTTTGAATCCTTTTATAAATCACAGTATACTTCTATAATATAAACATTTAATTTATTGGTTTAAGAAATTTGGATATGTAGCCTGGCTGCTAATTAGAAGAGATTGGGTATTTTAACCATATCCTATCCAGTTACCAGGTTATTGCCCCTTGGCTCCAAATCTGTCCTCTTAGCTGATCTGCATTAATGGAGCTTTAAACATTTCTTCTTTGCAGCAAGCACAATATTAAATTATGCCAGTAGAGGGTGTTGCAGGGACACTGCAGGAAGATGGGGTTTCTTTTGTTTCTGATGTGTTACATTTATTGTTTTCTTGCTCTTGCTTATTGTAAGATCCAGGGACATCCAGTGATGCTGTGCTTTTGCTGATGTTTGGTTCAACCCAGCTGTGCACTCACATGCAGTCCCTCCGTGAGCTCATAGCTTTGGTTCTGTCTCAGTGAGGCCCTCCTACAGCCTTCCTGACACAGACACTGTGTGCCCCAGGCCTCGTACCACCCTGCCAGTGAGCTGACTCTGGAAGCCCTGATTTCCTTTGCCCACCTGCCTGCCAGCCTTTGCTGGCTGCAGCCCAGAGGGTTTCCTGCGTGCCTGTGGTCTAGCTTTGCCTGGGCAGTCCAACAAACTTCTTTGCTATTCATTGGGCTGTAATCCTGCCTTCTCCAGTGAGGTCTGAATACCACCTTTGGTGAAAGGACCCAACTTCCACGTTAGTTCTTCTTGTGGTACTCTCCCTTAGCTTTAGGGTTAAATTCTCTTTGTAGTTACTCTACTATGACAGTTAATAATTCTTTATAGTAAATTTTCCCTGTTTAAATTACTGTGTTTTCTGTCCTAATCAAATGCTGACTTACAGTATCTAATTGAATTAATATCTAATGATATTAAGCAGTCCATAAAGTTTCTGATATTTTTCCAGGAAAAACAAAACAAAAAAGTGGTTATTTTAGATAATCTTTTTACTGTCACAGTAATGGCAAGGAAAAAACAACTATTATTTCTACCGTATGTTTATTTCCATTCCACGCACAGCCTTTTTCTTACTAAAGCAAGAAACCCTGCAAAGTAGATTATCTTTTATTTACTTTTTTTTTTTTAACGGGGAGTAGGGAGCTAAAGCATTTTATTTTGCCTTGCTATGAGATCTAGCTTATAATTGGCAACACAAGTATTTGAATCAAGACCATCTTGCTATTCTTCCTAAAGCCTTTTCATTTGACTCTTCTGTATGACTTTCTTTCTTTTTTGGGGGGCCGGGGGATGTTTACAGGGGTCAGTATTAAGTACCTATAAATAGGATATGATTATTTTATTTCTTTAGTAAATATTGTTTAGTTACTAATATTTTATCCGTATTTGTAATAGTAGCATAGTTGTTTTATTCCCTTTTCAAGATCTTTGGATCATTTGAAGGGAAGAGGGAGGAAGACTTAAAAATGTTATTTTTTTTTTAGTAGGACTTTAAGCAATTAATTAAAAGTTAAATATGTCTTATAGGTGAAATTTTGTATTTGTGCTTTAAATATTTGATTTTTAAAATTTTCAGCATATTTTAATAAATTTACTCATTCTTTTTATTTCCCTGGTATTTTTTAAATTTTGAAGTTTTATATATTTAGGTGAATTATTTCATTATTCCACTGTACTACAAGAAACTTAATTCTTTTATAATATGAAATGTCCCTGCTTTTAAGGCTAATTTTCTACTTGTATACTCTATTTTATTCCATTTTGACATCTCAAAGACATTGTTTAAGCAGTCTTTCTTCTACCACACTTGCTTGTTAGATTAGCCCATCCAGTCTCATGACTTTAAATATATCTATGACTGGATGATTCCAAATGTTTTTCTCTGACCTGAGGTCTCCAAACTTATATATTCAACAACTTCAGATCTTCATCTGGCATCTCAAAGTTAATATGTTCAAAAATCAAACTAAAAAATCAAGTTTGACACTGTCCCAAACTTGTTCCTCCTGTAATTTCTCACAGTCTTTTTAATTTGTAACTTGATCTTTCCAATTATTGTAGATGAAAAACTTGGCATTTTCAACTCCATTTTCTCTCACTCTACATCTAATTCTTCATTAAATCATATTAGTTCTACTTCCAACTATGTAAAGAAAGAAAAACCCTAGAGGAAAGGGATTAAAGAAAAAATACGAATAGAAATGGGAAAAAATATAGACTGTAGATAAAAGAAAAAAATTAGAAAAAAAAACAAAAGAAATGACAATCGAGAGAAAAAGAAATAGGAACTCCAAGTCTAATCACTAGTTTTCTTATTTTATCAAAAGTTAATGTAGGTACTTTTGCTATAAATTTTCTCATAAAATTGAATTCATCATTTTTTGCCCATGTTTTGTTCAACCCTATCTACATGTGTTTTATGAGTGATAATCAGGAATCAGTAGCCTGCAAAATGAGCCTTTATGAAGGAGAAAAATGGACTTTTGTTAATCAGCTGTAGCTGTACAGGGGAAGATATTCCTTTTCTTTATGCTTTTAGATGTTTTTGAATTGTGTTTACAAATACATTCAATTGTAAAAATACTTGTAAATTAGCACCCGTTTATTTTGATGCATATAGCTAGTATCTGCAAAAGCCCAAATAATGTATCACTATCTGAATGTCCTGTATTAGTCTTACTGAATGGAAAAGCAAAATAATTGATTTTAAATGTTTTAAGCAGGGATTAAACCATGTCAGACTTTGAAATTTATTGGTTTTCTTGTTATAATCATTTTTAATATATTTTAAAATCTGACTGTAGCTAAGTTCTCATTTTGTATTTGAAGGGAGTTAGTAAAAGTACTCATATTTGGTGGGAGGATGGCTTGAATCAGGAAGTGGAGGTTGCAGAGCTGAGATTGTGCCACTGCACTCCAGCCTGGGTGACAGAGCTGGAGCCTGTCTTGAAAAAAAAAAAAAAAAAAGTGAAGAAGGAAAGCACTCATATTTGAGTTATTCTGCATTTTAAATTTTGACCCTTTATTAATGTGAGAATTAATGGGAACATTATTGCTAAGGATGGTATGGAGGGTTTTTTTGTTTTTATTTTTGAAATTTATTCAATGAAAAATTTTAAGAACATTGACCTAAAAATATTCTTCTTTCTGTATGTTATTTTCTCTGTACTGGTATTTTTTTTTGTTTTTGAAATTTGTTGGTTGAAAATTTAAAAAAAGTGGACCTAAGATATTCTTCTTTTATAGCCTATCTGCATGTTAAATTCTCTGTACTGGTAGCAGCTCTATGGCAGTCCTAAGATCTATTTAGGTTATTTTTTTCTTGGTGATTTTTCCTAGTGTTCTAGGAAATCTAAGATAGATAGTTAGTTACATAGACAGATAGATAGATAAAACGATTTCCTACCTGATGAATGAAAAGAGTAACCAATTTTTAAATCTGGAGAGACTCCTTCTTCCTATTACTGATATCACTGAAGTTACTAGAGTGAAATTTTTAGGATAAATAGCTATAGAGTACCCTCATCTGGGTTTGAATCTTGGCTTTACAGTGATCTTGGTCAAGTTATTTAACTTCTCTGTGCTTCAGTTTGCAATTTGTAAATTGTGAATAAAACTTACCTCTTAAGATTGTGGGGAGAAGATTAGCTAGTAACTGTAAAGTGTTCACAATAATGCTTAATAAATGCATGCTATTATTACTATTAGTGGTACTATTACAACAACCACAGTTAAGATTTTAAGACTATTGGTCTTTTTTGAGTGATAATCAGAAGTAAGTAACCTGCAAAATCTGAGTAGACTGCTACCACTGGAAGGCAAAATCTTGGCTAGAGTTCTTTAGAACCTATGTGTGTATATACAGGCAGTCCTTGCTTTGTAGTTATGGTATACATTATTTTCTCTTACCGTGGTTCAGTTACAACACTAGTCTCCCAAACACATGGTTCAAATTTCTGTTACCATAGTATATTAACAGAGTAATTGCAAAACAAACTCTGCTGTTCAGTCCACAAGTCACTATATACATACATGATTAGTGACCAATCATGTCGCTTCTTCCAAAGTCTGTTGGTGATTGGTCACTGTGTATCTGTTATTCACTTTACTTACAGATAGCAAAGTATGTGGTTGTGTTGCCTCTTTGTCTCTGGTAATAAATCCATTTGACATTTTACAAAAATGGATAATCCAAAGAGGAAATTGGCCAACAAAGCTAACAGTGCTACAAAGAAATGAAAAGTCATAATGCTGAAAGTGAAATTGCATGTAATTTTAGAAGATGCACAGTCTTAGAAGATTTTAAAATGGCAACAGCAAAATGAAGACAGAATGAGACCTAGGCCTGTATAAAGTTGTGATATGAACCATATTGAAAAAGTATGATAAATTTAAAAAAATGATAAAATCACTCCAACATCCTTTAGTTTAAGTTTCACTAGGAACAGAAAGCTGCTTATGGTTTAACTGGAGCATATACTTCTGCTTTGGATTAAGACTGTAATAAACAAAAATTCCAATCAGTTTTGCTAGCATGTCAGCCAAAATACTGAAGTTAGATGCCACATCAAAAGGAAATAGTAATTATAAGGAGACTGGAGATTATGCAATTTCTTTATCTCAATTTTGGGAGAAATATGACATAAAGCATGCAGTTGAAGACATCATTTCAGGGAGCAACAATGAATATTATGTCTGTAGTATAGCAAACTTTTACTTCGCTATAGAAGTAACTTTGAAGGATATGAATAGGACACTTATGGAGATGTAGAATAAATAGCTGTCTGTGGGAGTGTTGACACTGTTGCTATTCAGTGGACTCTAGATATGCAGCCAGATGAACTTTGTGAAGATGAACTTATCAGTGTAAATAAGGAAAGTGGTTGTGATGAAAAGCATGAATGTTCCAGGGGAAATGACTCTGGCAAATTTTTCACATTAAAGGAACTCTTGGAGATACTTCACAACATTGAACATGCAAAGGATAAAGTTTGGAAGTTAATCCAAACTTAGAAAGGAATATGACAGTTTGCCAAGATAGAAAAAATACTTTGTATTGTAAATTATATGAGAAGGCAGCAAGCACTGTTCAATATATTCTTGATAAGTTTTTTTAAATAATTAAAATACTTTAATTTTTGTGCTTCAAACAACGAAGTGCTAAATAAACAATAGTTTTACTTTTTAACAATTGTCCTATATATTTATAACTGAAAGTAAGAGAGTTTTTGAAGTTTGGACAAAAATTTTTAAAGGTTACTGAAGAATCATAATTTTTCCTTTTGAAAAATATCATTTTATATGCAGTTTTGCTTATATGGTTATTTTTGTGGTTCCACACCACTGTACATAGTGACAAATGCCTGTGTATCTTTCTCTACTTCAGTCTTTTTAGTAAGGGAAATAACAGTCTCATTGACACAATAGAAGATTTGCCCAATTATCTTTTTGCTTTAGCCCCTTTGGGGAGACTGACTGAGATTCCAACTTTTATGAAATTATTTAGTTTTAGTGTTTTGCATAAAGTTTTGAAAAACTGTGATTGCATTATAGATTTTCTTATTTGCAGTTCTGTTTTTCCCTTTCTATTATGCTGTCACTTTTTCATTTTTTTTTTTTTTTGAGACGGAGTCTTGCTCTGTTGCCCAGGCTGGAGTGCACTGGTGCAATCTCGGCTCACTGTAAGCTCTGCCTCCCGGGTTCACGCCATTCTCCTGCCTCAGCCTCCTCGGTAGCTGGGATTACAGGTGCCCGCCACTACGCCCGGCTAATTTTTTTTGTATTTTTTAGTAGAGACGGAGGTTTCACCATGTTAGCCAGGATGGTCTCGATCTCCTGACCTTGTGATCTGCCCACCTCGGCCTCCCAAAGTGTTGGGATTACAAGCGTGAGCCACTGCGCCCAGCCACTTTTTCATTTTTAATAATAAAAGTTTAGTACAGCAAGAGAGCGTGTTCTTTTCCTCTCTCTCCTTCCCTACCTTCCATTTTTATCTTCATGGAGATATATGTAATTCCTAATGATTTGATAGACTAAAGGTAAAAGTTTTTAAAAAATTAGTTTCATATTGCAGGACATTAATACAACATCTGTTTTTCTCACTTTTTCCTGCAGTTAAGTCTAAAGCCGTATTAGTGATACAGAGTTTTTGGTATTTGTTCTAGAGGTTAACTTGGTGTTAAAAGCTGCTTAAAGTTCTATTTTGAGTAAACACTAAGTATTACTATGAAAGGGAGAGCTTTCTCTTCTTAATGGTAATGGTAATTATAATAATTTATAATTATCAACTGTTTTATAGTTTACAGTGCCCTTTCATCATGAGTTTTTTCTTTTCTTTTTCTTTTTTTTCTGAGACGGAGTCTTGCTCTGTTGCCCACGCTGGAGTGCAGTGGCGCAGTCTCGGCTCACACAAGCTTCGGCTCACACAAGCTCTGCCTCCCCGGTTCACGCCATTCTCTCGTCTAAGCCTCCCGAGTAGCTGGGACTACATGCGCCCGCCACCAGGCCCGGCTAATTTTTTTGTATTTTTAGTAGAGACGGGGTTTCATCTTGTTAGCCAGGATGGTCTCAATCTCCCGACCTCGTGATCCGCCCACCTCGGCCTCCCAAAGTGCTGGGATTTACAGGCGTGAGCCACTGCGCCACCGCGCCCGGCCAGGAGTTTTTTCATGTCGAGTTTACGTTGACGTAATGAACATGAAAGCAAGTATTTGTACTTCAGAAATGTGGAAAGTGAGACTTTGAGGTTTGTGATTTGCCCAGGGTCTCTCAGGGAGCTTATAGTCTTTTACTGACAGTCCTTGGCAGGCTGTAATGTAAAAGACCATATAGTTTTGTAGTGATAGACATGGGCATGAATCCCGGTCGTGTAACTTAGTAGCTATGTGGCTTTGGGCAAAACCATTGTTTTTGAAAATCAGTTTTATCGTTTGTTGTATGAAGGTTGCTTTGAAATTTAAATGTAACAGTATAGTAGAGCCTGGCTTAAAGTTAAGACATTCAATAAACAATATCTATTATTATGATAATAATTGATATAATAGCATCATCAGCTCATTCTCAGGAGGTTGATTTCAATTTTTCAGTGAAGTCAGCTATTCACTATATTATAAATTATGTTGGATGTCTCTTCTATACTTTGTTGATATTATGTACTTACAGGTATTTTAGAACGAATGATATCAGATTCTAATTGCCTGTTTACTTATTTTCCCCCCCACTATACTGTAAACTCCTTGAGAAAATAGGTGGGATAGCAATTTGCTTTTTACCTTATCTATAGAGTTAATAAGAGACTGTTGAATGCTTTGAACTCCCCAGTGAAACACTGAATACTCCTATTAGGTGTTAATGTTACTAATAATATCTATCTAATTTCTGACACATTATTCCTAATAGATCTTGCTGGCCTCCATAGGAATCCTGGTGTGCTTTAATGAAGTGTAATTTTGAAAATGACTAATACAGCTTGACAGAAAATAATTATGTAATTTAAGTGCTTAAAGTTCATGTATTATACCTTTCCTGTTTGCTAGAAGAGGGAGCAGAGTCCCAGGGGGTTAGGTGCTTTCTCTAAGGTCATGCTGGTTGGTGGCAGGGCTTTTTTTTTTTTTCCAGGCCAGGAAAAGATTAGTGCATTAAAGATTATCAAAATAAGGTGATGAGTATTGCTACTTAAGAAAAATCCAAACCTCTAAGGCTCCTTTTGCAGTACAATGTAATATAGAAATATTATGCTGAGAAAATGTGAAATTTCATCTATTTTATCATTCACCTGGAAGTGCTTGAGAAACAAATGACATTAAACTTTAACTTTTATTATAGCCATCAGAGATTACAAAAGGTAGGAGGGTGGGAGAGCGGGGTGAAGGTTGAAAGATTACCTATTGGTTACAATGTTCAGTCTTTGGTTGATGGGTACTCTAAAAGCCCAGACAGACTTTATCTCTACATAATGCATACATGTAAGAAATCTGCACTTGTAATCCTTATGCCTATAAAAATAAAAATTAAAAAAAATCTTTTTCTGCCTTAAAAAATAAAAAAATCCTTTAAATTTTCAAAAAGAACAAAAAGAAAGAGAGTATACTTTCCAAACTGTTAGCATTATTTCCTAAGGAGGCTGACAGAAGGGAGAAATTATTTTTTCTTTACATACTTTGGTATTTGTTAACTTATTATGGTGACTATATAATGGGTTTGTAATTTAAACCCTATAATATAGAACATTGTTCTTAAAACAAAAAACCATTAGAGATGCAAGCTGAAGCAAAGTATGTAGGGATGTGTGAGATAAATCTGTTCTCATTGACCTAATTTTTTAGAGAGTCAAATTTTATTTCTAAAAAAGAATTAAATCTTTTATTCTTCCTTAGCAAGAATTTAGGGCAGTAGTATAAGAAATAGTACAGTGAATTGCATGATTGATTATTATTTAATTTGTGTAGACAGTGTTTATTACAAGAATTCATAGGAGAGAGATCATAGCAGTATATAGGTGAAATTATGAATACTAGAGTATAATTATTTCTCTTGTAGATTATATTTTGTTCTCTGTATTTGAAAAGTTATCCTCAGAGCTTACCAACTTTAGCTTTGCTATGTACGTGATCATTTTTGGGTGCCAGAAGGAAGCCTTGAACAAGTGATCCTCAAGAACTTATAGGAAGTATACATTTACTCCTTACTAAGCTTACATTTGGACAGGACCAGTGATCTTGCTCATGTCAGCATTAGCCATGATACTAGGAGAGTAAACCTTTGAAAAACAACAAGGATGAGAATAACGGTTGAGTGGTTAGCTGCCACTATTTTGAAATTGAAAAAATCTTATGTTTAATATAGTTATATTCTTTACCCTTTCTATAAATTGTTACATAGCATATCTTGAAGTTTTGGGAAACTACAATAAAAACATTCTTGTGTGTGGGTATGTGTTGTTGGCAGAGGGACCCTGTGGACAGATTACATTGCTTCTCAAGTTACGAGACCTATAATATAGCAGTATGAATTTGGGTAAATTGCTTAACTTCTCTGGACTTTACTTTGCTTACATGTAAAGTGGAGTTAATAATAGCCTAACAAACATAAAAATCTTCGAGTTAGCTGAATTTTAGAGCTTATGCAAATCCTTTACAAATAAAGTGGCAGTGTTGATGGGATTCCTAAAGCTTCTCTGGCATCAGGAAGCACAGAACAATATTAAATAGTTAACAGTAAATTAATAATATGTTGGATATAATATCTTCACTAATAGCCCATTTAGTAATAAAGTTTGCATAACTTTTTTTTTTTAAAACTGAGGATATAGTATTAACATGCTACTTAGTGAACATGACTGTGGAGGGCCAGGGTAACAACAGTTTGCTTTCTTTTTAATCTGGTTTGATGCAAAGAGAGCATAGTGTCATCTTCTTATTTTTAAAAACCTCGTTTTTGGTTTAACTGGGTTAATGGATTTTGACCTATATGTTTGGAATAAGTCTAAGGCAAATAAAATCTCTTATCTCCCTAGAAACTAATTTGTATCTCAGTACCATATTTTCTTTCAATTAACAACTTATGGCCACTTTTATGGTAGTTTCTTATTGGTAATATTTTACATGCAAATAAAGATCTGGAAATTTAGATGACTTATTTCTGTGTGATTTTATTATCTATCTTCATAAATACTTATTTCTGGTGTTTTTAGAAAAAAAACTAAAGCTTATAAATACAGAGCTCAGATTGTATAGTTATTGTAAAAAGGCTTTATGCTCACTGGGCTTCTATATATTCTTGATACCTTATTTCTCCTTTTTTTCCCCCAATATTTTCAGATGTTTTGGAATGTTATTAAGCCCAGGTCGAAACGTGAAGAACAGTGACATGCATTTACTGGATATGGTAATGATAATCTTAAGCACCTTAACCAAGTATAGATGATAGTTATTTTATATTTGACAAGTATTTTCTATTTACAAATTTTGTCATATTGTCAAAATTATTTCTTGCAGCTGTGTGATAGTAATAATTAAATTTGGAAACGCAAACTTAAAATTACTTGTGAAAGAGGAATTCAGGACAATTTCCACCAAAACAGTCATATGCAACAAATAAAAGGATTGTGTTATGATAATGTCCATTTATTTTTTTGGCTTCTTAGAAAGATATCTTTTCTTTGAACCTGTAGTAACAAGTACATGATTATAACAAGCATCTCCAGAGTGAATATGGTGCCTTTCATTTATTTTAATGCACTGCTATTAATTTGAGTTTGTGATGGGTACTTTTGTTTTCTTTAAAGCGTTTCCCTTTCTGAATTTCTTCTTGATTACCTGTCCTTAGCAAAGTACACTTATACTAGGAGTAATATTTATTTAAGGAATGTCCTTAAAGGTTAATATATATTCAACAGTTGATATTTAGTGTAAAAGTAGCAAGCTATTTTAACTTTCAAATAGAAATACCTTCTAATATTGCAGTTAGTGAAAACATTTAATTTGTGATTTGGAGACGTTATAGGAAAATAATCATCTTAGAGTAAGTATAAAGTTTCTTAGTGAACTGAAATTCTTATATTTAGTGATAATAAGCACTATATGCTTTCTTCTTTTTAGCTGTGTTTTGCAAATATCAGTTAAACATTACTAATTAGGTCAACTTTTTTTTGAGTAATTTCATGGTAATATCAATACTGATTTTATAGCAGTACAGGAATGGTTTATTCAGGCTTTTGGGTACCTGTTTGTCTGCTAAGTGTTGTGTGAAGTGATGAGGTTATGCATATGAGTAAAATATAGCTCTTACCATCTGTGGGTTCATGGTCTTGTGGGAAACAAACTTTTTAGTATCTGGTGGTACTTCAAGCCACAGAAATATAGAGGAAGCACTGCCTGAATAGGTCAGGTAAGGAAAACCAGTTAAATTGATTATTAAAACATAAATTAGCTATTGATCTATGTCTCTTACATCTTTTTTTTTTTTCTTGACCACATATCAGTAATGAAAGTGGTTTTACCTAAGGCAAGCCATTAGCATTTTGGAGCCCTGAAAATTCCATGAGGAAGTAAATTAGGAGGATTGAGGTAATGAAAACTTTTAAGATCCTAGGTCCTAATTAATCATGGTCTTTCAGAGTTTAAAAGACTAAGATGAATTACTGCAGAGATTTGTCCATAAAACCTAAATTCAGATTACAGAATTATAGAACTGGTATAAACTTCTGAGGCCCCTTCACTATGTCTCTCTAACTTTCAGAACAGTCCTCCCCACCTTTGAGTCCATATCTAAATCAAAAGAGTTGTGAGCATTCATGCTCTCAGACAGAGAAGGGGCTTACTTGCAACAAATAGTTGGGCAAATGAGAGGCTTGTATTTGCAATGATTAGCAGTTGTGATTTGTTATTACCCAGTGTTGTTAATCTTCATAGTGGACATTGAACCTCAGCTAGACTACTTCTAATGAAGAGAAACTCATTACCTTATGTTAAAGTCTAAGGGACAGTTCTGGTTATTACAAAGTTATTTTTTTATAATCACCTGAAATCATAGTTCTTGTAACTTGGCCTAATTAGTCTTAATTCTGCACTCTAGAACAAGATATTAATACTTTTACTCCTTCTATGACACTCCCAAATATCATGTGATCCTCATGACAGGAAAGTCCTATTTATAAATGAAGATATATTTTTCAGTGAAATAGCCAGATTACTTATATATAACAGTCATATGCTGAGTAAGAAAATTTCCGTGAATGATGGACCCATACTTTAAGGTCGTCCCGTAAGATTATAATGTATTTTTACTGTACCTTTTCTGTGTTTAGGTACACAAATGGTATTGTTATAGTTGCTATAGTATTTGGTACAGTAACGTGCTGTACAAGTTTGTAGCCTTGGAGCAACAGCCTAGTTGTGTAGCCCCTATACCATCTAGGTTTTTATAAGTACGGTGTATTCTATTTGCATAAAGAAATCACTTAATGACACATAACTTAGAACATAACCCTATCATTAAGCAACAGGTGACTCTGTGTGTGTGTGTGTGTGTGTGTGTGTGTGTGTAGAGGAGAGAAAGAGACCATTATCATATGAGTGTGTTGGGGCTGCTGAGAGGGTTTCGTTTACAAGTGACCTTGAGTGTATTTCATCTCTGGAATGCATGGTCCCTGCGCTCAAGCTACACAATCTGATTAGTGAAGTATTACTAATACACTAGAAAAATATACATAGTAATTACCAAATGACTGACACAATTTTATAGGGGGTTCAGAGAAACATCTGTGAATGGGTAATAATGAAAAAAGAAAAGTTTTTCTCTTTGTTTTAGTCTGACCCTTTTAACAGTCTCTATTCATAATGTGAGGAAATCGCTACAAAAACTGAAATATTGTAGATACTGTTCATTTGCATATGGAAATACTTGTATGCTGTGTGTTGTTCTTTCATGGGACAAACTCTACCCCTCCTCTCTCCACACACATATACACAAGCTATAAGTAGCCTAGCTTTCGCCATAGGAGTTGCTGGCTTTTTTAGTGAGAGTCAAGAGCTGGCTTGGTAAAGTCTTAAAGAATGGAGAAGAGGAGGAAGGAGAGAAGGGAAGAAAGAGGGAGTAAGTGTAACAGTAGAGGGAGAGAGTTAATACACTTGGATGCTGCTTACAAACCAAAAATTAGTCTCCTAATACTAATTTATGATTGTAAGAAAGTATATAAATATCTGACATATAGAAAATAGACAAGTGTTAATTTTAAAGGTATTAATTGCTACAAACTAAATTAATATTTTAAGAATTCATTAAAAATTAGAATATTAGAAGAAAAATATTAACTTTCCCTACTGTGATTAGCTACTAGTTCAGTTTAACTGTCTTCAGCTAATTCTATATTATTGTTTTAATAGAAACCATATACATTCTTATGTGTATATGAGATTTGGACAATTGGTGTCAAGATCAAGTTAAATACAACTTTGTAACAATATTATGTTTTTTTGATTCAGCATGTAAGTATATGCCTCCTTTTATCCAAGGGTACATGTCTTTAAATAGAAACTGTGCTTGAAGAAAGCTGTAGAAGAATTTAATATTTAAATAAATGCTTTTGTAGGATGAAAAGAATTTACAGTGAATATAAAGCTCCTGCTTGACTGTTAATCTAAATTTTAATAATTTGTATTGCTTAAAGTAAGATGTAATTTAAAGTAGTGATTTTTTTGATGTCTTTTATCAGTAATTACTGTTTGAATTTTTATAGGAATCCATGGGAAAGAGCTATGATGGGAGAGCTTATGTCATCACTGGCATGTGGAACCCCAATGCACCAGTATTTCTGGCACTTAACGAGGAAACCCCAAAAGGTGACTTTTCTTAAAAGATCCCTTATTGTTTGCTTTACATTTTATATTATGAACAATGTTGCTTGTCATGTTTTAAAAAAAATTTGGAACTCAAAGTGGACTTATTCTTTCATTGAGAATTTGAGGTTCATTTTTATTCTTTATGCTTCTATGGGGGAAATCTCCACTATTTAAAAAAATCCTCCCCAAAAGATATGTGAATTATTATTATTGTTATTATTTTAAGAGACAGGGTCTCACTCTGTTGCCCAGGGTAGAGTATAGGGGCATTATAGCTCACTGTAACCTCAAACTGTCATGCTCAAGCAATCCTCCCACCTCAGCCTCCTGAGTAGCTATTAAATAGAACTACAGGTGTGTGCTGCCATGCATGGCTAATTTTTAAATTTTATTTTTGTAGCGATGGGGTCATGCTTTGTTGCCCAGGCTTGTCTTGAACCTTTGACCTCAACTGATCTTCTTGCCTTCCAAAGCACTGGGATTACAGATGTGAGCCACTGCACCTGGCCTGAATTAATTTTATTAGATTATAGAGAAAGCATTTGGGCTTTGTTTTTCATATACCACTATAGAGTTATTTCATTTGTGGAGACTAGTGATGGAGAAATATTAAAGAAAATGATGAAAAGGAAATATTTTAGAATTTTGAATATTTTTAAATTATTAACTATTTTTGCATTATAGTTTACTTATAGTTTTTCATTTATTAATTATTGGCTCCAGTCTTTTGGCCTTCGGGATGCTTGTAATATATATTAAATATTTCAGTTGTAGCAAATAGTTTTTTCTTAGTTTTTTAACTTTTCATATTATTTATCATGTCTAGTATTGAACAGAATGTATAAATGTTGAATAGTCACATTTTTCGTTGTTCCATTGTGTTTTTTCATTCCTACTTCATCCAGATAGCTGTTAATTGCCTGTTTTTTGCCCCTTCATTATCTACTTTTAAACTAAATTTAAAGTTTTACCTGCCGAGTTATATGCCTACCCTAAGTGCTTTACTGTCATTAAACCATTAATTCATATTTAGAATATAATGGATCAGTTTGTTTTATCATTAATTTTTATATTATTTAGTTTATACCCACAGTAGACTTTTGGTTACTGACAGGAAGCATTCGTGAATACTGATATGAAAATATAATATGTTAATGAAGGGCATTAAAATGATAATTATTCTTTCATTTCCTTAAAGAGAGTATTCACCATTTATATAAATCACATACATTGATCACATATTAAGCTGTCTAAAAATAAAGGCTAAACAGAAAAAAAGATTATATAAAATTTAACTTTTCATTTATTAGCAGTAAATAATTTTTAGACCCACAATTTGTTATTTCTGGAGACAGGCTTGCAAATACCTGTAACTTCTTTCTTATACTTGTTCAGAAGGAAGCCACAAAAATGATAAAAATAAGCCAGTTGACAGTTTTGAAGAACAAAATATAAGAATTTTGCATATCAAGTTATAAAAATAGTTTTTATGTTTTTAATGTAACACCTAGTTTAGTTTTATTTTGCAATAAAATATATATTTGGTCCACAAAAGAAAATTTATTTATAATTTATTCTATTAAACTATATAATAGTATATTATAATATTCTGATTCAAAGTATACATTTTAAATTTAACATTATCTCATATGCCACACAAAAATGTTGCCCTGATTTTTAAAATTTCTAAATTATGTCCTTGAAATTACACATTACTCAGAGAATGTGTGATCAAATAAAGTTTGATTTTTATGGAAGAAGTTTAGAACCTGAGAGATGAAAAGTCTTGGATCTTTCCACTGCACTAAGATCCAGTTGAATGTTATATTCTGTCTTGTGTTATTACTCCTTACTCCTTTCTCTAAGGTCCTCCAGGTCAAGTATAATGTCTAACAAATTTTAGTTTCTCTTGAATTGGCAGGTGTATTTAGTAAGACTGTATTTAGTAAGAATGTAATAAAATTGTTATTGAATTTGAGAAGTAGTTGATGAATCTGAATGTTATATAATATTTAAAAACACTATTGAGGGTTTCTTCTAGTGGTGGCCTTGGTTATTTGGACTTTCCTTTAACAGAGAACTAAAAATTGTAAAGAAAATAAATTTTAAAAAATATTTAAAAAGGAATGAGGAAATTACAAAATGGTATGGAATGACCAGGCCATAGATTCAAAAACCTCAATGAGGCCAGGTGTGGTGGCTCACGCTTGTAATCCCAGCACTTTGGGAGGCTGATGGGGGTGGATCACCAGAGGTCAGGAGTTTGAGACCAGCCTGGCCAACATGGTGAAACCCCGTCTGTAGTAAAAATATTTTAAAAATCAGCTGGGTGTTGTGGCGGGCACCTGTAATCCCAGCTACTTGGGAGGCTGAGGCAGGAGAATTGCTTGAGCCCTGGAGGCGGAGGTTGCAGTGAGCCAAGATCGCTCCATTGTACTCCAGCCTGGGTGAGACTCTGTCTCAAAACAACAAACACTTAGGATTATTAGTTCCTAAGAAACATGCTTGGAGTACTTGCATACTTATTTAATCAAAATGTGAATAGAACAGTTAAAAATAAACATAGAAGGTATTACAATTGTAAAGAACTTTAATTCTTTCATAAGTGAGGAAACTTTGTTTAAAGTAGACAAGGAATAATAAAGCTCGCATAAAACCCAGAAAATTTCTACTACAGATAAGCAAGTATACATGACTGTGGCAGTGGATATGGTAGTCACAGAGGTGGTGGAGCCTGTTCGCTTTCTCCTGGAGACAGTAGTCCGTGTGTACCCTGCAAATGAGCGATTTTGGTATTTCAGCAGAAAGACTTTCACAGAGACTTTCTTCATGAGATTGAAACAGGTAGGACCTTTTTGTTCTCTTCATATATAGTAACAAACATTTTTCTTTCCACACTTCTTTTTTAATGCCAAGATAATTCCTGAAGTTGCAAAACAATACAATTCCTCAAAGAAATCAAATGATATTTGAAGTCAACCAATAGAGTGTTTGAAAAAGTCACATCTAGGTAATATTAGCTAAAAAAACCCAGCAAGTTTAATAATTACATACTTTTTCCCTAGAAACCTGTAATGTATGAACCTTCTTAACAGAAATATTGACTGCATATAAAACAACGTTTCTGCCTTTTATAAACAATTACTTAAAACCAAAAAGGCAGTGCACAGAAATATCATATGCTTATAAAATTTTAATGAAAATGTTTCTAAGAAATACCTAATTTCTATAGTTATTTCTGCCTGTAATATTAGATAGACAATATTATATGAACATCTTGTTTGACTCATCAGTGAGGTTATAAAATTATTTTAATATTAAATGAACAAAATTATGGTTTCTATGATATCCTCAAATTAGGCAGTATTAGTAGATAAAATATGTAACTTTTGTATTATAGCAAAGGAAGCAGATAATAATGAAAAATAACTTGAATGCTAATTGTGTGAGTTTTTAAAAAATCAGGATAAAAATGCTCTATTAGAATAATGAACATCTTTTATATGCTGTTTTTGTTAGTACTTTCATTCTCCCAAGTTTTAAAATGCTTGCTGCTTCATATACTATAATATGTGGACTGCTGTGTGATAAAAGCAGGCACCAGTACAGGAAACAAATATAGAAGCCTCTTACCCATTTTCATATTAAAAAAACTGCCATGGCGCATCTCGGCTTTATATACTATGTACTTGGAAATTATTGTGGTTTTAAAAAAATCTTTCATAAAATTATTATGGCTGTTATTTGACTCAGTTTTTATTACTGTGTGAACTGCTTTTATAGCATATTCTAATGAAGGTTATGTGAGCAATATTCAAACTTCAGTCTCCTGAGCATCTTTTAATATTTTATTATGAGACTTTTTTCCTGTCTTCCTTCCTCCCCATCCTTCTTTTTTAAAAAAATAGCTTAGTTATGACTATCCAATAATTCTTCATTTTGAGCCAAAGAATTATTCATAGTTGCATAATCGTGAATAAAGGAGCTGGAGCTGTATAGAAAGTTGTCATTCTTCTAATGATGATAAATTATAATGTAAATTATACCTCCTAGAGATCTGAGAAAATGTTAGGTTTTTCCCAGTTCTAGTACTTTTGACTGTCTGTCTGCCTGGAGAGAGAGAGAGAGAGAGAGAGAGAGAGAGAGAGAGAGAGAGACATTAAAGTAATTGTTAAAATTCATGTAAGTAATTATTGCAAGACCTGAGACTATAACTCCTTACCTTAAGCCAGAATATGCTGCTGTAAGGCCAGACTAGCTTCTTTCTACACCTCCAAAAGGTGGGTTGGTTTGGGGTGGTTGATGGTAATCTGGAGATGTTGGTCTACACTATACAACATTGGTAGAAAGAATGAATTAGGTGATTACCTAATGCAATTCAAAGTAACCTTTGAAAATCTGGGTCCAGGCCATTACTACTTTAAAGAAATAAAGAGAGAATGCATTGATTTCAGTTCTAAGTGATTTAGACACCTAGAACTTTTTCTTTCATTCTGAGAGTGTTGAACTTATTGAATGAAACCAGAACTTGTCCTGTACCCAGACAGGATTAGACCAGACTCCTGGGGGCAACACCAAAGTACATGAGATGCCCTGTTCCCAAACTATTTTTTCTTGGCAACTTTCTTCTCTCAAATATAGCAGAACTTTATGTGTGGGCAGTGGGGATGTATGAAAGTCTGCTTTGTTCCTGTTTACTGTCCACTCAGGGCCAAATGGCATTTCATTTCATTCATTGTCCATTTACTGGGAGCAAGGAGAGCACTTAACAAGAGGATGGAAACTAGAGTCTGGGAAAGTAAACTAGAGGCTGGGAAAGTAAACTAGAGAAAGTCCTTTTGTGTCCGGAATTGGTTCCTTTCAGTGGGTTCTTGGTCTTGCTGACTTCAAGAATGAAGCCGCGGACCCTTGCGGTGAGTGTTACAGTTCTTAAAGATGGTGTGTCCAGAGTTTGTTCCTTCAGATGTACAGATGTGTCTGGAGTTTCTTCCTTCTGGTGGGTTAATGGTCTCACTGACTTCAAGAGTGAAGCCGCAGACCTTTGCAGTGAGTGTTACAGCTCTTAAAGGTGGCGTGTCTGGAGTTGTTTGATCCTCCCGGTGGGTTCGTGATCTTGCTGGCTTCAGGAGTGAAGCTGCAGACCTTCGCGGTGAGTGTTACAGCTCATAAAGGTAGTGCGGACCCAAAGAGTGAGCAACAGCAAGATTTACTGTGAAGAGCAAAAGAACAAAGCTTCCACAGAGTGGAAGAGGACCCGAGCGGGTTGCTGCTGCTGGCTTAGGTGGCCAGCTTTTATTCCCTTATTTGGCCCAGCCTGCGCCCTGCTGATTGGTCCATTTTACAGAGCACTGATTGGTCCATTTTACAGAGCGCTGATTGGTCCATTTTACAGAGTGCTGATTGGCCTGTTTTTACAGAGTGCTGTTTGGTGTGTTTACAAACCATTAGCTAGACACAGAGCACTGACTGGTGCGTTTTTACAGAGTGCTGATTGGTGTGTTTACAAACCTTTAGCTAGACAGAGTGCTGATTGGTGCGTTTACGCTCCTTTAGCTGGACAGAAAAGTTCTCCAAGTCCCACCCGACCCAGAAGCCCAGCCGGATTCGCCTCTCACCTTGACCTGAGTCTAAGGGGAGTAGACATTAATTAGGTGTAAGTGGGAAACACCAAGTATAAATGCCCAGAGAACTAGAAAGACTGGGAAGCACAGTAGCTGATGATGAAAGGCAAGTAGGCCCCTGGCCATGTGAAACTTTGGAGTCCACGTTCAGAGTTCTTTTCTAAATCAACTTTATTGAGGTAGTTAGCATACAGTAATATGCACCCATTTAATAGTACATTTTGATGAGTTTTGACAAATTTATACACATGAATAATTACCACCAAAATTAAGATCCCTCACTCTTAAAAGTTCTATAGTGTCCATGCCAGCTAATCTTTCTCACCTTCAGCCTCAGGCAATGACTGATGTGCTGTCATTACAGTAACTGGAATCATATGCTTCTTTTATGTAAAAGCTTTCTTCATGTAACAATGCCTTTGAGATCCATCCATGTTGTATGTCAGTTGTTAATCTTTTTATTGTTGAATGTTATTCCTTTGTATAGCTGTACCATAATTTATTAGATCATATGTTGGCAATTTGAGTTGTTTCCATTTTTGGTTCATGTGGTTAATTAAAGCTGCTGTATCTTTCTGTGGACATAGATTTTCATTTCTTTTGGGTTGATACCAAGAAATGGAATTGCTGTGTGGTATGGTAAGTAGAAACTGCCAAACTGTTTTCTACAGTGCTTGACCACTTTATTTTCCCTCCAGCAGTATATGTGTGTCCCAATTTCTCCTCATCCTTGCCAGCACTTAGTATCGTCAGTCTTTTAAATTGTAGCTATTCTTAGGGGTGTGTAGATGTATCTCATTGCAATGTCAATTTACATTTCACATTGAGTAATGATTTTGAGCATTTTTTTCTTATGGTTATTAATCATTCATATATCTTCTTTATAAAATGTCTAAAATTTTTGTCCACTTTTTGTTTGTCTTACTGAGTTGCAAGAGTTGTTTATATTTTCTGAATATATTTTCTTTTGTCAGATACACATATTTCAAATAGTTTCTTCCTGACAGTGGCTTGCCTTTTTATTTTCATAATGTCTCTTGAAGAACTGAAGTTTTACATTTCGATGAAGTCATATTAATATTTTATTTTATTGTTTTTGCTTTTTTTGTGTCCTATCTAAGGAAATTTTGCCTACCTCAAGGTTGTGAAGATGTTCTTTATGTTTTCCTGTAAAGACTTTATAGTTTCAGGCCTATTACCTATTTTCTGTTAATTTGTATGTATGGCATGAAGGCTTGAGGTCATCTTCCCACACCTCTCTCATGTGGGTATACAGTTGTTCCAGCATCATTTGTTGAAAAGACTCTTTTATCTATAGAATTAGTTTGTCTAAAATTAATTGACTGTAGATGTATAAGTCTGTTTCTGGGACACTATTTCTCTTCCATTGAACTCTATGTGAGTACCACACAGTCTTGCTCATTATAACTTTATATTATGTATTAAAGTCTGTGTTGTAAGCTTCCCAACCTTTCTCATTCTTAGTTTTATTTGTTGCGAGTTCTTTGCATTTCCATCTGAATTTTAGGATTAGTTTGTCAGTTTGTAGAAAAATGCATGCCCAGGCTGGACGCAGTGGCTCACACTGGTAGTCCCAGTACTTTGGGAGGTTGAGGCAGGAGGATCACTTGAGGCCAGGAGTTTGAGACCAGCCTAGGCAACATAGCAAGACTCAGTTTGTAAAAAAAAGTAAAATAAAATTACCCAAGCGTGGTGGTGTGCACCTGTGGTCCCAGCTTCTCAGGAGGCTGAGGTGGGAGGATTGCTTGAGCCCAGGAGGTTGAGGCTTCAGTGAGCCGTGATCATGCCACTTGCACTCCAGCCTGGGCCACAGAGTGACACCCCATCTCTAAAAAATAATAATAAAAAAAAGAAAAATGCATTCCCAGATTTTGACTGAGAATGCCTGAATATGTAAATGATTTTGGGAAGAGTTGCTGTTTTTTTTGTTTGTTTGTTTGTTTTTTTGAGACGGAGTCTCAACTTGTTGCCCAGGCTGGAGTGCAGTGGCACCATCCCAGCTCACTGCAACCTCTGCCTCCCAGGTTCCAGTGATTCTCCTGCCTCAGCCTCCCGAGTAGCTGGGACTACAGGTACCCACCACCACGCCTGTCTAATTTTTGTATTTTTAGTAGAGACGAGGTTTTGGCATGTTGGCCAAGCTGGTCTTGAATTCCTGACCTCAAGTGATCCACCCTCCTCGGCCTCCCAAAGTGTTGGGATTATAGGCGTGAGCCACTGCACCTGTCCTTTAGGAGTTGCTGTCTTAAGAGTGAGTCTTCAATAAACATGGCCTGTCTCATGGAGTATCACTTCATTTATTTAGCTCTTCTTTAATTTATCTCAGCAGTTATGTCACTTTTAGTATACAGGTTTTACACATACTTTAATTTATCTCTACCTAGTTCATGAATTTTTCATCTCAGGGTATAATTGAAAAAACGGAATAGACTTAAGGTGTACAATGTGATGATTTGATACATATATATTGTGAAATGATTACCGAAATCAAGTTAGTTAACACATCTGTCACCTCACGTAAGTTACCTTTTTGTGTGTGTGTAGAACACTTAAGATCTACTACTGTCTTAGCAAATTTCAAGTACACAATACAATATTGTTAACTATAGTCACCATGGAACATATTCATCTTATAACTGAAAGTTTTTACCCTTTGATCAGCATCTCACTTTTTCCCCCAAACCCCATCTCCTGGCAACCACCATTCTACTCTGTTTCTATGAGTTTAACTTTTTTAGACTAGTTAAAAATGAGATCATACAGTATTTGTCTTTCTAGTCTAGCTTTTTTTACTTAGCATAATGCTCTCCACCTTTACCCATGTTACTGCAAATGGCAGAATTTTCTTCTTCTTTATGGCTGAGTCATATTCCATTATGTGCAAGTATGTGTGTATATATTCATTCATTCATTGACAGACATGTTTCCATGTCTAGTGAATAATGTTGCAATGAACATGGAGTGCAGATATGTCAAGATACTGATTTTGTTTCCTTCAGATATATACCCAGCAGTGTGATAGCTAGATCATGTGGTAGCTCTATTTTTAATTTTTTGAGTACTCTTTGTACTGTTTTTCATACTGGCTATACCAGTTTACATTCCTACCATCAGTGTGCAAGGGTTCTGTTCTCACCAACATTTGTTATTTCTTGTCTTTTTTTTTTTTTTTTTTTTTTTTTTGTGATGGGGTCTCATTATGTTGCCCAGGCTGGTCTCCAGCTTTTTTTTCCCCCAAGATTGCTATGGATATTCGGGTTCTATATGAATTTTAGGATTGTGAAAAATGCCATTGGGATTTCGATAGGGATCACATTGAATCTATAGATTTCTTTGGATAGTATGGACATTTCAACAATATTTTTCCAATCCATGAACATGAGATAACTTTCCATCTATTTGTGTCATTTTCAGTTTCCTTCATCAATGTCTTACAGTTTTGTTTTTTGTTGTTTTGTGATGGAGTGTTGCTCTTGTTGCCCAGGCTGGAGTGCAGTGGTATGATCTTGGCTCACTGCAACCTCTGCCTCCCGGGTTCAAGCTATTCTCCTGCTTCAGCCTCCTGAGTAGCTGGGATTACAGGTGCTTGCCACCACGCCCGGCTAATTTTTGTACTTTTAGTAGAGATGGGGTTTTGCCATGTTGGCCAGGCTGGTCTCGAACTCCTGACTTCAGGTGATCTGCCTGCCTTGGCCTCCCAAAGTGCTAGGATTACCGGCATGAGCCACCATGCCCAGCCAATGTCTTACAGTTTTTAGTGTATGGATCTTTCACTGCCTTGGTTAAATTTATTTGTAAGGGATTTTTTTGTTTGGTATGCTACTGTAAATGGGATTTTTTTTACATTTATTTTTCAGATAGTTTGTCGATTTCGTATAGAAATACAAGCAAATTTTGAATGTTAAGTTTGTACCCTGTAACTTTACTGAATTTGTTCTAACCGTTTTTTTTTTTTTGGTGGAGTCATCAGAATTTTCTATGTAATAAGATCATGCCATCTACAAACAATTTAACTTTTTCATTTCCAATTTGGATGCCTTATCTTGCCCAGTTGCTCCTGCTAGGACTTTCAGTACTATGTTGAATAGATGTGGTGAGAGTGGGCACCCTTGTTACTATTCACCTTTGAGAATGATGTTAGCTGTGGGCTTGTCATATATGGTCTTTCTTATTTTTTGGGGTACATTCCTTCTATACCCAATTTATTGGGCATTTTTATCATGAAAGGATGTTGAATTTTGTCTTTTTCTGAATCTATTGAGAAGATCATATGATTTTTATGTTTTATTAATGTGGTTTATCACATTTATTGATTTGTGTACGGTGAATCATCTTGCACCCCAGGGATGAATACCATTTGATCATGTGTATGATCTTTTTACTCTGCTGTTGATTTCAGCTTGCTAGTGTTTTGTTGAGAACTTTTGCATCTGTGTTCATTTGGATTACTGGCCTATAGTTTTCTTGTGATGTCTTCGTCTGGCTTTGGTATCAGGGTAATGCTGGCCCCATGAAATGAGTTTGCAAGTATTTCCTCCTCCTCAATTTTTTTTGGAGGAATTTGTGAAGGATTGGCATTAAATGTTTGGTGGAATTCAGTGGTGAAACCATCAGGTCCTGGGCTTTGCTTTGCTGGGAGACTTTTTATTGCTGATTCAGTCTTATTATTCTTTATTGGTCTGTTCAGATTTTCTGTTTCTTCATTATTTTATCTTGGTAGGTCATATGTTTCCAGGAATTTATTTATTATTCTAGGTTATCCATTTTGTTGCCATATAGTTGTTCATAATAGTCTCTTATGATCTGTTGTATTTCTGTGGTATCAGTTATAATGCCTCTTCTTTCATTTGTAATTTTATTTATTTGAGTCCTCTCTCTTTTTTTCTTGGCTATTCTAGTTAAAGTTTTGTTTATCTTTCCAAAAAACCAGGTTTTAGTTTTGTCCATCTTTTCTGTTGTTTTACTCTTCTCTATTTCATTTATTTCTGCTCCAGTCTTTACTATTTTTTCCATATGCTAATTTGGGTCCAGTTTTTTTTCCCCTAGTTTGCTGAGATGTAAAGTTAAGTTGTTTGAGGTCTTTTTTTTCCCCATAATTTAGACATTTATCAATATAAACTTTCCCACTTAGAACTTCTTTTGCTTTATCCCATAAGTTTTGGTATGTTGTATTTCCATTTTGTTTTGTCTTAGATGTATTTTAAATTTCCTTTTGACCCATTGATTGCTCAGGAATGTGTTCTTTAGTTTCTATATATCTGAATTTTCCATTTTTCCCTCTGTTTTTATTTCTAGTTTTATACCATTGTGGTCAGAAAAGATACATGATATGATTTTAATTTTCTTGAATTTAAGACTTTTTTTGTGTGTCTTAACATATTTATTCTAAAGAATGTTCTGTGTGTGTGTGACAAGAATGTGTATTTTGCTGCTGTTGGATAGGATGTTCTTTATATGTCTATTAGGTCCATTTTTTCTATAGTGTTGTTCAAATCTGTTGATTCCTTATGATTTTCTGCCTGCATGATCTATCTACTGTCAAGAGTGGCATAATAAAGTCCCCTTTATTATTATATTGTCATTTATTTCTCCTTGCAGTTCTCTTAATACTTGTTTTATAATGAGGTACCCTGATGTTAGATGTATTACTATTTACAATAGTTAAATCTTCTTGATGAATTGACCCCTCTGTCATTATATAATGATCTTCTTTGTCTCTTCTGACAGTTTTTGACTTAAAGTCTACTTTGTCTGATATAAATATAGCCACTCTGTTCTCTTTTGGTTAACATTTGCATGGAATATCTTTTTCCATCCCTTCATTTTCAGCCTGTGTGTTCTCAAAGCTAAAGTGAGTCTCTTGTAGGTAGCATATTCTTGGATCTTAATTTTATATCCATTCAGTCACTCTATATCTTTGTTTTTGTTTTGAGAAGGAGTCTTACTTTGTTGCCCAGATTGGAGTACACTGGTGACTTGATCTTGGCTCATTGCAACCACCATCTCCTGGGTTCAAGTGATTCTCCAACCTCAGCCCCCCGAGTAGCTGGGATTACAGGTGTGCACCACCACACTTAGCTGATTTTTGCTTTTTTATTACAGACAGGGTTTCACTGTGTTGGCCAGACTGGTCTTGAACTCCTGACCTCAAGTAATCTGCCCGCCTCAGCCTCCCAAAGTGCTGAGATTACAGGTGTGAGCCATAGCACCCAGCCTACTCTATATCTTTTGATTGAATAATCCTTTTACATTTAATTATTGGTAGGTAAGGACTTATTATTGTCATTTTATTAATTTTTAAAATGGTTTGTAGTCCTTTGTTCCTTTCTTTCTCTTTTGCTGTCTTTCTTTATAATTTGGTGACTTTTTGTGATGGCAGGCTTTTATTTCTTTCTATTAATCTTTTGTGTATCTACTGCAGGATTTTGCTTTGTAATTACCATGAGGCTTACATAAAATATAATTATTACATGTTATTTTAAGCCAGTAACAACTCAACTGTGTTTGCATACAAAAATTCTACACTTTTACTCCCCCATCTCTCATATTTTAGGTTATTGATGTTACAGCTTTTAATATTGTGTGCCCATTAAAATTATTTTAGCTATAATTATTTTTAATATGTTTGTTTTTAACTTTTATACTAGAGTTGAAAGTGATATACATACCACCACAAGAATATTAGAGAATTCTGATTTTGACTATCTATTTGCTTTTACCAGTGAGTTTTATACATTTATATGTTTTTACATTGTTAATTAGTATCCTTTCATTTCAACTTGAAGAACTTTGGCATTTCTTATAAGGCAGATCTTTGTGATGATGAACTCCTTTAGTTTTTGTTTGTTGGGGAAAGTCTTTCTCTCTTTCATTTCTGCTGTACAGCTTTGCCAGGTATAGTATTCTTGGTTGAGGATTTCTTTTCTCTTTCAATATATTGAATATATTATTCCACTGTTTCCTCTCCTGCAAGGTATCTGCTGAGGAATCCACTTACAGTCTTACAAGGGCTCTTTTGTATGTGACAAGGTGCTTTTCTCCTGCCATTTTCATAATTCTCTCTTTGTCTTTGACTTTTGACAATTTAATTATACTATGTCCTGGTGTAGACTTTTCAGCCTGTTTGGAAATCTATGGGTCTCATAACTTTGACTGTCCTCTTCTTTTCCTAAATTTGGGATCTTTTCAGCCATTATTTCTTTATATAGATTTTTCAGTCTCTTTATCTGTCTCTTTTCCTTCGGATACTTCTGGAATGCTTATGTTGTTTTGCTCGATGGTGTTCCAGGTATCCTGTAGACTTTCTTCACTCTTTGTTTGTTTGTTTTTGCTTCTCTAACTGGATAATTTTAAGTGACTCATCTTTGAGTTCACTGATTTTTTATTCTTCTGCTTGGCCAAGTCTGCTGTTGAAGCATGCTATTAAATTTTTAAATTCAGTCATTGTATTCTTCAGCTTTATGATTTTTTGTAAAGAGGGTGCAGGGTCTCACTGTGTCACCCAGCCTGGAATGCAGTGGCACAATCATAGTTCACTGTAACTTCGAACTCCAGGGCTCAAGTGATGATCCCACCTTAGCCTCCCAAATAGCTAGAAAAACAGGCATGGGCCACCACACCCACCTAATTTTTTAAAAATAACTTTTGTAGAGACAGGGTCTTGCTGTTTTGCTTAGGCTTGTCTTGAATTCCTGGTCTCAAGAGATCTTCTCGCCTGGCCTCCCAAAGTGGTAGGATTATAGGCATAAGCCACTGTGCCTAGCTGGATTTTAAAAATGGTTTTTATTACTTTGTTGAACTTATTTTGTTAATGTATTGTTTTTCTGATTAGTTGTCTGTGTTTTCTTGTAGTTCACTGATTTTTAAGAGTATTATTCTAAATTCTTTGTTAGTTACATATCTTCATTTGTTTAGGGTCAGTTATTACAGCTTTATTAGTTTCCATTAGTGGTATCATGTTTCCCTGATTCTTTGTGATCCTCATATCATTGTATTAGTGTCTGCACAATTTAGGAAGTGATCACCTCTTCTAGCCTTTACATGTTCACTTTGGCAAGGAAAGATCTTTACTAGTCTGCCAAGCCTGGGCTTCTGGTTGGGCCAGCTGGTAGCATATGCAGGTAAGTGAGGCTGGGGTCTCTGATCTGGTGGGGCTGCTGCCGTTGCTCTAAGGTTGGGTGGAGCTCTCTTGTTGGGCAGGCCCCCTGACTGGTATCTGAGGTCAAGTGGGACTGTTGGTTGGGCTTTGTAATTGCCTCTGGTTGGGTGAGGCTGCAGGCTGTGCCCCAAAGTTAGGCGGGGTTGCTGGCTGGGCTCTACAGCTGGATGGCATTACAGTCAGGTAGGGATACTGATTGGACTCCCTGATTGGTTGGGGCTGGAAGCTGTGCCCCACTGTTTGATGTAGTCATTGGCTAGGCTCCCTGGTTGGGTGGGATTGCAGGTTATACTCTGGGCTGCTGGCTTGGTTCCCTGCCTGGGCATGGTTGCCATCTGTGCTTTGCAGCTGGGCTGGATTGCTGACTGGGAAACCTAGACACCCAGTACTGCCAACCATACTCCCTGGCCAGACTGGGTGCCAGGATTGCTTTGCAGGTGGGAGGAGCTGCTGCCTGGGCTCCTTGTCAGGTGAAGCTGTCAGCAGGGATGTGTGGTGCCATTGCCAAGATACATGTGCTTGTTGCATGTGGTCTAGTCCTGACAATTCTCAATATTCTGTAGGAGAAGAGATATAATTTGGCCTTTTGGGAAGCATGCTGGAATATTGGGAAAGCTAGATGTTCACCTTGTGCTGCTGGTGAAACCATAGACTCAGCAAATCTCTCTTGGCATGAGGCTGTTTTGGCCTGGGGTAGTGGCAACATCATCAAATTGAAATTGCTCCACTTATACTTCCAATACAACTTTTCTAAGTTTTGTGCTTCTGGAATTTTTGCAAAGATGTTCTTGTATGTAGATAGTTGCTAGTTGGTATTTCTGTGATGGGGACTAGAGCTTGGGACCTCCTATTCTGCCATCTTGCTGATGTCATTCCTCAGAACACACATGTTTTTGATATTACTATAAATTGTATTCTTTAAATTTTAATTTTTTATTGTTTATTTTTAGAATACATAAAGACTTGATTTTTGTATATTAGCCATATTTCCCGCAACTTTGCTAAATTAACTTGTTTTCTTTTTCTTGGTTTTTTTTTTTTTTGAGACTGAGTTTCGCTCCTGTTGCCCAGGCTGAAGTGCAATGGCGAGATCTCGGCTCACTGCAGCCTCTGCCTCCTGGTTTCAAGTGATTCTCCTGCATCAGCCTCCCGAGTAGCTGGGACTACAAGCATGTGCCACCACACCTGGCTAAGTTTTAATTTTTTGTAGAGATGGCTCTTGCTATGTTGCCCAGGCTGGTCTTGAACTCTTGGACTCAAGCAAGCCTCCCACTGCAGCCTTTTAAAATGCTGGGATTACAGGCATGAGCCACTGTGCCCAGCTCTTTTAGATTCTTAATGCTTTCTCTATATATTATCATGTTGTCTGCCAATAAAGGTAGTTTTCTATCTGAATGCCTATAAATTCTTTTTCTTCTCTTGCTTAGTTTTTTTCTTCCCCCTGTGAACAGTGTTGAAACTCTATCAAATATTTTTCTGCATCTTTGTGGTTTTTCCCCCTTTTTTTCTTATCAATATATTGAATTACATTGATTTTTTTTAAACATTAAGCCAACCTTGCATTCCTTAGGAAAAGTCACCCTTGGTGATGATGGTATTCTTTTTATATATCACTTTATTGACCCAGTAATACATTTTAAAAATAATTTTTATGTCTATTTTTATGAGACATTGGTTTATAGTTTTCTTATAATGTCTTTGTTGGATTTTAGTGTTCATGTAGTATGGTACCTCAAAAAATGAGTTGGAAATTGTTTCTTCCTATATTTGCTGGGAGAATTTTTATAAGATTTGTATTATTTCTTCCTTAATTGTTGGATAGAGTTCACCAGTGAAACCATCTGGGCCTATAGTTTACTTTATGGGAAGCCTTTTAAATCACGAATTTAATTTCTTTAGTAAATATTGGATTTATTCCACTTATTATTTTTTAAATTTCTTGAAATGTTGGTGATTTGTCTTTCAAGGAATGTTTCAATTTTATTTGGTCTATTGCACAAAATATTGACCTATTTTTTTTAAACATCTATAGGGTTTGTAGGATCTTCCTTTATTCCTGACATTGGTTAATTTATTTGTTTTCTCCCTTTGTTTTAATCAGTCTAGGTAGAAGTCTGTAACTTATTGACATTTTCCCTCCAAAGAGCCAGATTTCGGGTGGTTTGATTTTCTTATTTTTTTTTCTGTTTTCTCTTCAGTTTATTCCCTTTGTTGTTTCATTATTTTTCCTGCTTTGGGTTTCACTTGTGTTTCTTTTTCTGGCTTCATGTGAAGATTAGATCATTTATTATTATTATTATTATTATTATTATTATTATTATTGACAGGGTCTTGCTCTGTCACCCAGGCTGGAGTGCAGTGGCACGACCATAGTTCACTGTAGTGTTGAACTCCTGGGCTCAAGCGAGTCTCCCATCTCTGCCTCCTGAGTAGCTAGGACTACAGGTACATCCATCATGCTTGGCTTTTTATTTTTGTATGGATGGGGTGTTGCTATGTTGCTCAGGCTGGTCTCAAATTGCTCAAGCAGTTCTCCTGCCTTGGCCTCCCAAAGTGCTAGGATTACAGGTGTGGGCCATTGCACCTACCTAATCTTTTTTTTTTTTTTTTTTTTTTTTTTTTACTGCTTTTTTCCTAATACTTTTGTATTTCTAAGGTTTAAACCTTCCCTCTAACCACTGCTTTAGCTGCATTCCATGAACCTTAATATATTGTGTGTTCATTTTAATTATATTTGAAATATTTTCTAATTTCCCTTGTTATTTCTTTTGTGTCCTATGGGTCATTCAGAAGCATATTGTTTGATTTTCCAATATTTTTAGATTTTC
Organism: Homo sapiens; assembly: GCF_000001405.40. NCBI lineage: Eukaryota > Metazoa > Chordata > Mammalia > Primates > Hominidae > Homo > Homo sapiens. Next base: position 174,292,564 of record NC_000001.11, read on the forward strand.
CTTTTTTTTGCTATTGACTTCTGATTTAGTTTCATTTTGGTCACAGAGTATACTCTATATGATTTGAATTCTTTTAAACTGTTCAGACTTATTTTATGACTCAGCATATGGTCTACTGTGAATTTTTCAAGAGTACTTGTAAGGGATGTGTGCTCTGCAGTTGTTGAGTGGAGTATCCTATAAATGTCCATTATGTCAAGTTCTATAATAAGATTTTCCTGTGATCTTTACTCAGTAGATCAACAATTTCTATGACTATTACTGTAAGCAACAGTAGTAATAGCCACTACTAATTATTTTTTAATTAGTTTACTACATACCATACCCTCTTCTAAGCACTTTACATGGATTAATTTGTGTAATCTTCAGTAATCTCTATTGAGGTGTAAGTGCCATTATTACCTCCATTCTCTGGATTTGTACTTAGGCACAGGTAGGTTATTAGGTGGTGGACCAGGAATTGAATCTAAGCAGTTTGACCCTAAAACTTACACATAAAATGTTTATGGAAAGTGGAAAATTATGATAATCTAACACTAAAATTAGGATTTTTTTTTTTCCTGAAAACTTTTTTTCATGAACAGTAGTTTTTTTTGGTTATATTCTTCTTCAATTTGGTTTTTCCTTACTTGCACCATCTTGATGCTGGTATCACTATTTAAATTAGTTATATGAAGAGTTTGTAAAGAAAATCTAAGGACTTGTAACATTGGAAACATTGACAGTGTACTTGCCCTTACTCCTTTAACAAAATAGGCTCTTGGCTGGTAAAATTCAGTGATTTATGATCCTGATCCATGAAGAGCACTCTGCTCATATGGGGTTATTTGAAAACTGTTTGCCAAAAAGATTTCTGCTCTAAAAGCCTTTCTAAATGAATGAACATTTGGTATTTTCTTGTTACATGCTAACTCCACTGGCTTAAAGCTTTACTGGTTGTTAAAATGTCAACATCTCCAGGAAATAGGTCATAATAACTTTTACTAGTTGTATTGTCCTTATTGGTAGTGACTTTAATAAGATTCTTTCCTTTAGTCTAGGTTTTATTAGGGGTCAAGGTAAAGAAATGAAGAGGGCATTTCTACTTGAAGTGTCACTATATTGAGCAGGAAAGGCCAAAGTCCTGTATCACTTACAATTTCACTGAGATGCCGGTATTCATTTTAGAAATGATTTTCAATGTTTAGTTTAGTTTATTAAACACTTATTGAGTGCCTACAGTGTGGTAGGCATTATGCATTATGTGATAGGCATTATGCTATGTTGGGGATATTTGAATGAGTATTATCTATTCTCTGTTCTAAAACAGTAAACAATATACTGGTAAAAATGTTACAATACTAGATGATAATGGAACAATAGAAGTATATACATAGTTCAGAAGCAGCACTCACTCATCACCCTTATCACCCTTATTGGAGTTCAGTTAGACATCCTAGGTTTGTATCCAGTTTACTCTGGTGTATGTTTCACAGCTGTATAACCTTAGGCAAGATATTAGTAGTCTCTGAAATGGGGATTATAATTATGCCACCCCAAAAGATTGTCATAGTGAATAAATACTAATTCATTTAAGACCCTTAGAACAATGCTTGCTACCTGATAAACAACAAATATGAGTTATTATTGTTGTTAGTATTATTAATTGACTACCTGTTTGTCTTCTATCTAGTCTGTATTCCTTTTGGGCAGAGTCCTTTGTGTAGTCAGCCTAACATAAATGAATTAATGAATCAATGAATTGAAGAACTAATTCTGGTGGATAGGTCAGGTGTTTGAAGTGTGACAAAGCAAAGAAGGGGATTTCAGTCAGAGACAATAGTTGGTTAACTTCATAAATCTCTGATCCAACATTGTATATTCAGGATTTGTGGGAAATCAGATATTGATGGAGCATCAGTGGACTTGGGTGGGCAATTACTCTGAACAGATAGATAGGTCATTACCATGTCAGGAATTTAGAGACTATCCTCAGGTACGGAGGAACCACTGAAGGGTTTTAACTTCTGAATGACTCTAGATTTTTAATTGAGAAAGGTCACTGTTACTACAGTGAAAAGGATATCGAGACTGGTAAATAAAAAGTAAGAAGGCTATTGTGGCCAAGATAAGAAATGATGATAGCCTCAAGAAAGGCAGTGGCAGTGAGGATGGTGGAAAAGACAAATTTGAGAGATGTTAGGGAAGTAAAGATAAACAAGATTTGGTGTCTGATTTCATGTGAGGTTGAGGGAAAGGAAGAAAGGTGTGATTATTTTCAGGTGACTGGGTGGTTGTTGATGCTCTTGATTGAGATAGAGTTCCTGAAAGAAAAGTTTTGAGGTGATGAAAGGTAGTGAAGTTTTTGATACATTGAATTTTTTTTTTTTTCTTGAGACAGAGTCTCCCTCTGTAGCCCAGGCTGCAGTGCAGTAGTGTGCTCTTGGCTCACTGCAACCTCTGTTTCCCAGGTTCAGGTGATTCTCCTGCCTCAGCCTCCTGGGTAGCTGGGACTACAGGTGCGTGCCACCATGCCCGGCTAATTTTTGTATTTTTAGTAGAGATGGGGTTTCACCGTGTTAGCCAAGATGGGCTCGATGTCCTGACCTCATGATCCGCCCACCTTGGCCTCCCAAAATGCTGGGATTGCAGGCATGAGCCACTGCGCCCGGACTTTTTTTTTTTTTTTTGGAGACAAAGTCTCACTGTTGTACATGCTGGAGTGGTGTGGCGCAGTCATAGCTAACTGCAGCCTTGAACTCCTGGTCTCAAGCAGTCCTTCTGCCTAGCTTCCCAAGTTGCTGGGACTACAGGTGTGTGCCACCACACCTGGCTAGTTTTTCTTTCTTTCTTTTTTTTGAAATGGAGTCTCACTCTGTCACCCAGGTCAGAGTGCAGTGGCGCCATCTCAGCTCACCGCAACCTCCTCCTCATGGGTTCAAGCGATTCTCTTGCCTCAGCCTCCCAGCAGCTGGGACTACAGGTGGCCACCACCAGGCCTGGCTAATTTTTTTTGTATTTTTAGTAGAGACGGGGTTTCACTATGTTGGCCAGGCTGGTCTCAAACTCCTGACATTGTGATGCACCTGCCTCGGCCTCCCAAAGTGCTGGGATTACAGGCATGAGCCACCGCAGCCAGCCTTTTTTTTTTTTTTTGGTAGCAGTGGGGTCTCACTATGTTGTCCAGTCTAGTCTCAAACACCTGAGCTCAAGTGATCCTCCCACCTTGGCCTCTCAAAGTCCTGGGACTATAGGTGTGAGCTACCACAAGTGGCCTGATAATGTTGAATTTATTGTTCCTGTGTGACTCCCAGGTAGAGATGTTTAGCAAGCAGTTGGATATTTGTAACCTAAGCTTGGGAAATAAAGATTTAAAAAGTGGTCAGTGTTGAGAATGATGAAAAGCAGTAGATGAAATCACCCAGAGCCTAAGTATTGAATGAGGAGTGAAGGCTAAGCCTTGGGAAACACAGACGTTTAAAAAATTGGAGAGGAGGAGGATTGAGCCAAATAAATATAGAAGGATAACACAGATCTGGGGGTAAAATCATAAGAACATGATGTCAGGAAAGGCAAGAGAGGAAATAGTTTCCAGCAGGAGAGAATGCCTAAAGTATCAGTTACTGCAAGGAGCTTATTTAGGGATTTAATTGGTAAATAAGAGACAGTGTTCTTAAACTCTTAAGACTTGGACAATTTCTGAGGAATAGTGGGACAGAAGTCAGATTGCAGTTGATTTAGCGTTAGTTGATTTAACTCCCAGCCCTCTGTGCATCTGGAGACAAAAGAGATGCTGGGTACAAATCCAAAGTATTAGGATAGATTTTACTTTATTTTATGTAATTTACTCTCTTCTTGTACTTTTCCTGAGTTTGGAAGCCAAACTCTTCTGCTAGTGATACTACTGAATGAACATTCCATTAAAATATGGACTCAAGTGTAAAAACTGCTTGTCGCCAACATTTATAGGAATTGCGTAACAGATATTTTAGAAGTTAATTTCTTCGGCAGATTTGGTGTAATTCAGAAATTATGCATCACTTGGTATTTTCTTTTTTTGTAATTTATTGAAGGTATTTGAAGACAGCTGAAAGAAAAATGAGAATTTCGGAAAGTTCCCTTGCTTTCAGTTTTATGTGCTTAACATGTCAATTCAAAGTTTTTTTAATGAGTTTTTAAGGACCCCAATATAGAATTCATATTGGAAATACTCATAACTTTATGTTGATACCAGCTGTTGCTACTCTGATAAATTGCTTAAGAAATGATTTAATGGGCTATTATTTCTTCTCCTGTTACTGGAAATAAATGTCATGCATCTTTATCCATAAGGTGTTTAGTGACAGGATTCTTTGATAGGGAACTGATTATAATACAAATAAAAAACAAGTACCTTTTTAAGTATTTGTTTTGTTTTGGTTTGCTTTGTTTTACCTTGCATAATTTTTTGAATTATGGAATAATTCTGTATTCTGCTGGTGATGTTTAGGCAAAACAATGATAAGACACCAGGCACATTTAGGTGCTACTACTTATTTCTGAGTATGTACTATATTGTATTGAAGTGAGTTGTAAGGGAGAAAACATTTCTTAGTGTCTTAGGTTTATGGCTAAGACTCCCTATAACAAAAGACAGAATAACAAGAGAAAAACATAGAAATTTATTTAAGTTTTACATGACATAGTGTTGCAGGTTTTCTTTAGTTCAGCTAAAGACGGGGTCCTTGTCTGTCCCACGCCACAGAAATTTCGGCTTGCAGATGGTTTGAAGGGTGAGTAAAGCAGGATTTTATTGGGTGAAAAGGAAGAAAAGGGGGAAGCAGGGACTCTCGCTAGGCCAGAGTGCTAGAGCGCCTCCCGCCGGCTCTTCAAATTCCAGGTTCCACACAGGAAGAGGAAGGGCCAGGTTCCTCCTGCTGCAAACAGGGCGAACTTCTCGAGTTCCACTCCAATGAGCATTACGGTTGGAGTTTTTCTGGGGCGGCCCTTGCACCTGGCTGTCTCATTCCCCTCTCTAAAGAAGTATATCTAACTGCTGTTAGATTAAGGATAAGGACTAAGACCGATCTTAACTGCTTCCTGCTGATAGGGGGTGCTGTTTTGGGGGAAATGGCAGAGCTCCCTCAGAGACCTATCTAAGGGTTTCCAGCAGAAGGGGCCATCGTCAGAGGCTCTGGTTGCATGATTGTTTGGAGTTTGATGGCCTGAAGGCAAGAATAGACAAACCGGGTTATTAGAAGACATATATAAAAATGAAACAAGGGCACAGGTAAGGGCAGCTCAAAAATCCCAAGGCCGGAGGGCAAAAGCCTGACTGGCAAAAACACTTTACCCTTTTGCTGGCATGTTGGGTTTTTGGGTTCCCTTTCCCTGAGGCCAATCCTAAGCCAACCAGTGTAAGGGCTGGGAAATTAACTCTTTCCAGTTTGGAGGATGCATCCGAGGGACGTGTCCCATAGTACAGAGACACAGTCACCTATCAGTGAAGAGAGGACAGAGGAGAAAAAAGGAAAAAAGAGGGTGCCTTTTAAAGGACTCCTAGGGGTCCAGGGTGTATTTTAAAGGGGAACAGACTGAAGATAAATGGCTACCCATCTAGAAAGAGGGGAGCAGGCGTCCCTGGTTCCCTTCTCTTCCTAGCAGATACCCAGGGTACCTGAGGGAGAGAGGGAAGAGCGTCCTCTTTCCGTCTTCTGTCCTTGCATCCCCGAGTTCTGGTGACCTTGGCAGGTGCCACCATGAGTACCAAAGCTGCTTGCACTCATGAAGCAGGGGGACCTGAGAATTGGAATTATCTGCTCTCACCTATGTCTCTTTCTCACCTACTGTCAGTAGCCTTGGAGTTCCCTAGACCTGATTTATGCCATGGATACTGATGTGGCCTTTATCCAAATAGGAAGCTTGGGCTTGGCTTAATAGGAAGGAATCAGCCACACTCACCTGCGCTGTGCCTTTTAACTTCCCTTATTGTCTGCCTTTGGATCCTTCAGATCCAATTTTCTTTCCTATGGCTTTGACCCAAAATTTGGAATTGAGTCTGGGGCAGAAATGTGTCTTAAGGGGGTTGAATGGACTCCTTATCATAAGCCAAATGCTAAGGTGAAACTGTGGAACTGAGTCCTCCTCCAACAAGGGAGAGGAAAGGATGTCTTGTGACACACCCAGATAACTGGTGCTAAGATCTGGGTACATGGTGCCTGGCTTTGTTTACCTCCCTTGGTCTTACTTTCCCAAAAGGAAACCTCTGAGTGATGATCATCCTATTTATTCCCATCATCTGGCAGGATTTGCAGGATAATTGCTCAGAACTAGAATATTGATCCAGACTTGTACATTACCCATCCCTTTTGTTCTTTCTGAGCTGCAGCCAGAAATTGCTGGTTAGTTCACAGGAACAAGCAGGGTTAGTCTAAAATGTAGGTGAAAACTTAAAAACAACGAATCAGTTTAGAATTTAATGGCAAATATAAGTTTTGAAACGTGATTTCTCTCTGTCTAGTCCTCATGTTAAAAAACAAATCGTCATAGGACTGAGTGGTTTGCAAAATAGACTTTAGTTTTATACTTGGCCTGATTATTTGCATAAAGTGCAGCAAGAATAATTATTTCTACATAGGCCTTTTGGATTGGTTTTGATGGAAGTTTGTTCCATAAGGAATCTCAGATAAGACCTTTTAAGTCTGAGCCTAATCATGGGTTTGTATCCTCAAACACTTGTGAGTTGGGTGATTCTCTCCTCTTAGGGTCCCAAGATAAACTTGGAGCTCCTGGACCTGTTAGCAAGTGACATTCTTTACTGACCACAGGTCAGGAACTCTGTACAGGGACTGTGTAGACAAGGGTAGGTGGCCAGTTTCTCACTGGGCTTTTATGGGCTCTGCAATTTGAGATTGACTCAGCCTCAGTAAAATAACCACTTTCTCCAATTGTGCTCTGTTGCAAAAGAAAAATGAATTCTTACTGCACTGATGCAAACAGCTATATTGCCATAAGAAGGCTCACAGATAGTTTTCAAATTCTGGCGGAACCAGGCAGAGAGAAACAAACATGCTCCAAATCTTGATCATAGGAATATACCTTACTCAATTATTAAAGGCCATAAATAGTTCAAAATAAGTTTCCTTGACTCTGAAAAACAAAGCAAGGATCAGCAGTATTCCAAGTAAAAGTCAAAAAGGTTGCTTTGGCTTTCTGAGTTCAGTGCATTTAGTTAACTCTTGTTTTGCTTGATATTCATGAATATTTCAGCTCTTCATGAGTCCTGTACATTTTCCTTTATTAAAATGTTACAGTCTCCAAAGTTATCAGAAGTCTGTGTTTGAGAGCGACTGTTAAAGTTCTATAGCTTATTATAAACCATCTTTTGAAAAGGATTAAAATAAGACAACAATTGTCTGTGAGTAGCAAAATACCCAGGGTGGTTACAGTTAGAAACACAATTGACAAATAAGTGTGGTTATTTCTGTGGTTTATGATAACTTAACATTGATTATGGTTGACAGCATATACTTAGACATTAGAATTTTAGAAATCCCGTATGATTTTTGAACATATATTATCATTATTCACAAAAATATAACCTAAAGAAGACAGAACATCATTTTGGCAATCCCATATACCTAAACATGTCAAATAATCCTGTTTACCTCTCTTTTTCTGGACACTTCAGGGTCCCCTGAAGTATTTGAAAAGCCAGGTGCTGGCTGGGAGTGGTGGCTCATGCCTGTAATCCCAGCACTTTGGGAGGCCGAGGCTGGTGAATCTCCTGAGGTCGGGAGTTTGAGACCAGCCTGGCCAACGTGGAGAAACTCCATCTCTACTAAAAATACAAAATTAGCAGGTTGTGGTGGCGCATGCCTGTAATCCCAGCTACTTGGGAGGCTGAGGCAGGAGAATCCCTTGAACTCGGTGGTGGGGTGGAGGTTGCAGTGAGCCGAGAATGTGCCATTGCACTCCACCCTGGGTAACAAGAGTGAAACTCCATCTCAAAAAAAAAAAAAAAAAAAGTGAGGTGCCAGGGAACACGGTTTTGAAACTGAAGTTTGATTTTGGGAAGGCTGTTAAATGTTCAAGGTTTAAAATACTTGAAGCCAGGCCTGGTGGCTTATGCCTGTATTCCTAGCACTTTGGGAGGCCAAGGTGGGTGAAACCCCATCTCTACTAAAAATACAAAAATTAGCTAGGCATGGTGGTGGGTGCCTGTAATCATAGCTACTTGGGAGGCTGAGGCAGAGAATTGCTTCAACCTGGGAGGAAGAGGTTTCAGTGAGCCAAGGTGGCGCCACTGCACTCCAGCCTGGGTGACAGAGTGAGACTCTATCTCAAATGAATGAATGAATGAATGAATCAATGTCTGAGAACTGAATGACAAGAAGGAACTCACCATAGTGACACAGGATTTTTCTTGGTCACTTTGCCAGTCGGAGACCTCTGGTTGGTAACACCCCTGTCCGGGTTTTGCTGGGCCTGGGTTCATCACAGGAGATGCCCCACACTTGGCCTGCCAGTTCATGCCCGGTCTGCAGTTTGTCATGGATCCCACGGCCACTGTGACTGTGTATTCAACCTCTGGTTGGAGGTGGGGTGTGAGCAAGCAAGTGTGGGGTCTGGCCAGTTGTTCCAAGTGCTGACACAGAAGCAGGCTTTGTGCAGTGCTTGTTGCTGGACTAGGCATGTCTCAAGCCCACTCCTGTGATGGTCTCTGATGTCCAGATAGAGGACACAGCACCCAGGCAGGGGTGCTGTGACTCCGAAGCCCCTGAGGGGGTGTTACAGCATGCTAATTAGCTCAAGGGGCTGAAAGAGCTGTTAACACACCGCCATCTGGAATGGATGGCGGTGTGTTAACCACTCTTTCAGCCCCTTGCCCCAGTTTGGCCTGTGGCTGCAGGCCTGGCTCAGCCCCATTGCTGCTTTCTGTTGTGTGGGGCAGCTGCCCTCTGCCAGCAGAGGGCAGAGGGCCACAATGTTACAGCCTTCTGTGTACCCAGTTTCAGTGGGTCCTGAGTTCTTGTCCCATGACCAAGAAGAATAGGATCACGCTGAGAATTGAAGAGTGAGGAAGGTGGAGAATTTAATTGAGCAATGAAACAGATCTCAGCAGAGAGGGGACACAAGGGTGGTCCCCTACCCAAAGTCAGGTGGCCTCTCTCCCATTGTGGCTGGGTCCAGGGCTTTTATGGGCTCAGATTGGGGAGTGTATGCTGATTGGTTTGTGAGTATGCAAAAAGATTAAAACAAAGGCAACACTCAAAGTTGGGCATGACAGTGTAAAATGTTAATTAGGGAAGGGGAGGTATATGTAAAATAGGCGAAGGCTGGGGATCAATCAGAGGAAAGTGTGCCAAATGGGAAGACAGATTCTCAGTCCGGTTGGTGGATTTGACTTGTAACTTGTCTTTCAGGCTTTAAACTGCCTTTTGGCTTGAAGGTGGGGTTTCACTGGGGACCTGCCCCTGTCTGCCTAGGATTTGTCTGCCTCCTGCCACTGTCAATATAAAGATCCAGGGAAAGACTTTTCAAAGGATCAGCTAATGTAAAAGTTCTAAGATACGGACAAGCTTGGATTGTTGTTAGGATTGAATTCTTGCTATCCTTATTGTTATTACCATAGTAATTATTTTTTCAGGATTTCCAGAGTAGTGGTAGATTAGGACACAGAAGCCACTTTTGCTGCTTCATTATTCCTGAACATTACTTGCATATTGTACTATAGGTTAGACTCTCTCATGCCTCATAGTGTTACATCAACAGCACAAAATGATAACAAGAAATAACACTTGTTATTACTGTGTACTGAGCATTTTTCTAAATACTTTACTTGCTTTTTGTGTCTGGCTTGGGACAGAATTTGGATTCAGAAAAGAGAGAGGTCTCAAGAAACAAGAGAGGAAGGAAAGTTAGAATGAATTGAGAGGAGCCATAATGGTAAAAAGACATGAAATGGTACTTCAGGTGAAGAGTTAAGGAGGAGCAGAAACTTTTCTCTTGATAAATCTGTTTTCCACATGCCAACTTCCTGTTTTTTATTTTCAGGCAAGAGATAGTTTGGAGAGAAGAGGCTTGCCCATAAGAAAAGGATAGGCTTCAGGTCAGGACAGGAGTTAGCTGTTCTCAGAAGTTTCTATGACTTGACTTTCGATACAGGGAAGTAAGCTACTTTTTTGATCTGTGCTAAGTGTAGGTTTGATATTAAAATATCAAATGTTTTCTTGCCCTCTCCTCCAAATATCTTCTTTGCTTTTGAGTGCCTTGACATTCCTTTAAGTTGGAGACAAAACTTTTAATCAACTATTAAAGTTAAAAAGCATAAAAGGAAAATTCCTATTTGAAGATGCATGTTGGTTTAAACCTACTTAAATCAAAGTATGATCAGTCAGTAAATAACCAAAAGTAACCAAATAATAAGAATAACTATTCTAACTGCAGAAAGATGAAAATTAACAAGGTTGTGGAGTACTTATAAAGTTGTGAGAAAATATCTGTTGGGGGCATTTTCTTTTTTTTTTTAACTTAGTGCTTCTGATTAGCATTGGCGTTCTTTAGTGTCACCTCTGCAGAGGTAAATAGAAGCTGCTTGGACATGTATTTTTTTTCATGTGATTTAATGTATCTGTAGCTTAGTGAGAATATTTGATTCTGTTACATGTTTTATATAGACATTCTTGTTGAAAATAACAGGTCTTGTAGGCAATGGTTCTCAATTCAGCTTTGCATCAGATTAACTTGTGAACCTTAAAAAAAAAAATCCAGATTCCTAAATCCTGCCCTAAGGATTAGGCATTAGTGTTTAAAATATAAAAAGCCTCAGGTCTGGTTTCCTCATTTATAGCCACTGTTGAGACTTGTAACTTTAGAGAATTTATAGAGATATCAGCATATTGTACTTTGTATTTAATATTTGATGATGGCATGCCATATTGAAAAAGGTTTTAGAATTTATTTGCATAAATGTGATGAATCTTTGTAATGTGACTTAGCCAACGCACATTTATTGAGCTCCTGTTTACATGTTGCTAAGCTGTAATGAATGCTAATATGAACCAGGCAATTTTCTTTACAAATACAGATTGATTTTTTAGTTATCTAAAATATGTGAATATTGGGAACAAGTAGTGTATTTTAATAAAAATACACTTATTTGAAACTCAGTTTTTAGGTGCAATATTTAGATTCTATATGAGATCAAAGTAGTTCAGATTCTGCTTGTATAGGAAACTAAGTGCAGATGAAATATTTTACCACTATTGTACAATTTTGTACTACAACATCAGAGTTGAGTTGTTTATACAAAACATTTGTCAACTTCTGAGAAAGACAGTTATATTGTTTGTAAATAAGAACAGTTTTATTTCCAATCTGTATACTTTTTCTTGCCGTAATGCACTGGACAGGGCTTCCATGGGATGTTGAATGAGAGTGGTGACAGTGGACTTTCTTCCTTCTTTCTCCATCTCAGGGGGAAATTATTCAGCCTTTTACCTTTAAACATAGTGTTACTTGTAGATTTTTCTTAGATACTCTTTATCAGGTTGAGGAAACGTGCTTGTATTACTTGTTTACTGAGCATTTTTAACATGAATGAATGCTGAATTTTCTCAAATGCCCTTTATTTTGATTATGACATTAATTGATATGAACATAAGGTCTTTCTTCTTTAGTCTATTAATATAGTGGATTATGCTGATTGATTTTTCCAATGTTGAACCAGCTTGGCATTCCCCAACTAAATCCTATTGGTTGTGATGTATTTTGTATGTGTATATGTATAAAATTTGTAATTTGGTTTATATATATTTGATTTGAAATATATTTGAATATATATTTATTTGAAATTGTTTTATGTATATGTATAAAATGATTCGATTTGCTAATATATATAATTTATAATTTGATTAGCAAATTAAATCCATATATATTTATATATGTAACCCACATATATATTTTTATACATATAGCAAATATATCTTTAACAAAAAATATAACAACTATATCTGTGGCTACCTATCAGGGATGGGTATAATATAGGAAGGCATATTGGTATGCATGTGGTTCCCCAACTGTATACAGTTGTAAAAATTCTTTGAGCTATATACTTTAGGTTCGTGTAAGGTAGTCAGTTAAGAGTCTAGCATCACTTGCTTATCTGTCTGTCCTAGAACCTCTGGTGTCTCAGGTTTTTCTGATGAAAAGAAATTGAGTTCTCCAAAAATAATTAGTAGGTTTCATCATATTAGTTAAAAATAATACTAGAGGAACATAAATTTAGAATATCCTGTGAAGGACAGTGCACCTTAAAAGTTTTCAGAACCTCAGACATGCTGTAGATCAAACACAACACGCCATTCTTCATTGCAGCTCTTTTGAATGCATTATTTAAATACTATCTTTCAATGTTTCCTTCAGATTTCTAATACTTAAATATACTGTTATATTTTTCTCAGTCTGAGGGAAAAGGCCATACCAATGCTGGAGATGCAATATATGAGGTGGTGAGTCTACAGCGAGAGTCTGACAAGGAGGAACCAGTCACTCCTACTAGTGGAGGGGGTCCAATGTCACCCCAGGATGATGAAGCAGAAGAGGGTAAGAAGTTGGACTTACTCAGTTTATTCTGTCTGTATAGCTGCTTTACTTACAATCTTCAGAGGAGGTGTGTGTGTTGTGGGTAGAAGTGGTGGTTATTCCTAACCTCTGTTACCATTAGGCCAAATTCTACAAGGTGCAGAAAAGAATTTGGTTCATTTGGTTCCTAAGTTGCATAGTCTCCAGTGCCACTTTTGCAACTATTTAAATTTGACAGCATCACTTGGCTGCTGTTGTTTTCTATTTTATTTCAATTATTTTTATTTTTTATTTTCTTGAGATAGAGTCTCCCCTGTCACCCAGGTTGGAGTGCAGTGGAAAATCTCGGCTCCCTGCAACCTCTGCCTCCCGGGTTCAAACAATTCTCCTGCCTCAGCCTCCTGAGTAGCCAGATACAGGTGTGCGCCACCATGCTTGGCTACTTTTTTTTGTATTTTTAGTAGAGATGGGGTTTCGCCATGTTGGCCAGGCTTGTCTCAAACTCCTGACCTCAAGTAATCTGCCCGCCTCAGCCTACCAAAGTGCTGGGATTACAGGCGTGAGCCACTGCACCTGCCCTCAATTAATTTTTTAAATTTTTTAGTTGTAATTATAGCCTTTTTTTTCTATTTTATTTTTTCTATTTTATTCTTTGCATATATATATATATTTTTAATACTTTAAGTTCTAGGGTACATGTGCACAACGTGCAGGTTTGTTACATATGTATACATGTGCCATGTTGGTGTGCTGCACCCATTAACTCGTCATTTATATTAGGTATCTCTCCTAATGCTATCCCTCCCCCCTCCTCCCACCCTATAACAGGCCGCAGTGTGTGATGTTCCCTTCCTGTGTCCAAGTGTTCTCATTGTTCACTTCTCACCTATGAGTGAGAACATGCGGTGTTTGGTTTTTTGCCCTTGCAATAGTTTGCTGAGAATGATGGTTTCCAGCTTCATCCATGTCCCTACAAAGGACATGAACTCATCATTTTTTATGGCTGCATAGTATTCCGTGGTGTATATGTGCCACATTTTCGTAATCCAGTCTATCATTGTTGGACATTTGGGTTGGTTCCAAGTCTTTGCTATTGTGAGTAGTGCTGCAATAAACGTACGTGTGCACGTGTCTTTATAGCAGCATGATTTATAATCCTTTGGGTATATACCCAGTAATTGGATGGCTGGGTCAAATGGTATTTCTAGTTCTAGATCCTTGAGGAATCACCACACTGTCTTCCACAATGGTTGAACTAGTTTACAGTGCCACCAACAGTGTAAAAGTGTTCCTATTTCTCCACATCCTCTCCAGCACCTGTTGTTTCCTGACTTTTTAACGATCGCCATTCTAACTGGTGTGAGATGGTATCTCATTGTGGTTTTGATTTGCATTTCTCTGATGGCCAGTGATGATGAGCATTTTTTCATGTGTCTGTTGGCTGCAGAAATATCTTCTTGAAGTATCTTATGAGAAGTTTCAAATGATCTCCTGTGACTTTAGAATTTTCATGATTGTTACGTCATGTCCTGTTTCTCATTTGACATCATTCAATTCTTGTTTTTTTTTGTTGCTGTACCCCTTACCACTGCTTTTTTTTGGAAATAGTGGGGTATCTGCTCTATTTACTACATGGTTGCTGCTGAGCAATAACTGACCTCACAAAAAGCACATATCATATGGCTCTGTGCTCAATACTCTTTTTATACAAACTAGAGCTAAATGACAGATGTTTACTTTTAAGACCTTGTATCATGTGCTTCTAGGGTATGGTTTATTAATAGTAAATTTCTTAATTTTTATTATCTTTGAAAAAAGCATCTTAGAATTCTCAGTCTTGCTTCTGTATGAAACTGTTTTTTTCTATGATTGCCATAAACATAATAATTATTTTTAGCTAATATTTATTTAGTGCTTACTATATGCTAAGAACATTCCAAGTATTTCAAATATGTTAACTTATTTGAGTCTTACAATCCCATGAATACTCTTATTAACTTGGTTTTAAGGATGAGAAACTGAGACACAGAGAGCATCATCACTTGCTAAGCTCACTCAGCTTAAAGTGACAAAGCTGAGATCTGAGTCCAGGCTATCTGACTTTAAGATTTGTACTTGTAACTATGACATTATTCGGTCAAGTTAGTCAGTTGACTAAAACATGAGAACAGCTCACTTTTAAAACTAAGGTAAAATTCACATAACATGAAAATAACATGAAAACTTAAACATGTACAACTCAGTGGCATTTTAGTACATTCACAATTTTGGGCAACCATCACCTCTATCTAGTTCTTAAACATTTTCGTCATCCAAGAGGAAATATTATACCTATTAAGCAGTCACTCTCTGTTCTCCCCTTTCCCTTCCCCCTGGCAGCCACTAATCTGCTTTCTATCTCTATGGCTTTACCTATTTTGCATAATTCATATAAATGGAATCATACAAAATGTGACTTTTTGTGTCTGGCTTCTTTCACTTAGCACAGTGTTTTCTGAGCATATTGTTTCATCTACATTGATACATGATATAGCAGGTGTCAGTATTTCATTCCATTTTATGACTGAATAATAATTGTTTAGATAAAGCACATTTTGTTTATCCATTCATCTTTCAGTGGACACTGGTTGGTTCCATATTTTGGCTATTGTGAATAATGCTGCAGTACACATGGGAGTGCAGCTGTCCCTTTGACATACTGGTTCATTTCCTTTGGATATATATGCAGTAGTAGGATTGCTAGATTATATGGTAGTTCTATTTTTAATTTTTTGAGGAACCACCATAGTGTTTTTCATAGTGGTTGTACCAATTTGTATATCTACCAATAGTGTTCAAGGGTTCCCTTTTCTCCACATCCTTGGAAACACTTACTTTTGCTTTTTGGTAATAGCCGTTTTAATGGGTGTGAGATGATATCTCATTGTAGTTGTGATTTCCATTTCCCTTATGATTAGTGATGTTGAGTACCTTTGCATATACCTGTTAGTCATTTGCATGTCTTCTTTTGAGAAATGTCTATTTAGGTCCCCTGTCCATTTAAATTTTTTTTTCTTTTTGCTATTGAGTTGTGCAAAATTCACATATATATGTGTATTTACATATGTATGTGTATATGTATACAGGCTGTATACATATCTGTATATATACACACACATATACATATATGCATATATGTTATGAGATGTGTGATTTGCGAAATACTTTCTCTCATTCTGTAGGTTGCCCTTTCATACTGTTGATTGTTTCCTTTGTTTTGCAGATGTTTTTTAGTTTGATGTAATCCCATTTATCTATTTTTGCTTTTGTTCCTTTTGCTTTTGGGGTTTTATCCAAAAAATCATTGCCCAAACCAGTGTCATGGAGCTGCTCCCCTTTGTTTTCTTCTAGTAGTTTAATTTAAGTCTTTAATCCATTTTTAGTTTATTTTTATGTATGGTGGTGTGAGATAAAAGTCTAATCTCTAATTTCATTCTTCTGCATGTTGTGGATATCCAGTTTTTCCAAAACCATTTATTTGAAGAGACTGTTCTTTCCCCATTGTATGTTCTTGGCACCTTTGTTGAATGCCAGTTGGCTCTAAATACATGGAATTATTTCTGTTCTGTTTATCCCATTGGTCTATATGTCTGTTTTTATGCTGATCTCATGTTGTTTTGGTTACTTTAGCATTGCACTAGATTTTGAAGTCAGATAGTGTAATGCTTCCAGCTTTGATCTTTTTGCTCAAGATTGCTTCACCTATTTGGGATCCTTTGTGGCTCTATATGAATCTTAGGATTTTTTTTTCTATTACTGTGAAGAATGTCATTGGAATTTTGTTAGGGATTGTGTTGTGATCTGTAGATTTCTTTGAGTAGTATAGACATTTAAACATATTAATTCTTCCAATCCATGTACACAGTATATCACTCCACTTATTTGTATCTTCTTAAATTTCTGTCATCAATGTCTTATAGTTTTCAGTGGAGAGATCTTTCACCTCATGGGTTAAATTTATTTCTAAGTATTTATCTTTTGTAGCTAATGGGATTTAAATGGGGTTTAAAAAATTAGTTTTCAGATAGTTTGCTGTTACTCTGTAGGAATTCTACTGATTTTTGTATCCTGCAACTTTACTGAATTTATGTATTAATTCTAACAGTTTTTCGATGGAGTGTTTAGGGTTTGCTATAAATAAGATAATGTCATCTGCAAACCAGGACAATTTGATTTCTTCTCCAATTTGTATACCTTTTATTTCTTTCTCTTGCCTAATTGCTTTGGCCAGGACTCATTACTATTTTGAATAGAAGTGGCAAGAATAGGCATCCTTGTCTTGTTCTGAATCTTAGAGGAAAAGCTTTTAGCCTTTCCCCATTCAGTATAATGTTAGCTATGGGTTTGACATATATGGCCTTATTTTATCCAGGTATATCCCTTCTATACTTAATATGTTGAGAGTTTTTCACATGAAAGGATGTTGAATTGTGTCAAATGCTTCTTCTGTATTAGTTGAAATTATCATGTGATTTTTATCCTTCATTCTGTTCATGTGATGCATTACATTTACAGATTTGCATATGTTAACTCATTCTTGCATCTCCTGGATGAATCCCACTTGATCATGATGAATAATCTTTTTAATGTGCTGTTGTGTTTGGTATTCTAGTGTTCTGTTGAGGTTTTTTGCATCTGTGTTCTTCAGAAATATTGGCCTGTAGTTTTCATTTTTTGTAGTATCCTTGTCTGTGTCTGGCTTTGATATTAGTGTAATGCTGGCCTCATAAAATGAGATTGGAATTACTCTGTTCTCTTGAAATTTTTGGAAAAGTTTGAGAACAGTTGGTATTAATTCATCTTTCAGTCTTTGTTAGAATTCAGCGATGGAGCCATCAGGTCCTGAGCTTCCTTTTTTTGCTGGGAGACTGTTTATTACTGATCCAGTGTTATTACTCATTATTGGTTTGTTCAGATTTTCTATTTCTTGATAATTCAATCTTGGTAGGTTGTATGTGTCAAGGAATTATTCATGTCTTCTAGGTTGTTTAACTGTTTGAATATAACGGTCTATAACAGTATTTTATGATTCTTTGTATTTCTGTTGTATCAGTTGAAATGTCTCCTTGGTGTTCAGGAGCATATTGTTTAATTTCCATGTATTTGTGAATTTTCCGAAGCTTTTTCTGTTATTAATTTGTTGTTTTATACTATTGTGGTTGAAAAAGATACTTGATACTATTTCAGTCTTCTTAAATTTGTTAAGACTTGTTTTGTGGCCTAACATATGATCTGTTCTAGAGAATGTTTCATACACAGTTGAGGAGAATGTATATTGTGCAGTTGTTAGATGGAATGTCTTATATATTATTTAGTCTAGAGTGTACATTAAGTCTGATGTTCCTTTATTGATATTCTGTCTGGATGATCTGTCCATTGCTGAAAGTGGGTTGTTGAAATCTCTTACTGTTTTTTGTATTGCAGAATATCTCTTCAGATCTATTAATGTCTGCTTTATATATAGGTACTTTGATGTTGAGTGCATATATTTACAATTGTTATAGTCTCTTGCTGAATTGACCTTTTTATTATATAATCACCTTCTTTGTCTCTGAATTTTTTTAATTTTATTTTTTGTGGACACATAGTAGGTGTATATATTTATGGGGTACATGAGGTATTTTGGTAAAGAATGCAGTGTGAAATAAGCACATCATGGAGAATGGAGTATTTATTCTCTCATACTCTTTGAGAGTATTCTCTCATACTCATATTCTCTCATACTCATTCTCTCATATAACTCTTTGAGTTACACACAATCCAGTTATATTTTTAAGTTATTTTAAATTGTACAATTAAGTTATTATTGACTATAGTCATCCTGTGTGCTGTCAAATACTAGGTCTTATTCATTCTTTCAATTTTTTTTGTACCTATTAACCATCCCCGCCTCCCCCTGCAACCCATCACTACTATTCCCAGCCCCTGGTAACCATCTGTATTAGTCTGTTCTCACACTGCTGTAAGGGTACTACCCAAGATTGGGTAATTTATAAACAAAGGAGGTTTAATTGACTCACAGTTTTGCATGGCTGGGGAGGCCTCAGGAAATTTACAATCATGGCGGAAAGGGAAGCAGGTACTTTCTTCACAAGGCGGCAGGAGAGAGAGTGAGAGAGAGAAAAGGGAAGAGCCCCCTTATAAAACCATCAGATGTCATGAGAATTCATTCACTATCATGAGAATAGTATGGGGGAAACTGCCCCCATGATCCAGTCACCTTCTACTAGGTCTGTCCCTCAACAACTGGGGACTACAATTCAAGATGAGATTTGGGTGGGGGATGCAAAGCCTAACCGTATCATCATCCTTCTACTCTCTGTGTCCATGACTTCAATTGTTTTGATTTTTAGATTCCACAAATAAGTGAGAACATACAATGTTTGTCTTTCTGTGCCTGGCTTATTTCACTTAACATAATGATCTCCAGTTCAATCCATGTTGTTGCAAATGACTGGATCTTTATTTTTATTTTTTTGAGATGGAGTTTCACTCTTGTTGCCCAGGCTGGAGTGCAGTGGTGCGATCTCAGCTCACTGCAACCTCCGCCTCTTGGGTTCAAGCGATTCTCTTGCCTCAGCCTTCTGAGTAGCTGGGATTATGGGTGTCCAGCACCATGCCTGGCTAATTTTTTGTATTTTAGTAGAGACAGGGTTTCGCCGTGTTGGCCAGGCTTGTCTCAAACTCCTGACCTCAGGTGATCCACCCACCTTGGCCTCTCAAAGTGCTGGGATTACAGGCATGAGCCACCATGCCCAGCTGACAGATGACTGGATCTTATTCTTTTTTATGATTGAATAGTCCTCCGTTGCATGTAAGTATCACATTTTCTTTATCCATTTATCTGTTGATGGACACTTGGGTTGCTTCCAAATCTTAGTGATTGTAAACAGTGTTGCAACAAACACAGGAGTACACATATCTTTTTGCTACACTGATTTCCTTTCTTGTTGGAAATATACCCAGCAGTGGGATTGCTGGATCATATGGTAGCTTAATTTTTAGTTTTTTGAGGAACCTCCAAACTGTTCTATATAGTGGTTGTACTAATTTACATTTCCACCAACAGTGTACAAGGGTTCTTTTATCTCTACATCACTAGCATTTGTGATTGCCTGCCTTTTGGATGTAAGCTATTTTAACTGGGGTGAGATGATATCTCATTGTAGTTTTGATTTGCATTTCCCTGATGATCAAAGATGTTGAGCATCTTTTCATATGCCTGTTTGCCATTTGTATGTCTTTTTTTTTCTTGAGAAATGTCTATTCAAATCTTTTGCCCGTGTGTTAATCAGATTATTCGATTTTTTTCCTACAGAGATGTTTGAGCTGTTCCTTATATTTTCTGGTTATTAATCCCTTGTCAGATAGGTAGTTTACAAATATTTTCTCCCATCCTGTGAGTTATCTCTTCACTTTGTTAATTGCATCCTTTGCTGTGCAGAAGCTTTCTAACTTGATACGGTCTCATTTGTTCATGTTTGCTTTGGGTGCCTGTGTTTGTAGGGTATTACCCATGAAATTTTTGCCTAGACCAATGTCCTGGAGATTTTCCCCAGTGTTTCTTATAGTAGTTTTATAGTTTGAGGTCTTATACTTGAGTCTTTAATCCGTTTTGTTTTGATTTTTGTATATGGTGAGAGGGGATTAGTTTCATCCTTCTGGATATGGATATTCAGTTTTCCCAGAACCATTTATTGAAGAGACTGTTCTTTCTCCAATGTCTGTTTTTGGCACCTTTGTCAAAAAATATTTCACTGTAGACGTATGGATTTATTTCTGGGTTCTCTCTTCAGTTCCATTGGTCTATGTGTCTGTTTTTATGCCAGTCCCATGCTGTTTTGGTTACTATAGCTCTGTAGTATAGTTTGAAGTCAGTTGTGATTCTTGAACTGCCTCAGCCTCCCGAGTAGCTGGGACTACAGGTGCCCACCACCACGCCTGGCTAATTTTTTGTAGTTTTAGTAGAGACGAGGTTTCACCGTGCTAGGCAGGATGGTCTTGATCTGACCTTGTGATCTGCCCGCCTCGGCCTCCCAAAGTGCTGGGATTACAGGCATGAGCCACCACCACACCTGGCCATAAATGGGATTATTTTTTAAAAATTCTTTTCCACGTTGTTGACAATTGGCATATGTAAATGCTACCAATTTTTGTATTGTAATTTGGTATCCTGTAACTTTATTGAATTTGTTGATGAGTTTTAATAGTTTTGTGGTGGAGCCTTTAGGGTTTTCCAAATATAAGATTATGTCATCTGCAAAAAAGGATAATTTGACTTCTTTCTTTCCAATTTGGATGCCCTTTATATCTTTGTCCTGTCTCATTGCTCTAGCTAGGACTTGCAGTACTGTGTTGATTAACAGTGGTAACAGTGCTCTAGCTAGGACTTCTGGTGCTATATTGAATAACAGTGGTGATAGTGGGCATCCTGGTTGTGTTCCAGATCTTAGAGGAAAGGCTTTCAGTTTTTCTCCATTCAGTATGGTACTAGCTGTTGGTCTGTCATATATGGCTTTTATTATGTTGAGGTATGTTCCTTCTATCTCAAGCTTTTTTGAGGGTTTTTAATCATGAAGGGATGTGGAATTTTATCAAATGCTTTTTCAGTATCAATTCAAATGATCATAGTTTTTTTCCTTCATTCTGTTGATACGATGTATCACATTGATAGATTTGAACCATCCCTGCATCCCAGGGATAAATCTCAATTGGTCATCATGAATGATCTTTCTATAATGTATTGTTGAATTCTGTTTGCTGGTATTTTGTTGATGATTTTTGCGTGAGTATTTATCAGAGATATTGGCCTATACTTTTCTTTTTTTTGATATGCGTTTGTCTGGTTTTGGTATCAGGGTAATACTGGCCTTGTAGAATGAGTCTGGACATTTGGAAGAGTTCCCTCGTCCTCTGTTTTGCAGTAGTTCGATTTGGATTGGTGTTAGTTCTTTAAATGTTTGATAGAATTCAACAGTGAAGTCATCGGTTCCTGGGCTTTTCTTTAGTGGGAGACTTCTTATTATTGCTTCAATCTCAGTACTTGTTATTAGTCTATTCAGGTCTTGGATTTCTTCATGGTTCAATCTTGGTAGGTTGTATGTGTCTAGGAATGTGTTCTATTCTTCTAGATTTTCCAATTCATTGGCATACAGTTGCGCATAGTAACCACTGATGATCCTTTGAATTTCTGCCATCTCAGTGATAATGTCTCTGTTTTCCTTTCTGATCTTATTTATCTGTATCTTTTTGCTTTTTTTCTTAGTCTGGCTAAAGGTTTGTCAATTTTGTTGAACTTTTCAAGAAACCAGTGGTTTGTTTCATTGATTGTTCATTTTTTAAAGTTTCAATTTATTTGTTCTCTGATCTTTATTAGCTCTTTCCTTCAACTAATTTTGGGTTTGGTTTGCTTCTGCTTTTCTCATTTTTTTAAGATGCATCATTAGAAGGTTTATTTGAAGTTCTTCCTTTTTTTGATGTAGACAGTTATAGCTATAAACTTCCCTCTTTGTACTGCTTTTGCTGGGTTTCGGTATGTTGTGTTTCCTTAATCATTTATTTCACGAAATTTTTCAATTTCCTTCTCAATTTCTTCATTGACCCACTGGTCGTTCAGGAGCGTATTGTTTAATTTCTCTGTATTTGTATAGTTTCCAAAATTCCTCTTTTTAACAATTTCTAGTTTTATTCCACTGTGGTCGAGAAGATGCTTGATATTATTTCAGTTTTTTTGGAATGTTTTAAAACTTATTTTGTGACCTAAAATATGGTCTGTCCTTGAGAATCATCTGTGTTCTGAGGAAAAGAATATGTATTCTGCAGCCATTGGATGAAATATTCTGTAAATATCTATGAGGTCCATTAGGTCTATGATGCAGATTAAGTCTGATGTTTCTTTGTTGATTTTTTTGTCTAGAAGGTCTGTCCAGTGCTCACAGTGGGGGTTTGAAGGTATTATTGTGTTGGGGTTTATCTTTCTCTTTAGCTCTAATAATATTTGCTTTGTATATCTTGATGTTCCAGTGTTGAGGGCAGATATATTTAAAATTGTTGTATCTTTTTGCCGAATTGATCCCTTTATCATTATATGGTGACTTTCTTTGTCTCTCAGAGTTTTCTGTCTTGAAGTCTATTTTTCCACTATAAGTATAGCTATTCCTGCTCTTTTTTGTTTGTTTTCTTGTTTCAGTTGGCATGGAATATCTTTTTCCATCTCTTTATTCTCCGTCTATATGTGTCCGTGTAGGTGAAGTTTGTTTCTTGTAGGCAACAGATCAATGGGTTTTGCTTTTTCATTCATTTAGCCAGTCTGTGTCTTTTGATTGGAGAGTTTAGTCCATTTACATTCATTGTTATCATTTCTAAGTGAGGATGTACTTCTGCCATTTTGTAATTTGTTTTCTGATCTTCTTTCTTCCCTTCCTGTCTTTCTATAGTGAAGATGATTTTCTCTGTTGCTATGATTTCATTTCTTGCCTTTTTTTTTTTTTTTGAGACATGGTTTTGCCATGTTGCCCATGCTGTAGGATCTTTTCTTTATCCTTAGCCTTTGGGAGTTTGATTATCAAATGCCTTGACATAGTCTTCTTTGGGTTAAATGTGCTTGGTGTTCTATAACCTTCTTGTACTTGAATATTGGTATCTTTCTCTAGGTTTGGGAATCCATTTCAATACATTTTCTACCCTATCTCTTTCTCTACCTCCTCTTTAAGGCCAATAATGCTTAGATTCGCACCTTTGAGCCTTTTTAAAGATCCTGTAGGCATGCTTCATTGTTTCTTATTCTTTTTCTTTTTGGCTTCTCTGACTGTATTTTCATATAACCTGCCTTTAGGCTCACTAATTCTTTCTTCTGCCTCATCAATTTTGCTATTAAAGGACTCTGATCTGTTCCTTAGCTCCAATTGCATTTTTCAGCTCCAGCGTTTCTGCTTAATCTGAAAAAATTATTTCAATCTCTGTTATATTTCTATGATAGATTTGTGAATTCCTTCTTTGTGTTATCTTGAATTTCTTTGATTTTTCTGAACACAGTTATTTTGAATTCTCTTTCTGAAGTTTCACATATCTCTGTTTCTTCAGGAATGGTCCCTGGTGTCTTATTGAGTTCATTTGGTGAGGTCATATTTTCCTGGATGGTGTTGATGCTAGTAGATGTTTTTCGGTGTCTGAGCATCAAAGAGTTAGGTATTTACTGTAGTTTTCACTGTCTGGGCTTATTAGTACCTGTCCTTTTTGGGAATGCTTTTCAGATATTTGAAAGGACTTGGGTGTTAATCTAAGCTGTATCTACTTTAGGGGCAAGCTCCTCAAGCCCAGTAATGCTGTGGTTCTTGCAGACTCATAGAGGTACTGCCTTGATGGTCTTGGATAAGATCTGGGAGAATTCTCTGGATTACCATGCAGAGACTCTTGTTCTCTTTTCTTACTTTCTCCCAAACAAACATTCTCTCTCTCTCTGTCCTGAGTTTCTCCTAAACAAACAGTCTCTCTCTGTCACCACTCCCTGGCTACTGCCTATGTTCACTCAGGCTCTGGAGCTGTACCATCAGCAGGTGGCAAAGCCAGCCATGCCTGTGTCCTTCCCTTTAGGGT
The DNA here is from genome assembly GCF_000001405.40 of Homo sapiens. Lineage (NCBI taxonomy): Eukaryota > Metazoa > Chordata > Mammalia > Primates > Hominidae > Homo > Homo sapiens. The sequence goes on from NC_000001.11 coordinate 174,316,741, forward strand.
GGGGAGGTCCCTCAGACCCCAGGGTTGGAGGTTCAGAGGTGCCATCCAGGAGTCAGGGACCTTAGAATTCTACCTGTTGTTCTGTCATACTGCCCCTGAGCTGGCAGTTGAACCACAAGACACAGTTCTTCCCACTGTTCTCTCCACTTTCCAAAGGCAGAGGAACCTCACCCCATAACTACCACCCACCCAGGCTACGAGGAGTACTGCCAGACTACCATAATATTCCTTTAAGGTCCAAGGGCTCTGAAGTCAGCTTGTGATGAATGCTTCCTGGCCTGGGACTCAGGCTTCAGGGCAGTGGGCTCCCCATTTGGCCAGGGCAGGTTTAGAAGTGCTGTCCAAGAGTCAAGTTCTGGAATCAGGGACTATAAGAGCCCACTTAGTGCTCTACTTCCCTGTGGACATGCTAGAACCTAAGGTGCAAGACAAAGTCCCCTTTACTTTTTTCTCTGTTTTTCTCAAGCAGAAGGAGTTTTTTCCCATAGCCACTACAGCTAGTAATGTGCTGAGTTTCATCGGAAGCCAGCAAGTCTCAGGGGCTCACCCAAGGCCCTTGATGTAGTACCTGGGTATCACTGCTGGTTATTTCATGTCCAAGGCTCTTCAGATAGCAGGTGATGAACGCTGCTGGGATTGGGTTTTTTCCTTCAAGGCAGTGGGTTCCCTTTTGGCTCAGGTTGTATCTAGAAATGTCTAGGAGCTATGGCCTGGAATGGGGACCTCATGATTCTGATGGTGCCCTATCTTGCTTTGGCAGAGCTGGTATCCAAGATGTAAGACAAAGTCTTCCCTACTCTTCCTCTCCTCTCCTCCAGTGGAAGGAAGGGTGTCTTTTGGAGCTGTGAGCTATGCAGACTGGGGTTAGGGGAGGGGTGATACTAGCACACCCCTGGCTGCCCCAGCTGATGTCTCAGTATGTCATGTTTCCCCCCAGTCCACTGTCTCTGGGCCTAGTTCATCACTATGACTTGCCTAAGAGTTGCAGTCCTTATGGTCTAGACTGCCTTTCACATTTACTTGTACATAGCACTGTAGCCCTTGGTGGCAAGGTCTGCAGGAACTCAAATTTGTACCGCTGGGGTCAGGGATTTCCCTTTGGCCAGGGCTGGTTTAAATGCTCCCTCCATGGGCGGGCATCAGCAGGAGTTGGGTCAGGTTTTGCTATCTCCTCTAACAGGACAGCACTAAGTTCAGTGCCCCACAGTTGCTGTGTTCTCCCTCCCCCTGTGCCCAGTGATGCTTACCCCACCATGTCACTGATGCCAGGGGTTATAGAGGGGTGGTATTGGCAGTTCAGGACTGTTTTTTTTTTTTTCTATCTCTTCAGTGCCTCTTTCAGCAATAAGAAGTTAAAACCAGGACTATGAGTGTTCGCTTGATTTTTGGTTCTTACAAAGGTTTTCTTTTTCTGTGTAGATAGTTGTTAAATTGATGTTCTTGCACAGGGGACAATTGGTGAAGCTTTCTATTCCCTATCTTCCTCCACCTACCTCTCCCCTTGTCTCTTTTTACACTTTTGAACTTAAAGTCTGTGTTGTCTGATATAAAAATAGCTACTCCTGCTCTGCTTTGGTTTTTATTTGCATGGGATAACTTTTCTCTTCACTACATTTTTAGGTAAAGTGAGTCTCAGGTGAGTTTCAGGTAAACTTTTCTCCTTACTGGTAAAGTGAGTCTCTTGTAGGGAGCTATAATTGGGGCGTTGTGTTTTTGTTTTGTTTTGTTTTGTTTTTCTTCCATTCAGCCACTCTATGTCTTTTGATTGAAATACTCAATCCATTTATATTCGAGATATTTATCTTTAGATAAAGACTTTTTACTGCCATTTGGTGATTGTTTTCTTTCTTTCTTTCTTTCTTTCTTTCTTTCTTTCTTTCTTTCTTTCTTTCTTTTTCTTTCTTTTTTGTAGACTTTTTGTTCCTGTCTTACTCTCTTTTAATCTTCCTTTGTGATTAATAATATTTTATAATGGCATACTTTATTTCCTTACTTTTTATCTTTTATGTATTTGCTATACTTTTGCATTGTGATTACCATGAGGCTTATGAAAAACATCTTATAAAGGCTGTTTTAACCTGCCAACAGCTTAACTAACTGCATTAAAAAAAACTTTACACTTCATCTCCTTCTCCCATATTTACAATTTTTGATACTACAGTTTATATCTTTTTAACCTGTGTATTCTTTTAAAAATTATTATACCTATTATTGTTTTTAATAGTTTTGTCTTTTAACCTTCATACTGAAGATGTAAGTGATTTACATACTGCCATTACAGTATTGCATATTTTGTATATTTTACATATTTGCATATTTGTACTTACTTTTTTCAGTAACTTTTATACTTTCAGATCAGTATGTTTTATACTTTCAAATGTTTTTCTTACTAATTAACATTCTTTTCTTTCAGGTTGAAGAACTCTTTAGCATTTCTTGTAAGACAGATCTGGTGACATGATATTCTTTGATTTTTTTCCATCAGTTTTATAATTTTCCTCATAGATCATGTACATATTTTATTGGATTAATTTTAAGTACTTCTTGTTATTAATATGAATGATACTGAGTTTTAAATTTAAAATTTCAATGGCTTATTTGTGGTATGTAGAAAAGCAGTTGACGTCTTGTATATTGACTTTGTATACAGGTAACCTTACTATTCTTGGTTATTAATTCTAAGAAGCTTTTGTTTGTTTTATCAAATCTTTGGAAATTTCTGCATATGTCATTATGTCACCTGAAAATAAAGACAGTTTTATTTCTTCCTTCTCAATCTGCATAGCTTTCATTTTATTTTCTAAGTGTCTTATTGCATTTACTAGGACTTTCTGTACAATGCTCAATAGGAATGGTGAGAAGGGACATTCTTGTTCTCTTCCTGATCTTAGCAAAAAAGCATCTAGTTTCTTACTATTAACATGAAGATGTTAGTTGTAGGTCTTTGTAGGTGTTCTTTATCAAGGTGAGGAAGTTCTTTTCTATTCTTAGTCTGCTGGGAGTTTTTATCATGAATAAGTATTGGATTTTGTTAATTGCTTTTATTGATACGATCTTAGGATTTTTCTTCTTTAGCTGTTGATGTGATAGAGTAATTAATTGATTTTTGAATGTTCCTCTGCGGTTATTTAGTTAGCACTCTTTACTTTCTCGTGCCTTGCCATTTTGCTTCATCTATTCCCTAATAAAAATCTTCGATCACTATGTTTTTGCATCTTTAATATATGAACCACCAGTTGAAGTCCCTGCCTTCAGCTTGCTCACTCTTCAAAAACAGGACATTTGACTGATTTTTGTCTAAAAATTTTGATGTGGGTTTTGATACAGAACCATTGAAAATAAACGGTATGAAGGCATAAATTATATACAACAGAATGAACGTATTTTGAGTGGTAGTTCACCAGGTTTGAAAAGTGTTATACATCCACATAATCACCACCAGAATTATGATATGAAACATTTTCATCACCCCAGAAACTTTCTCTTATGCCCTTTATAACTCATCGTTTCCCCTCACTTGTGGTTCCTGGCAACCAGTGATCTATTTTCTGTCATTATAGTTTTACCTTTTCTTCAGTTTCATATACATGGAATCACTTAGTACATAGTCTTTTGTATCTGGCTTCTTTACGTAGCATAATGCCTTTTAGATTTATGTACATCATGTTAGCAGTTGGTTCTTTTTTATTGCTGAGTAGCAATCTGTTGTATAGATATGCTGCAGTTTAGTCATGAGTTAATGGATGTTTGGGTTATTTCTAGCTACTGGCTATCGTGAATTGTTGCGGGAAGTCAGGGACCCTGAATGGAGGGACCAGCTGAAGCCATGGCAGAAGAACATAAATTGTGAAGATTTCATGGACATACATTAGTTCCCCAAATTAATACTTTTATAATTTCTTATGCCTGTCTTTACTGCAGTCTCTGAACATAAATTGTGAAGATTTCATGGACATTTATCACTTCCCCAGTCAATACTCTTGGGATTTCCTATGCCTGTCTTTAATCTCTTAATCCCATCATCTTCGTAAGCTGAGGGTGTATGTCGCCTCAGGACCCTGTGATGATTGTGTTAACTGCACAAACTGTTCGTAAAGCATGTGTGTTTAAACAATATGAAATCTGGGCGCCTTGAAACAAGAACAGGGTAACAGTGATGTTCAGGGAACAAGGGAGATAACCATTAGGTCTGACTGCCTGGGAGTCGGGTGGAACAGAGCCATGTTTCTCTTCTTACAAAAGTGAATAGGAGAAATATTGCTGAACTCTTTTTCTCAGCAAGGAACAGCCCTGTGAAAGAGAATGCGTTCCTAGGGGGAGGTCTCTAAAATGGCTGCTCTAGGAATGTCTGAATTATATGGTTGTTGATAAGGGATAAAATAAGCCCCAGTCTCCTGTAGCACTCCCAGGCCTATTAGGATGAGGAAATTCCTGCCTAGTAAATTTTAGTCAGACTGATTGTCTGCCTTCAAACTCTGTCTCCTGATAAGATGTTATCAATGACAATGTGTGCCCAGTGGGGCATGAAACTTCATTAGCAATTTTAATTTCGCCCTGGTCCTGTGATCTCGCTCTGCCCCCATTTGGCTTGTGATATTTTGTTCCCCTTGAAGCATGTGATCTCTGTACCCACACCCTATTCGTACACTCCCTCCCCTTTGAAAATTGCTAATAAAAACTTGCTGGTTTTGTGGCTTGGGGGGCATCATGGAAACTGCCGACATGTGATGTCTGCCCCGGACTCCCAGCTTTTAAATATCTCTCTTTTGTACTCTTTCCCTTTATTTCTCAGACCGGCCAACACGTAGGGAAATAGAAAAGAACCTACATTGAAATATTGGGGGTGGTTCCTCTGATAATGAATAATGAATTTGATTACAATTTTTTTGGCAAATATATGCTCCCATTTCACTTGGAAAAATACCTACGAATAGGTTCGCTGGGTTGAAATTACCAAGCTACTTTTCCATCCCTACCAGCAATAGATGAATCAGTTGCTCTATACCCTTGTTAGCATTTGGCCTTACTAGTTTAAAAAAATTTAGCTATTCTAGTGTGTGTGTGTTGTGGTATATTGCAGTATTAATTTGCATTTCCCTAATGACTAATGTTTTTGTGTATCTTTTCATGTGATTATTTACCATTTGTATATCTTCTTGGTCAAGTGTCTATTTGAATATGTTGCTCATTTGTAAATTCTGTTACTTGTCTTACTGATTTATTAGAGTTCTTTATATATATTAGACAATTTTTTTATCAGATGTGTTTTGCACATATTTCTTTCATTCTGTAATTTGTTTTCATTTTCTGAAAAATGTCTTTTGAAGAGTAAAAGTTTAATTTTATGAAGTCTAATTTGGCAATTCTTTTCCTTTATGATTTATATCTTTTGTGTCGTAATAAATCCTTGCCTAACTCAATGTCACAAAGATTTTTTTCCTTTGCTCCTTTAGATGTTTTATAGTTTAGATTTTACATATAGGTCTGTTATCTATTTGTTTTTATCTATAATTGCAGGTAGAGGTTAAAGTTCCTGTTTTTTGGCTTAAAAAACAGAAAACATTTATTTTATGGTTTCTGCAGGTTAGGAATTAAGGAGTGGCTTGTCTGGGCAGTTCTGGCTAAGACTTTCTCATGAAGAATCAGATACTGTCTGGGCATGTAGTCACCTGAACACTTGACTGGGTGGGGCAAGAATCTCCAAAAGCGCTCACTCATATAGCAGTCAAAATGATGCTGTTGTTGGAAAGTAACATCAGTTTCTCTTCACATAAGTTTCTTTAGAGAGGCTGCTTGGTTGTCCTTATGATATAATGTCTAGCTTTTGCCAGAGAGAGCAACCCAAGAGACCAAGGTGAAAGTTTCAGTGCCTTATATTTCCTAGCCTTAGAGTCATACAGTATTACTTACACAGTATTCTGTAAGTCACAGAGTTAAGCCCTTATTTACATTGTGTGATTCTACTGTATTCTATAGAAGACTTCCAAGAACAGTGATGGGGTCATCTCTATCTCAGCTGACATGAATGGATAAAGAGAAGAGATCACATGCAGGAGATTTTGGGGGCAGATCTAGAAGCTGTGCACATTATTTTCTGCTAAGCAAGAACCACAGGGGCAGTTGGGGAATGTAATTGAGCTGTGTGCTCAAGGAGAAGAATAAATAGGTGTGAGAAGCATCTAACAGAAAGTTACTTGAAAACAAGATTTCAGGTAATGTCATCCAAAAATGCCATTTTTTTTAGAAATGAAAAATACGTGTAACTAGAACTGAGAGAGAATAAAATTGGTAAAATGACAGGTGCTACTCCATAAGAATATATTATACACTTCAGTGTCACATCATTTGGCCTTTTGCTCTAATTTAGTGAAAAACAGTTTTCACGTCTGTCCTACTATGTTTGAAGAAAGATAACTGATTTGGTTTAAGAATCTGTTTTGTGGCATATATATTAGATATTTAGTATACGTAGATTTATATTTTACTCATTTTAGCCCTGAGAAATAACTATTATCATCTGTATATTATATATAAGGAAGAAGATTCAAAAAAATTTAAGTAAATCATTTGAGATCATAGGGATAATAAACAAAATTCAAATCTATGTAAATCTCACCTGAAAGCCCATGATTTTTCATGATAAACAAAATAAAGATACTCTCCTTTAAATCACTGAATCTATATAACTACACTCTTAATTGCTTAAAAGATAGTATTTTTAATGTTCCCTTTCCAGATGAGACATTCTAGATCTTATATATTCTTAATATTCTGGATCTGTCTGAAATTGCAGACTTCTGATAGAAAGATATAATTGAATATAATATGAAAATAGAACATGAAACTGTATCTTCCACTATTGTTTAGGGAGCTTTCATCATATTTGGAAGCATTTTTGCAAAGTGGTTTCAAGCATGCAAATAAACTAGTATGTTATCAATGAACTCTAGGTATAGATTATTTTAAATTATGTCATCCAGTAGCCACATATACTTCTTTAAAGGATCAGTTGTAGAAAAATCTACAACTGGAAACCAAAATATTCTCTTCAAAATGTCTTTTAGACAACAAATACACCTTTAGTTTATTCACCATGCATTTTTTATGATAAATTACTCAATGTTATTAAAGGCTTGAAAAGGTATTTTATGATCCAGTGATAATTACTTTAGTGGTGAAGAAATCTGAAAGTTGTGTGGATATGCTCTATAATGGAAGAGTCATTTACTTATGAAAAACAACATTACTAGTAAACTGATAAACTAAGAAGTAAATGGCAAGCCAAATGACCCCACAGTTTTGGCGTGTTATTAACCTGCAAATTATCCAGAAACATCAACTGCTAGGATCTTAAAATCATGTAGGCGAATCATTGGAAAGTCATTTTTTTTTAGTCTTAGTAAAGAGCTAAATTAGATCAATATTCATTTTTTCTCATGGCCATTTTGACAGTTGTCTTGAAACAGTTATACTGAAATGACTACCTCAAAATGTAAGAAATGAGGGGTGCAGAAGAGATAGATTAGAGATATTCTGGAGATAAAATTAGTGAGGCTTATAAATGAATTGGATACTATAGATGGCAGAAGAAAGAGAGGAGAAAGACTCAAAGGTTATAATGCAATTTTTGGTTTAGGTAACTGGATGATCTTGATGCCAGCAAATGAGATAGGAAACACAGGGGGGAGGAAGTGTGGGTTTGGAGGTGGGAGGAAAATGTATTCAGTTTTAAATATTGATGAGTTTGAGTTCACTGTGGAACACTGAAATGGAACTATTTTTCAGTTATTAGAAATAGTCTTAAACTGTGAGAAAAACTTTACAACTGGAGATAAAGTCTTCAGAGTCATCAGTATGAAGCAATGAGAATGGCTGAAATTATCTTTGAGGAAAATGTGGGAGAGGTGGGTTAAAAGTAGATGTTAGGACATCACTAACATTTAAGGGGTAGGTCCAGGAAGAGAAAGCCCTAGCTAAAGGATCTGCAGAAAAATGATGACAATATGAGAGCCAAGACAGGGATAGAATAAGGGATGGAGATTGTCAAAGAAGAAGTGATATTCGGTGTTGTCAAATAAACAAGGAGGTTTAATAAGATAAAGACCAAAATCTGTTCTTACAAGTTCATTAGTTTGGGGGGATTATGGAACCTCTACAAGGGTGATTTTAATAAAACTGGGAAAGAAACCTCATTGTAGTGCATTGAGGATTGACTAAAGATAAGGAAGGAGAGAACAGTGTTTAAGTAACTCTTTTAAGAAATATAAGAAGAGGAAAGAGATTAGATTGAGAATACTGAATTATTTCTGGCCAAGAGAGGACAATTTTAGGGTGTAAAAGACTTGAGCTTCTATGTGGTTAGAAAGGAAGAACTAAAAATAGAGAGAAGTTCACCCATCCTGCACTTAACCATACAGTTTCCTGACATGCTTCTGTGTCTTAGCAAATGCTATTTACTCTGCTTAGAGTTTTTTCAACAAAGGCATGTTAATAGTGGGGGAAAGAAAGTAATTTTAGCATCGTGGCAGTTTCTCAGACATCTTTCAAAATATTTTCTATGACCTTTTTAGTAGGTTACTTTGGCAAATTATATTTAAAATGCAATGTGGTTGGAACAAGATGGCAGAGTTTCTTTCTTCACTGATAGTACCCCCACAAAAACATCATTTTGCACAACTATCCACATATGAAAGTACCTTCATAAAAGCTAAGGGAACCTGAACATGCAACCAAGGCTGTAAAGCCCCCATGAACTGCAAAGATGAATAAACTGTAGTTGGAAGATAAGATTATTGGTTCTCTGTGACTAAGATGCCTCTTTCTACAAGCCATTACAGTACCACACGTGGAAGTTTCTCCTGGACTCATGGTTTCTATATTGGAAAAAATGAGTTGGAGCTGCACATTTGGCTTCCCCACAATCCTGGGTCCCTTCACAGGAGGCTCACTTCTGCACTGGCCCATTGGGAGCAACACAAGTCCTGATGGGGCCCAACCATCTGAGGCCAGCTAGGAACAAACAGAAGATGTGGGACTAGCAGCAGCCGGTGTGTGGAACTTGGAAGTGGCTCATGATACCTGCCATAGGAGCTGCACTAAAGGGGCCGTTTATGGGCATCATGCTGCAAGAAGCACATTCCACAGATCCTCTGGACTTGAGGGCCTGACTGGCTCTCCCACATGGCCTAGGGGCCCTTCAGGGACCTTCCGTGGGTCTATCCTTTGCATCAGTGACAGAGCCATTGTGAGACTCGTGTCTAACCTGGGCTTAGGGTGCCTTCTAGCACTGAAATAGAATACAGCAGTCAGCTCAGATTCCTAAACAAGCCCACTAAAATAGACTGATCACAAACAAACCTAGACTACAAAGACTAGAATAAATATCTAATTTGTTAATGAGTAGACAGAGATGCATGTCCACAAATAATAGGAATATACTAGGAAAAATGGCCTCACCAAAAGGACAAAGCAAGGTCCTAACAACTGATCCTAAACCATGTAGATGAATGATCTGGTGGACAAAGAATTCAAAATAGTTCTTTGAGTAAAACTCAGTGAACTTCTAGAAAACAGAAACAATTCAGAAATTTATCAGAGAAATCCAACAGAGAAATTGGGAATCATATAAAAAATCAAATAGAAATCCTGGAGTTGAAGGATATAATAAACAAAATGAAAAATGCAATAGAGGGCATCACCAGCAGAATTCATCAAGCAGACGAAAAATCAGCTCGAAGACAGGCTCTTCAAAACTATATAGTTGGAGGAGAAAAATGAAAAGTGGAATTAGAAGGTATGAAGAAAACTGTTAGGATTTATGGGGCACCATCAGAAGAGCAAATCTGTGTATCATTGATGTTCGAGAGGGACTGGAGTAGGGGAAGGGGATAGAAAGCTTTTTCAAAGAAGCAATAAAAGAAAATTTTTGAAAACTGGAGAAATATACAAATATCCAGGTATAACAAGACTAGATTTACCAATCAGGTTTAACCCAAATAAAACAACTATAAGATATATTAGAAACAAACTGCCAAAGACAAAGAGTGGATATTGAAAGCAGAAAGAGAAAAGCAAATAACAAATAAGGGAATTTCCATACTCCTGGAAGCAGGCTTCTCAGCAGAAACCTGACAGATGAGAATGAGTAGAATGATATATTCAAAGTGCTGAAGGGAAACAATCAAACAAACGAGAAACCTGTCAACCAAGAATACTGTACACAGTAAAGCTATTTTTTTTAAATGAAGGAAATCTGAAGGCATTCTCAAACAAAAGCTGAGGGAATTCCCTGTAACCAGATCTGCCTTGCAAAAAAAGGTGAAGAGAGTTTGTCATACTGAGAGAAAAGGATGCTACTGGGTAACATGAAAAAAATCTGAAGATATAAAACCCACAGGAAAAAGTAAGTGTCCAGGCAAATTCAACATACTCTAATGCAGTGATTGTGGGACATAAACCACTTATGGTTTAACCTTCGTTGTTAGGAAGGGTTAAAAGACAAAACAAAAATAATAGCAACTACAATAATTTGCTAAGGTATAAAAAGATGTAAATTATGTATATAATAAGGTATAATAATATAATAAGGTATAAAAAGATGTATATAAAAAGATGTAAATTATGATATCAAAATATGAAATATGGGAGAGCAATGGAGTTAGTGTTTTTTTTGAACAAAATTGTCAGCTTAAAATAATATAACTGTAAGATGTTTTTTGTAAGTCTCATGGTAACTACAAAGCAAAACCTTTAATAAATACAATACAAATAAAAAGTAAGAAATCAAAACATACTGATAGAGAAAACCTCCTACCTGGAAAGGAAGACAGTAAGAAGAGAGGAACAAAGGTTCTGCAAAACAAGCAGAGAACAAGTTGATAATATGGCAGCATCAAGTCTTTACCTATTAATAATTAACTTGAGTGTAAATTGATTAAATTCTTCTTTGAAAAGACGCAGAGTGGCTAATGGATAGAAAAATAAGACCTAACTATATGCTGCCCCCAAGAGACTCACTTCACCCTTAAGAACATGTGTAGACTGAAAATGATGGATGGGAAAAGGTATTCCACGCAAATATAAACTAAAAGAAAGCAGAAATTCCTATATTTCTATCTGATAAATGGAATACAAGTAAAAAATTAGAAAAAGAGGCAAACAGGGCCATTATGTAATGTTAAAGGGGACAGTAGAGCAAAAGGATATAACAGTTGTAAATATATATATATATATATATATACACACACATATATATATATATATATATATATATATATATATATATACCCAACATCAGAGCACTTAAATATATAAAGCAAACATTAATAGAGCTAATGGAATATATTGGAATACAGTAATAGTAGGGAATTTCACCTCACTTTCAACAATGGACAGATCATCCAGACAGAAAATTAACATAGAAAAACTGAATTTAAACTGTACTCTATACCCAATGGACCTAACAGACATTTATAGAACATTCTGTCCAACAGCTTCAGAATTCACATTCTTCTCAACTGCATATGAAACATTCTCCAGAATAGATCATATCTTAGGCTACAAAATAAGGCTTAACAAATTCAAAAAAAGTGAAATTATATCAAGCGTTTTTTCTGACTGTAATAGAAGTTGAAATCAACAACAGGAGGAAGTTTAGAAACTGTACAGATGCATAGAAATTAAACAATATACTCCTGAACAACCAATGAGCCAATGAAGAAATTAAAAGGGAATTTAAAAAATTTCTTGGCCGGGCACGTTGTCTCATGCCTGTAATCCTAGCACTTTGGGAGGCCAAGGCAGGTGAATCATTTGAGGTCAGGAGTTCAAGATCAGTCTGGCCAACACAGTGAAATCCCGTCTCTACTAAAAGTATAAAAATTAGCTGGGTGTAGTGGCAAGCACCTGTAGTCCCAGCTACTTGGGAGGCTGAGGCAGGAGAATCACTTGAACTGAGGAGGCGGAAGTTGCAGTGAGCCGAGATCATGCCACTGCACTCCAGCCTGGGCGACAGAGCAAGACTCCATCTCTAAATAAATATATAAATAAAAGTTTCTTAAGACAAATGATAATGGAAATGCAGTATACCAAAATAGCAAAAGCAGTCCTTAGAGGGAAGTATACAGTAATAAATGCCATCATTAAAAAAGAAGAAAGATCTCAAATAAACAACCTAACTGTCTACCTCAAGGAACTAGGAAAACTAACACGTCTCAAGGAACTAGGAAAACAAAATTGAGGGAAGGAAAGAAATAATAAGGATCAGAGCAAATATAAATGAAATAAAGACTTAAAAATACAAAAAAAAAAACCCAGGAAACAAAAGTTTATTTTTGAAAAGATAAAATTGACAAACCTTTATGCAGACTAAGAAAATAAAAGAGACTAAATAAAATTAGAAATGAAAAAGGAATCATTACAACTGATACCCTAGAAATGCAGTGGATCATAAGAAACTGCTATGAACAATTATATGCCAACAAGTTGGATAACCTAGGAGAAATGGATAAATTTTTGAACGCATACAACCTACCAAGCTTGAGTCAAGAAGAAATAGAAAATCTGAACAGACTGATGTTGAGTAGCAAGATTGAAGCAGTAATAAAGCCTCCCATCAAAGAAAATTCAAGGACCTGATGGTTTCACTGCTGAATTCTAGAAAACATTTGAAGAACTAATACAAATTATTCACAAAATATTCTAAGAAACTGAAAATGAAGGAACTCTTTCAAACCCATTTTATGAGACCAGCATTGTCTTGATTTGAAAACCAATCAAAGACACAACAAAAGAGAAAACTACAGACTGGTTTTCCTGATGAGTATAGTTGTAAAAAAAATAAAATACTAGCAATAAAGATTCAAAAGCCCATTAAAAAGGTAATTCACCATTATCTAGAAGGATTCAACCCAGGAATGTAAAGATGGTTTAACATAAGCAAATCAGTAAATGTGATACATCACATTAACAGATTGAAGGATAAAACTATGTGGTCATTTCAATTGATACAGAGAGAGCATGTGACAGACTTCATCTTTTTGTGATAAAGCTTCCAGCAAATTATGTTCAGAAGGAGTATACCTCAACATAAACAAGGCTAGATATGATAAAACCACAGCTAACATCATATTAAACAAGGAAAATTTCATAATAATAATTTTTTTTTAAAAAAAGACTGATTTGAATAATAATAAAGCTTTGGTCTCCTGCAAAAAAAAAAAAATTGAAAACTTTTTCTCTGATTTCTGGAACAAGATGTGGATGCTTACTTTTACCACTGCTATTCAATATAGTCCTGGAAATTCTAGCCAGAGCAGTTAAGCAAGAGAAAGAAATAAAAGGCACCCAAATTAACAAGGACGAAATCAAGTTGTCCCTGTTTGCAGACAATATGATTATCTATACAGAAAACCCTAAAGACTCCACCAAAAACTCTTAGAACTAATAAACAAATTCAGTAAAGTTGCAGAATACAAAAAGCAAAATGCAAAAATCAGTAGCATTTCTATACACCAATAGGAAACTATTTGAAAAATCAAGAAAGAAATCCTATTTATAAGTCAGATGCAGTGGCTCATGCCTGTAATTCCAACACTTTCGGAGGCTGAGGCAGGAGGATCTCTTGAAGGCAAGAGTTTGAGACTAGGCTGGGCAACATTGGGAGACGTTGTCTCTACCAAAATAAAAATAAAAAAATTAATAGGGCACAGTGGCACCCACCTGTAGTCCCAGCTACTCAGGAGACTGAGGGAGGAGGATTGCTTGGGCCCAGGAGTTTGGCACTGGAGTGAATTGTTATTGTGCCACTGCACTCCACCCTGAATGACAGAGTGAGACTCTGTCTTTAAACAAACAAACAAACAAACAAAACACCTACCTAGGAATATACTTAAGGAAGTGAAAGATCTCTTCATTGAAAATTATAAAACATTGGTGAAAGAAATTGAAGACAATATAAATGAATTGAAAGATATATCATGTTCATGGATGGTAAGAATTAATATTTTTAAAATGTCTATACTACCCAAAGCAATCTACAGATTCAGTGCAATTTCTATCAAAATTCCAATGACATTCTTCACAGAAATAGAAAAAAAAATTTAAATTCATATGGAGCCACAAAAGACCCTAAATAGGCCAAGCAATCTTGAGCAAAAAGAACAAAGCTGGAGACATCATGCTACCTGATTCAAAATCTACTACAAAGGTATATTAGCCAAAACAGTATGGCATTGGCATAAAAAATAGACGCATAGACCTATGGAACAAAATAGAGAGTCCCGAAATAAATTCAGGCATTTACAGCCAACTGATGTTTATGAAAGGTGCCAAGAACACACAATGGGGAAAGAACAGTTTTTTCAGTAAATGGAACTGGGAAAACTGGATAGCTACATGTAAAAGAATGAAACTAGGCCCCTCTCTCTCTCTGTATGTAAGTCAATTCAAAAGGATTAAATACTTAAATGTGAGACTTGAAACTATGAAATTGCTAGAAGAAAACACAGGAGAAACACTGTAAGTGATTGGTCTGGACAAAGATTTATTTTAGACAAGACCTCAAAAATAAGAGCAACAAAAGCAAACATAAATGGATCTACATCACACTAAAAAGCTCCTGCACAGCAAGGAAAAAATCAACAATGAAGAGACAGCCTATGACATTAGAAAATATTTGCACATTATGCATTCAATAGCAAAAAACCCCAAATAGTCTGATTTAAAAATGGGCAAAAGATCTGAATAGATATTTCTCCAAAGATGACATACAAATAGTCAACAGGTTTATGATAAAACGCTCAACATCACTATCAGGGAAATGCAAATCAAAACCATAATGAGGTATTGCCTTACTGTGGTTAAAATGTCTATTATCAAAAACACACAAAAAATGTTAGTGAGGATGTGGAGAAAGAAGAACTCTCTTTTTTTTCTTTTTATTTTATTATTGTTATACTTTAAGTTTTAGGGTACACGTGCACAACGTGCAGGTTTGTTACATATGTATACATGTGCCATGTTGGTGTGCTGTACCCATTAACTGGTCATTTAGCATTAGGTATATCTCCTAATGCTATCCCTCCCCCTCCCCCCACCCCACAACCGTCCCTGGTGTGTGATGTTCCCCTTCCTGTGTCCATGTGTTCTCATTGTTCAGTTTCCACCTATGAGTGAGAACATGCGGTGTTTGGTTTTTTGTCCTTGCTATAGTTTGCTGAGAATGATGGAGTCTCGCTCTGTCTCCCAGGCTGGAGTGCAGTGGTGCCAAAAACTCAAATTTCATGGATTGACTTTGTTCTTAGTAGAAAATCTGTTTGAGAGGAAATTTGTGAAGTAGCAAGAGAAAAAGGAAAGCATGGTAAAGTTAGTATTTCATTATATAGGTGTGACAGCTG
Source organism: Homo sapiens (assembly GCF_000001405.40). Lineage (NCBI taxonomy): Eukaryota > Metazoa > Chordata > Mammalia > Primates > Hominidae > Homo > Homo sapiens. The sequence continues at coordinate 174,332,136 of NC_000001.11, forward strand.
GCACCCAGTTTTCTCATTTGGTTATTTAAGTGAGCCTAAACAAGTTGTCAGTATTCAAGGCTATAATTGTACAGTTGGGTATTTTGGCAAGTCCCAAATGTGTAATTCAGGCTGTCATAAGTGGACAATCTAATAAAGTACATCTTAAGATCATAAGAATGTTTTTTATATTGCTTATAAGTTAGTTGAGGAAGGATTGGTCTTCAGTGTTGTTTATACTCTTTGAAGGCAATTTTATCTAAATTTTTATTTATTTATTTATTTATTTATTTATTTTTTGAGACGGAGTCTCACTGTGTTGCCAAGGCTGGAGTGCAGCAGCATGATCTTGGCTGACTGCAACCTCTACGTCTGGGTTCAAGCGATTCCCCTGCCTCAGCCTCCCGAGTAGCTGTGATTACAGATGTGCACCACCACGCCTGGCTAATTTTTGTATTTTTAGTAGAGATGGGGTTTTCCCATTTTGGCCAGGCTGGTCTCGTACTCTTGACCTCAAGTGATTCACCCTCCTCGGCCTTCCAAAGTGTTGGGATTACAGGCATGAGCCACCGCGCCCGGCTGAGAAACAGGAACTCTTATATGCTATTGGTGAGAAGGTAAGTTAGTACAGCTGTTGTGGAAAACAGTGTGGAGGTTCCCCAGAAAATTATAAAAGTTAAAAAAAAACTGATCCGGCAGTCTCACTACTGGAGTATTTATCCAAAGGAAATGAAATCAGTATGTCAAAGAGACAGCTGGACTTCCATGTTTATTTATAATAGCCAAGATATGGAGTCCACCTAAATGTCCATCAGTGGATGAATGGATAAAGAAAATGTATTATACATACACAATAAAATACTATTCAGTCATAAAAAGGATGAAATCCTGTTATTTGGGACAATATGGATGAGCCTGGAGGGCATTATGCAAAGTGTAATAAGCCAGGCAGAGAGACACAAATACTGCATGATCTCACTCATGTGTGGAATCCAAAAAATTGATCTCCTAGAAGTTGTGAGTACAATAGTGGTTACCAGAGGTTGGGGAGAATGAGGAGAGGGTAGATGGGGAGAGGCTGGTCAGTGGGTACAGTGTTACAGTTAGGTAAGAGGAATAAATTCTGCTACTCCGTTTTACAGTGGGGTGACTGTAGCTAACTGTAACGCATCGGATATTTCACATAGCTAGAACAGAGGATTTTGAATGCTTTCCCAACAAAGAAATGATAAATGTTTAAGGTGATCATATGCTAATTACCGTAATATGATCATTACACAATGTATACATACATTAAAACATCACATTGTACTCCATAAATATGTATAATTATTACATGTCAACAAAAATAAGTAAAATAAAAATGCGTTTAATGCAGAGTGGCTGAGTGAAGAGCTCAGCAAGTCCACTTATTCCAAAGTGACGATTAAAGTGGATTAAACTGTCAAAAACAGCCATTTCAGGACTTTGGAAAGCGACTAAAATTATACAACAGATTGAGAAGCAATTATTCACGAAAAACTACTGAACCTTATGTCTATCATATTTTAGCCCCTGAGGCTGCTCCCACTACGCCCATTTTCACCACTGACTTACTATCATGGTAGTTTTTATTAGGGTAGGGCAACCTGTGGAAACCAGTAGCTTTGCTGTTGATGCTAGGGAAGGCTCACTTGATCTGGAGCAGAGCGTGGAACAACCCTATGTTTCCACAGTATTGTTAGAAACAGTAGTGATTTTTGTAGCAAAGGAGTGGGAAGCTCAGTCTTGCAAGTAGCATGAGATTATAATCCTGGTTGGGGAAAGCTACAGATTGGCCAGGATTTTAACATGGAGATCTGAGGAATTAGTGGAGATCCTACAATTATCACTGGTCATCTGGAAGGCTCTCTATTATGTGCAAGGCTCTGCACACACTCAGGAGAAACCAGAGAGGGCCTGCCTAACTGGTCATATGTCCATGTTGAGACCTTGCACATGTACAATGCAGACATGTTTCCAGAATTCTGTCCCTAAATACTTTCGCTTCTTTCTTTTCTGTTGTATGAAGGGAATCTGTGCTCCAGGAAATGACGGATACCCGATTCTCCCACAAAATCTACAGTCTTTTCTTGTCAGTAAGTGGCGGCTTTTAGGCTCCAAGTATAGGAATTTATAATCCAACCTCTGTCTGACCCTATGTTTTCTGTACTGGATTATTGTGATACCTCAAACTGGTCTTCCTGCCTTCCAGCCTTGTCCCCTCCCCTGGAGTCTGTGTTCCACACACCAGCCATATTCATCCTTTTGAAATGTGTCAGATGACATTATTCCTCTTCTGAAAATCCTTTGGTGGCTTCTCATTTTACTTAGCCAAAGTTCTGTTTACCATGATTCACAAAACCATACATAATCTTGCTGTCTGAGTTTTACTTTTCTGACCTAATGTTCTACCACTCTCAGCCTCATAAATTATACACTTGTCCTTTTGCTGTTCTTCCAACAAACAAACCAGATGAACTGCTGCCTCTGGGCTATTGCACTTGCTCTTCCCTCTCTACCTGGAGCTCTTTTTTTCCACCAAATAGGCACATGGTTCTTTCTCTCCCCTTTTTCCAGTCTTTCTGTGAATGCTATCTTCTTAGTGAAATCTTGCCAGCTCAGTAAATAGTATGAATAATAATAAATGAATGAATGAATAGCAATAAAGGGATAGTAATGTCAATGAATGTTTTTCTTTTAAAATACCTTAAAATTATTCAATAATGAGAAAGACTAGAAAAGCAGAGATAACATTTCTGGAATTGCACTTTAAAACATCAAAAACATAAAATACAATTTTCAATTAATTATTCTTATATATGGTCCAAACAGGAGCAAGTCACTGAATTTTTGTTTTTCTCTTAAAATTTTTTCACTTCTATTCTTAACAGTTTTTCACTATTTGATATGTCACCTTGTCTTTTGAAATATGTATTAGCCATCACCTATATAAAAAAAAGCTACGAAAATTACAGAGTAGGAAGTAATAGTTTCTTTTCTTTTATAGATCAGGTGTTTCATACATTTTCAATACACTTTATTATTAGTTCTGTAATTGACATTTTGTCAACGCAAACATCAAAAGTTAGAGCTGGAGGTGGCATAAAAATGCTTTCCTGCTGTGGGGAATTAGAGTATTCTTTTATTTAATTATTTTCAACAATTTGCCTGTCAAAGCAAAAGTGGAAGTTCAAGTCATTCTAAATTGTCTTGCCTTAGCCTGTAATTTAACTAAAAAGGGATACAGATTTAAAGTTGCTTTTAATTTTCTGGGAGAGATCTAAAGTAAAATGAATTAAGGTATCTTTGCCTATCTTTCAAATGCTGTTCAAAAAATGAAGTGTGTTAAAGGGCATTAATTTGAATACCAATAATCTTAGCAGAAAGTTAAGTCCACCAATACTGTTTTATGAGGATTATTTTAAAATTAATTTGTCACCTGTATATACTCCCACATGTTCTGGATTGCCTCTGTTGAAGTTAGAGAGCTACTTGGTTTTGCTTCATCTGAATTTTAAACTGGCTTTCTGTTTGTTGGTCTCATACTTGCATTTATACTTGTAACATGGATAGTAAACTGCAGGAAGAAACTATTTGAAGAGAACAAATGTCTAATACATTGTGCTATCCTAAAGGCTCAGTTCTGGGTTAGTGTGCCCTGGAAGAGGGCATATTTGTGTATTAATTTGATTCATGTAACAAATATTTGTGTACCTGCTGTATTTTTAGCACTATGCTTGATTCTGAGAGATGACAAAATAATTCTATTTCTGTTGCTTAAAAGACATATGCCCAAGTAATTTTAAGTGTCCAGGTTCATGGTAACATTAGGTAAGCTTAACACTTTGTTGTACCTTTTAGGTTTAGTAAAATCTGCATTTTTTGTTGTTGTTTTTGTGTTTGTATTGGCTAAAATGCTATCTTAAAAAAATTTTCCCCCTGAGTTGTCATAGCTTTTACTATAGAAACAAGTTTGCAAATGAAGATTCTTTTTTGAGACAGGGTCTTACTCTTTTGCCTAGGCTGGAATGCAGTGGTGTGATCATGGCTCACTGTAGCCTTGAACTCCTGGGTTCAAGTGAACCTCTCATTGAACCTCCTGCTTCAGCCTCCTGAGTAGTTAGGACCACAGGCATGTGCCACTACCCCAGGCTAATTTTTAAATTTTTTGTATAGTTGAGATCTTCTTGTGTTGCCCAAGCTGGTCTGGAACTCCTGGGCTCAAGTGGTCCTCCTGCCTTGGCTTTCCAATGTGCTGGGATTGCAGGTGTGAGCCACCATCCCTGGCTGAAAATTGTTTATACTTGGATGAAAAGGAACTAGAGGATATAGAAAAGAAATGAACTTTTAAAGAAAAGATAATCATATAGTGCTTATGTGTGGCAGGCACTGGTTAAGGAAATGCTTTTTAAACTTTAAATGTGCACATGCATTACCTGGAGATCTTGTTAAAACGAAGCTTTATTTTATAGGTCAGGGGTAGGGCCTGGTCTGCTTTCCTAAAAAATGTCTGGATACCACTGCTCCTGGTTACACCATGGTTTGAGAAACAAGAGTTTAAATTGCCTACCTATATTAGCTCATTTAATCCTCTTATCAACTCTATATGGTAGGTACAATTATTATATCCATTTTACAAATGAAGAAATATGTTTCCATGCAATAATCTTGGCATGATAGATGCTGTTTCTTTACCAGATAATTTCAGTGTTTATAAATGTGTGTGTGTGTGTGTGTGTGTGTGTGTGTGAGAGAGAGAGAGAAAGAGAGAGAAAGAATGGAGGAGGAAGGACTTTAAAGTATTGTTGTATTATTGCATTTTTACATTATGTATTCTGACAAATTAAAATGATTAAAAATATATCTGATAAGGAAGAATATTTGAGAAAAAGTGGAGGGAGAGAGTGTATTTGTATTTGTTTTCTATTGCTGCATAACAGATTACCAAAAAAAATTTAGCATCTTAAATCATCACACATTTACTAGATCACAGTTTCCATGGGTCAGAAGTCTGGACATGTCTTAGTTGAGTCCTCTGTTCAGAGTTCAGATGACTGTAATCAGTTTTGTTTAGGGCTGTAGTCTCTTTGAGGCTTGGGGTGCTCTTCAAAGCTCACATGATTTTGGCAGAATTCATTTCGTTGCGGCTTTAGAACCCACGGTAGCTTGCATATTCAAGGTCAGCAGAAAATCTCAGGGAAGAGTAGAAAGTAGAAAGGATAACATTTTGACATTTGTGAAAACAAGAATTACATGTGCAAGCAGAATATGAAGTATGGTTATGAGGCAGTGTTTGAGGTTGGAGAGGCAGACTGAAAGCAGGCCATGAAGAGCCTCCACAGAAACATAGAACATTATGGACTTTAATTGTATAAAGCAGTGGAAAATCACTGGAGGGATTTGAGCTAGGACATAGCATGAGCAAAGATTTTCGTGAGGAAGATTAAGCTGGAAGTAAGCTTTGTAAAATGTTAACAGAGAAGAACCTGTGATATGTAAGTCTCATTTGAGGGGATAAAAGCCTGAACTAGGGTACTGGCCCTAGAAATAGAAAATGACTGATTTTAAGAAAATTATTGACATGAAAAGGTGTCTGAGTCAGACCTCTCTTTAATTGCCATATTCAAGGACTGAGTTCTGGGTTAGCTTGCCCTGGAAGAGGCTATATTTGTGTATTAATTAATTTTATTAATTTAAAAAATATTTGTGTACCTGCTATATTTTTAGCATTATGTTTGATTCTGAGATGACAAAAAGTTCCTTTAAGATTGCTTATATTTTAAATAGGAATAAACAGTTTAAATCATTACAGAAGTTAAGGAATACTGTGAAACATTGCAGTTTGAGTTGCGTTTGACTCAAATATAGTACATGCCAAATGTGTGGCTTAGATCCTAAGTGCTGTGGGACTAATTAAGGGTATTATTTGGGCTCTTGACCTTTTTCTCTACAGATAACCAGTGGTATTTCAAAAAACAATTTAACCATGCTTGAGTATGATAGGGTCTCATATCAACTAGACTCAAGCATTTAATGTGAATTTTCTCCCCTGTGATTTGTATTTGATTTAAAGCTCTGAAATACAAAATAGCAATGTTAAATTTATGATTATAGTCTGTTAAGGTTTAATCTTATTCTAGCCTCAATCATATGTAATCATTATGTATTTTAAAAATACAACAACAGTTTCTTAAGAGTGGCAATTGACAGCATTCAACGAAAGTATCTTAAATTTTCAGGTGTCTGGGTTGTATATCTTTTACCAGTAAAAATCCTCATGCAGTTTTAAGGAGTAATTGACCTTTGACAAAGAATATATTTTAATCACCTCCTGTAGCAATGTTTTTGTCACTGGAGAGTTTATTATCCTGTTTTTAACTGGTGGAAAATTTACTGAAATGTAGTGTTTTTTTTTTTTAAGTGGTACTATTCTTGAATTTGGTGGATTGAAATTTGATTTTAACCTATTTAGTGTATGTGGGAATGATTTCTATTATATTAAATTGTAAGGTATATAGTCTGGTATTTTATTATGATTAATAATATTTATTTATTGCTATAAATATACTCTCATTTTTAATGAAATTGTTCCTTTGGAAAAGTGTAATATTGTACACTTAAAAATTCTTTCATATTTAACATTTTTGAAGCAAATAAAATATGAATTGGTACTCTGAAAGGAGCCTCAGGTTGTCAAATTAGGACTCCTGAGCTAAGAATGGGTTTTGCACTTTTAAAAGGTTGTAATAAAAAAAGAAGAAAAGTGTGTTACAGAGCTGAAAATATTTACTATTTGGTTCTTTACAGGAAAGCTGGCTGACCCCAGTAGTCACAGCATATTTGTGAATAGATTTAAGTATGTTTTATGTAATTCCTGAAAGTCTGTGAAATGTACTGTATGACTATACTTTTCTTGTGTACATATCATGTTACTTTGGTACATTTTATTATATAATAGATTTTCTTTGGATTAGTGCTTCAAAATAAACAGTTCTTATACAACTTTTTACATGGATAGTATTTATAATGAAGTTTTAGCGTATTTCTAGTAGAAAATATCTTTAAAAAATTAAAGTTTTTTTTTGCATTTTGAAACATGCAGCGCAAAAACTCAAATTTCATAGATTGACTTTGTTCTTAACAGAAAATCTCTATGAAAGGAAATTTGTGAAGTAGCAAGAGAAAAAGAAAAGCATGGTGAAGCTAGTATTTCATTATACAGGTGTGATGGCAGGCACCCAGTTTTCTCATTTGGTCATTTAAGTGAGCCTAAACAAGTTGTCAGTATTCAGGGCTATAACTGTACAGTTGGGTATTATGGCAAGTCCCGAATGTCTAATTCAGGCTATCATAAGTGGACAGTCTAATAAAGTACATCTTAAAATCATAAGAATATTTTTTTATATTGCTTATAAGTTAGTTGAGGAAGGATTAGTCTTCAGTGTTGTTAATACTGTTTGAAGGCAATTTTATCTAATTTTTTTTTTTTGAGACGGAGTCTCACTCTATTGCCCAGGCTGGAGTGCAGTGGCGTGATCTCAGCTCACTGCAACCTCTGCTTCCCAGGTTCAATTGATTCTCCTGCCTCAGCCTCCCGAGTAGTTGGGATTACAGACGTGCACCACCATGCCTGGCTAATTTTTGTATTTTTAGTAGAGATGGGGTTTTGCTATGTTGGCTATGCTGATCTCGTACTCCTGACCTCAAGTGATCCACCCACCTCAGCCTCCCAAAGTGCTGGAATTACAGGTGTGAGCCACCGCACCCTTGAATGTAAAAATATTTTATGAAGCTTAAGTTTCAACTTTATAGTAAATATGAGTTGTGACTATGACTTTTTGTATTGTATGCTTTTAGAAAAGAGTTAATAAGTTTTATTTTTAAATACTTCTATTTGGTTATTAAATTTTTTAGGTTTAGTTTTTCTTGGTGACCTCTTTTTTCTTTTGGTGTTTGCACACTAATGTCAAATTTAGTTCACTTAGTACTTTGTAGATATACTATTTACATGATATGAAACATTATTAATGTAAAGAGACATTGCCAAGAATTAAGTGAACATGTTTCTCTTTATTTCTTTCTAATTTGTTTAAAACTCTTCCTTTGAGAAGTTAAGAAATTAGTTCTGAATTAGCCAGTACCCCATGGAATGTTATCCTTAGTTCTTCCTTTTCTTTTTTTCTTCAACTTTTAAGTTCTGGGGTACATGTGCACATGATTTGCTGAAAAGATCAGTCTGTCACCTGGATATGAAGCCCAGCATCCATTAGCTATTCTTCCTGATACTCCCCCTTCCCCACTCCCCAGACAGGCCCCAGTGTGTGTTTTTCCCTGCCATGTGTCCATGTATTCTCATCGTTCAGCTTCCACTTATGAGAATATGCAGTGTTTGCTTTTCTGTTCCTGCATTACTTTGCTGAGGATAATGGCTTCCAGCTCCATCCATGTTCCTACAAAGGACATGATCTTGTTCCTTTTTATGGCTGCATAGTATTCCATGATGTATATATACCACATTTTATTTATTTAGTCTATCTTGATGGGCATTTGGGTTGATTCCATGTCTTTGCTAATTGTGAATAGTGGTACAATGAACATACAGTGCATGTATCTTTATAATAGAATGATTTATATTCTTTTGGGTATATACCCAGTAATGGGATTGCTGAGTCACATGGTATTTCTTCTTCTAGATCTTTCGGGAATTGCCACATTGTCTTCCACAATGGTTGAAATAATTTCTCAACAGTGTAAAAGCGTCTCTTTTCCTTCACGACCTTGCCAGCATCTGTTGTTTCTTGACTTTTAAATAATCACCATTCTGAGTGACGTGAGATGATATCTCATTGTGGTTTTGATTTGCATTTCTCTAATGATCAGTGATGTTGATTTTTTTTTTCATGTTAGTTGGCTGCATGAATGTCTTCTTTTGAGAAGTGTCTGTTCATGTCCCTTGCCACTTTTTAGTGGGGTTTTGTTCTTGTAAATTTCTTTAAGTTCCTGGTAGACTCTGGATATTAGATTGTTGTCAGATGGATAGATAGTTCTTTCTTAATTCATGTTATTTTCATGTGATGATAATGTGTATACAACTGTCCATCATTTTTCTAACTTCAGTGTGATAAGTGCCTCACTTCGCAACTCCCCAAATTCTGAATGCTAATATGATGCATCTTTGCCATGCTTCGTGTTACAAAATGTTGCTTGAAAGATGAAGATTAAAATTAATTTATAATTTATCTTAGAGACATTGGCACCATGCTGGTTGTATGATTTCTTTATCAACACTTCTGTAAGTGTTGTAGAATAGGATGGCATTGGATAGGAGAGAATATTAGAAGTAGGAGGGAAGTTCAGTTTAACAACTTGGATGAAAACTTGACCGCTTACTCATGTATTTTATTGACATTGTTCAGAGTACATGTTTTGCACAGATGTTTTATTTAAAATCCCTGAAGTTTGAACTGAAATGGAACTTTTCCTGTCCATTAAAATCCTTTTTTCTACTTAATGTAATTCATAGAATAATTGGGAATTGGGTGAAAATCTTTGATTTCTAAAGTTTTAAGCTATTAAAAAATTTCATTCTTATCTTTGTTTTTCAAGGCAAATAATTATCTTATGACCTGAAGATTTGTTTTGCTTAATGAAATGTGTTTCAAAAGGAGAGAAATCTTACATATCTACATGCAAAGTAGTCGTATTCTGAAAAAAGTTACACACTGATACTTATCTGAAGGTTGGAAGGCTTAATTTAAGTATCTTTCTTGATAAGTACAACCAGCCTTTAAATGATGGATAACTGAACTCTGTACTTGAAGGGTCAGTGGAGCTGGCTAAATGTTACAGTTTTTCATAGAAATTTGACTTAATTTTTAAAATCTTTCAATTTATGTGTAAGTATATTTTCCTAGGTGGTTCAGTAAAGCGTGTGTTTTAAAAGATTGTCTAGATGCAGCATGCTAAAAGAGGGAGGTAAGAATGTTTATTCATTATGGCTACAGTTTAATATGTTAATATGTTTAATACATATTAAACATTAACATTTTAACATTTTAATCAATAACATTTTAAATGGTAGCCTAATAAAGAGAGGGGATTGGTCAGAAACAGGATAGAGTTCTTATTGTTGTTGACTAATGATAAACCAAATGCAATAGAAAATCCCCAAGTGGATTTTCTCTGAGATAAACTGATAATATAATAGCATTTTCTATTTTTCCCTAGTAAGTATTGTTGATGGTTGTCAGTTCGTTTTTCCCAAGCACATGAATTAGCTAACGTGATTCTCTGTACTAATCTTAGTTTTTGACTGAGAATATCATGTACTTAACCAAATCTTTGAGATATTTAAATAAATTAACAAAACTGTAAAAATCATCTTTGTAAAGCTAGTCACTGATTTATGATTTGGGAAGATAAGCAGCTTTGTATTACTTAGAAAACAAAGAAAAATATGTAGAATTTCTGTTTTTTCTTTTTTATTGTTTAAAAATTTAAATCAACATCAGTGTGCAGATGGGTAGATAAAATAAAAATTTAAATCAACAGATGTAAAATGGACCATTCCTCTTCCCTGCCCACCAATTCTAATTCTCAGAAGAATTTTTTTTTTTTTTTTTGAGATGGAGTCTTGCTTGTTGCCCAGGCTGGAGTGCAGTAGTGCCCTCTCGGCTCACTGCAACTTCCGACTCCTGGGTTCAAGTGATTCTCCTTCCTCAGCCTCCTGAGTAGCTGGGACTACAGGCACGTGCCACCATGCCCAGCTAATTTTTGTATTTTTAGTAGAGACAGGGTTTCACCATGTTGGCCAGGATGGTCTTGATCTTTTGACCTCAGGTGATCTGCCTGCCTTGGCCTCCCAAAGTGCTGGGATTACAGGCATGAGCCACTGCACCTAGCCAGAAATTTTTTTTAACAGTTTATGTATTGTTTTCCAAGAGGAATATTCTTTATATCCTGCTTGGCAACTTGTTTTTCACCTCAAACAATGTTATGAACACTACATTAAACGATTTCTCCCTCTTTAATTGCACAGTATTCTGTGGTGTGGATATAGCATAATTTTATTTTTCCATTTCTCTTTTGAGGGTCCTATAATCATTTTCCCTTTTTATTTCCTGCTATTACAAATATACAAATAGTATGTACTCTGAAACACAAACACATATCTGGAATTGAAATTGTTGTGGTATGGAGATCTGTTTTTGTATAGGTAGTACCAAATTTCTGTCCAGAAAGATTGCAAATATATGCCCTTTCCTATTGTGTATCTGAGTACCCTTTGTCTCATAAATTTGCCAACAGTAGATATTATGTCTTTTCAATTTTTACCACTCTAGTTCACAATAAATATCTCATTTTGTTTACATTTCCCTGATTACAAGTGAGGCTTAGCAAGTTTTAAATATTTATCGGGCTAATACATTTGATTTTTTAGGTAGCCTATATGCTGTAAAACCTCATTAAGAACTGCTCTTTCTGTCAGAGATTTAATTTGACAATACCTATAGTCAAATTTTAAAAATCTGATTGGGTTCATTAGTCTGCCTGCATATTAGTCTAAAAGAAAGTCAGAAAAGTAGGGGAAGAGCCATGAAAAATCATTCCTTCTTTCCCTTCAAAAGGAGTGGGTACTCCTTTTGGATTTTTATCTGTTAAGCAGTCTATATTGTTTTGGGCTCTCAGCACATTATAGATTTACAGATCAAAATTACTAGGAAAACCAGAAATAATCCATCCTGTTTGAGGGGAGGGGATTTGTGCTTTCCCCTAGAAGTCTCTTCCTTTCTCTTAGATGTTTATTGAGTGTCTTCTCTGCCAGCACTGTAGCTGTGTAGCTGCTGGCCATTTAGGCCTGTTTCATCCCTGACTGACAGCAGCTTTACTTGGTGTGGTGGCAATAAATCAAATCAAAATGTAGTGCCATTAGAGTAAGACATCTTAATCATGTTTCAACTGACCTAAGAAATTTAAATGTTCTGGAGGATGATCTCTAGTGAGAGCTGGAGACCTTATAGTTTGTCAGGAATGTTAAGGTATATAGGGTGTCTAAAAGCATATAGTACTTGAAACTTATTTTCGTGGTGATCTCTGGAGAATGCTCTCTGTAATGATAATAACAACAATAGGAGTTAGCTTTTATTGAGCATTTACACCTGCCTGGGATTACTGTCAGCATTTTACATCTGTTCTGCATAGTGTGAGGAAGTACTTTCTGGCCTTTGGACTTTCGTTCTCATAAGTAGTTGTAGAAGGTCTGCGGCTACACAAAGTCTACTTCTTTAGGGACCTTGTGTCTAGGAGTGCTTGTATAGCCATTTTACCCTCTTTTGCTGCCTATTTAGTGATTAGGATTCAGACTAAAAAAATGATTTAGTGATTACCTTGGTGTGATCATTCACACATCATGGTGATAGTGATACAGCTGCATATTTTCAGTGAATCTTTGAATTAGAAGAGATAGAGTCATCTACTGCTTCCCTTTTTCTGAAATAGAATCCCTATAATACCTTGTGAGTGCACTGGCCACTGTGGAAACAGGCTGAGTGACTGATTCACAATGGAATTAATTCCACTTTCTAGTTATTAATAATAAGGAAAATATGTATGAAACACTTTGTGAATTATCCACTTACCAGAAGCTTTTTAACTTGATGTGATCCCTTTTGTCCATTTTTGCCTTGGTTGCCTGTGCTTCTGGGGGTATTACTCAATAAATTGTTGCCCAGACCAATGTCCTCGAGAGTTTCCCCAATGTTTTCTTATTGTAGCTTCATAGGTTTTGGTCTTAGATTTAAATCTTTAATCCATTTTGATTTGACTTTTGTATATGGTGAGAGGTGCCTAGTTTCATCCCTCTGCATATGGATATTCAATTTTCCCAGCACCATTTATTGAAGAGACTGTCCTTTCTTCAATGTATGTTCTTGGCACCTTTGTCAAAAAAGAGTTCACTATAGACATATGGATTTATTTCTGTGTCCTCTCTTCTGTTCCATTGGTCTACATGTCTTTTATTTAATGCCAACCCCATGCTGTTTTGGTTGCTATAGCTCTTTAGTATAATTTGAAGTCAGGTAATGTGATTCTTCCAGTTTTGTTCTTTTTGCTTAGGATGGCCATGGCTAGTCTGAGTCTTTTGTGATTCCATATAAATTTTAGGATTGTTTTTTCTATTTCTGTGAAGTATGTCATTGGTATTTTAAAAGGGATTACATTAAATCTGTAGAGTGCTTTGGGTAATATGGACATTTTAACAATATTGATTCTTCCAGTGCGTGAACGTGGAATATCTTTTTATTTTTTGGTGTCCTCTTTGATTTCTTTCATCAGTATTTTATAGTTTTCATTATAGAGGTCTTTCGCTTGTTTGGTTAAGTTAATTCATAGGTATTTAATTATTTTTTAGATTGTTTGCTCTTGACTTACAGAAATGCTACTGATTTTTTATGTTGATTTTTGCATTCTGCATTTTACTGAATTTATCAGTTTGAATAGTTTTTTTGGTAGAGTCTTTAGTTTTTCCAAATATAAGATCGTATCATCTCCAAAGAAAGATAATTGGCTTCTTCCTTTTCAATTTGAGTGCCCTTTATACCTTTCTTTTGTGTAATTGCTCTGGCTAGGACTTTCAGTACTATGTCGAATAACTGTGGTAAAGTTGGGCTTCCTTGTTGTGTTCCACTATCTTAGAGGAAAGACTTTCAGTTTTCACCCATTCACAGTGATACTAGCTGTGGGTCTTTTGTATATGGATTTTATTGTGTTGAGATATGTTGCTTCTGTATCCAGTTTTTTTTTGAGGGGTTTTATCATGAAGGGATTTTGAAGTTTATCAAAATTTTTTAAGCATCAATTGAAATGCTCATATGGTCTTTGTCCTTCATTCTGTTGATAATGTATCAGATTGATTGATTTGTGTATGTTGAATCATACTTTTATCTCGAGGATAAATCCCAATTGGTCATGATGAATGATCTTTTTAATGTGTTGCTGAGTTTGGTTTGCCTAGCATTTTGTTGAGGATTTTTGCATAATTGTTCAACAGGAATATTGGCCTATAATTTTCTTTTTTAAATGTGTTTTTGGTTTTGGCATCAGGACAATACTGGCCTTGTAGAATGAGTTTGGAAGTATTCCTTTCTCCTCCTTTTTTTGAAATAGTTCCAATGGGATTGATATTAATTCTTCTTTAAATGTTGGGTAAAGTTCAGTGATGAAGCCATCAGATCCTGGACTTTTCTTTGCTGAAGACTTTTTAATTACGACTTTGATCTCATTACTTCTTATTGGTCTATTCAGGTTTTGGATTTCTTCATGGTTCTATCTTGGTAAGTTGTCTGTGTCTGGGAATTTATCCATTTATTCTAAGTTTTACAATGTATTGACACGTAGCTGCTCATAGAAGTCTCTAATAATTCTTCAAATATCTGCAGTATTGGTTGTAATGTCTTCTTTTTATCTCTGATTTCATTTATTTGGGGCTTCTCTTTTTTTTTCTTAGTCTGTATAAAGTTCTATCAATTTTGTTTATCTTTTAAAAAATAACTTGTCATTTTGTTGATCTTTTGCATTTTTTTCATTTATTTCTGGTGTGATATTTATTATTTCTTTTTTTTCTCCTAATTTTAGGTTTGATTTGTTCTTGCTTTTCTAGTTCTTTAAGTTGCATCGTTAGGTTGTTTGATGTTTTTTCTACTTTTTTGATGTAGGTGCTTATAGCTATAAACTTTCCTTTTAGTACTGCATTTGCTGTATCCCATAGGTTTTAGTATGTTCTGTTTTCATTTTCATTTGTTTCAATAAATTTTAAAATTTCCTTCTTAATTTCTTCATTGACTCACTGGTCATTCAGGAGGAAGTTGTCTAATTTCCATGTGTTTGTATAGTTCCCAAAGTTCCTCTTGATTTTTAGTTTTATTTAGTTGTGGGCAGAGAAGACACTTGATATAATTTCAGTTTTTAAAATAAATTTAATACTTTTTTTTGGCCTAACTGATGACCTATCCTTGTGAATGATCCATGAGCTGAGGAGAAGAATGTATATTCTGTAGCCACTGGATCAAATGTTCTACAAATGTCTGTTAGGTCTATTTGGACTGTGGTGCAGATTAAGTTCCATGTTTCTTTATTTACTTTCTGTGTGGATGATCTGTTCATTGCTGAAAGTGGAGTGTTGAAGTCTCTAGCTATTGCATTGGGGCTGATCTCTTTCTTTAGTTCTAATATTTGGTTTATATATCTGGGTGCTCCAATGTTGGGTGCATATATATTTACAATCATTATATTCTGTTGCTGAATTGACCCCTTTATCATTACATAGTGACCCCTCTTTGTGTGTGTGTGTGTGTGTGTGTGTGTGTTTTTTTCTTTGAGACTGAGTCTTGCTCTGTCACCCAGACTGGAGTGCAGTGGTGCGATCTTGGCTCACTGCAAGCTCCACCTGCCGGGTTCACACCATTCTCCTGCCTCTGCCTCCTGAGTAGCTGGGACTACAGGCACCCGCCTCCACACCTGGCTAATTTTTTTGTATTTTTTAGTGGAGATGCGGTTTCACCGTGTTAGCCAGGATGGTCTCGATCTCCTGACCTCATGATCTGCCCGCCTCGGCCTCCCAGAGTGCTAGGATTACAGGCGTGAGCCATACAGTTTTTCTCTTGAAATCTGTTTTGTCTAATTATAGCTCCTCCTGTTCTTTGTGGCTTCCATTTGCATGGGATATCTTTTCTATCCCTTTATTTTCAGTCTGTTTTGTGTTTTTACAGGTGATGTTTATTTCTTGTAGGCAACAGATCATTGGGTCTTATTTTTTAAATCCATTTAGCCACTCTATGTGTTTTTATTGGAGAGTTTAGTCCATTTACATTCTGTATTATTATTGATAAATGAGGACTTATTCCTGACATTTTGTTATTTGTTTTCTTGTTGTTTTGTAGTATTCTCTTTCTTCCTATCTTCCTTTCTGTGAAGGTTATTTTTTTTGGTGGTGTGCTTTGAGTTTTTGCTTTTTATTTTTTGTGATCTTTTGTATGTTTTTTGACTTGAGTTACCCTGAAGCTTGTAAATAATATCTTATAACCCACTATTTTAAACTGATGACAGCTTAACACTGATTGCAACAACAAACATACTATTAGGTTGGTGCAAAAGTAATCGCAGTTTTTGCCATTACTTTCAATAGCAAAAACTGTGATTACTTTTGCACCAACCTAGTAACAAACAAGCAAAAAGAAAACTAATAAAAAATCCACACTTTACCTTCATTTGCCCCACTTCTAAACTTTTTGTTGTTTCTATTTATTTTTTATTTATTTATTTATTTTTTTTAATTTATTTTTTTATTGATAATTCTTGGGTGTTTCTCACAGAGGGGGATTTGGCAGGGTCATGGGACAATAGTGGAGGGAAGGTCAGCAGATAAACAAGTGAACAAAGGTCTCTGGTTTTCCTAGGCAGAGGACCCTGCGGCCTTCCGCAGTGTTTGTGTCCCTGATTACTTGAGATTAGGGATTGGTGATGACTCTTAACGAGCATGCTGCCTTCAAGCATCTGTTTAACAAAGCACATCTTGCACCGCCCTTAATCCATTTAACCCTGAGTGGACACAGCACATGTTTCAGAGAGCACAGGGTTGGGGGTAAGGTCACAGATCAACAGGATCCCAAGACAGAGGAATTTTTCTTAGTGCAGAACAAAATGAAAAGTCTCCCATGTCTACCTCTTTCTACACAGACACGGCAACCATCCGATTTCCCAATCCTTTCCCCGCCTTTCCCGCCTTTCTATTCCACAAAGCCGCCATTGTCATCCTGGCCCGTTCTCAATGAGCTGTTGGGCACACCTCCCAGACGGGGTGGTGGCCGGGCAGAGGCGCCCCTCACCTCCCGGACAGGGCGGCTGGCCGGGCGGGGGGGGGGCTGACCCCCCCCACCTCCCTCCAAGACGGGGCGGCTGGCCGGGCGGGGGGCTGACACCCCCACCTCCCGGACGGGGCGGCTGGCCGGGCAGAGGGGCTCCTCACTTCCCAGTAGGGGCGGCCGGGCAGAGGCGCCCCTCACCTCCCGGACGGGGCGGCTGGCCGGGCGGGGGGGCTGACCCCTCCCACCTCCCTCCCGGACGGGGCGGCTGGCCGGGCAGAGGGGCTCCTCACTTCCCAGTAGGGGCGGCCGGGCAGAGGCGCCCCTCACCTCCCGGATGGGGCCACTGGCCGGGCAGGGGGGCTGACCCCCCCCACCTCCCTCCCGGACGGGGCGGCTGGCCGGGTGGGGGGCTGACCCCCCCACCTCCCTCCCGGACGAGGCGGCTGGCCGGGCGTGGGGCTGACCCCCCCACCTCCCTCCCAGACAGGGCGGCTGGCCGGGCAGAGGGGCTCCTCACTTCCCAGTAGGGGCGGCCGGGCAGAGGCGCCCCTCACCTCCCGGACGGGGCCACTGGCCGGGCAGGGGGGCTGACCCCCCCCACCTCCCTCCCGGATGGGGCGGCTGGCCGGGTGGGGGGCTGACCCCCCCACCTCCCTCCCGGACGAGGCGGCTGGCCGGGCGTGGGGCTGACACCCCCACCTCCCTCCCGGACAGGGCGGCTGGCCGGGCGGGGGGCTGACCCCCCCACCTCCCTCCCAGACGGGGCGGCTGGCCGGGCAGAGGGGCTCCTCACTTCCCAGTAGGGGCGGCCGGGCAGAGGCGCCCCTCACCTCCCAGACGGGGCGGCTGGCCGGGCGGGGCGCTGACCCCCCCACCTCCCTCCTGGATGGGGCGGCTGGCCAGGTGGGGGGCTGACCCCCCCCCACCTCCCTCCCGGACGGGGCGGCTGGCCGGGTGGGGGGGCTGACCCCCCCATCTCCCTCCCGGACGGGGTGGCTGGCCGGGCTGAGGGGCTCCTCACTTCCCAGTAGGGGCGGCCGGGCAGAGGCGCCCCTCACCTCCCGGACGGGGCGGCTGGCTGGGCGGGGGGCTGACCCCCCCACCTCCCTCCCGGACGGCACGGCTGGCCGGGTGGGGGGGCTGACCCCCCACCTCCCTCCCGGATGGGGCGGCTGGCCGGGCGGGGGGCTGACCCCCCCCCCACCTCCCTCCCGGACGGGGTGGCTGCCGGGCGGAGACGCTCCTCACTTCCCAGATGGGGTGGCTGCCGGGCGGAGAGGCTCCTCACTTCTCAGACGGGGCAGCTGCCGGGCGGAGGGGCTCCTCACTTCTCAGACGGGGTGGTTGCCAGGCAGAGGGTCTCCTCACTTCTCAGACGGGGCGGCCGGGCAGAGACGCTCCTCACCTCCCAGACGGGGTCTCGGCCGGGCAGAGGCGCTCCTCACATCCCAGATGGGGCGGCGGGGCAGAGGCGCTCCCCACATCTCAGACGATGGGCTGCCGGGCAGAGACGCTCCTCACTTCCTAGATGTGATGGCGGCTGGGAAGAGGCGCTCCTCACTTCCTAGATGGGATGGCGGCCGGGCAGAGACGCTCCTCACTTTCCAGACTGGGCAGCCAGGCAGAGGGGCTCCTCACATCCCAGACGATGGGCGGCCAGGCAGAGACACTCCTCACTTCCCAGACGGGGTGGCGGCCGGGCAGAGGCTGCAATCTCGGCACTTTGGGAGGCCAAGGCAGGCGGCTGGGAGGTGTAGGTTGTAGTGAGCCGAGATCACGCCACTGCACTCCAGCCTGGGCACCATTGAGCACTGAGTGAACGAGACTCCGTCTGCAATCCCGGCACCTCGGGAGGCCGAGGTTGGCGGATCACTCGCGGTTAGGGGCTGGAGACCGGCCCGGCCAACACAGCGAAACCCCGTCTCCACCAAAACCAGTCAGGCGTGGCGGCGCGTGCCTGCAATCGCAGGCATTCGGCAGACTGAGGCAGGAGAATCAGGCAGGGAGGTTGCAGTGAGCCGAGATGGCAGCAGTACAGTCCAGCTTCGGCTCCGCATGAGAGGGAGACCGTGGGGGGAGGGGGAGGGGGAGGGGGAGGGGGAGGGGTTGTTTCTATTTATATCTTATTATCTTGTCTAACTCTTGAAAAGTTGTAGTTATTTTTAACAGGTTCATCTTTCTACCCAAAATGTGAGTAGTTTACTAGTTTACAAAGCACAATTATAGTGTTATCATTTTCTGTGTTTGTGTACTTACTATTACTAGTGAGTTTTGTATCCTCAGATAATTTCTTATTGTTCATTAATGTCCTTTTCCTTCAGATTGAAGAACTCCCTTTAGCATTTCTTGTCGGACAGGTCTGGTGTTGATAAAATCTCTCTGTTTTTGTTGATCTGTGCAAGACTTTATTTCTGCTTCATGTTGGAAGGCTATTTTCACTGAATATACTATCCTAAGATTTTTTTTTTCCTCCAGCACTTTAAAATGTCATGGCACTCTCTCCTGTCCTGTAAGGTTTCCACTGAGAAGTCTGCTTGCCAGACATATTGCAGCTCCATTGTATGTTGTTTCTTTATTCCTGCTGCATTTAGGATCCTTTCTTTATTCTTGACCTTTGGGTGTTAGATTGACCTCTGGGTGTTATACAACCTTGACCTTTGGGTGTTTTGACCTTTGGGTGTTAGACAACCTTAAGGTTGTCTTCTTTGAGTTAAATCTGCTTGGTGTTCTATAACCTTTTTATACTTGAATATTTTTATCTTTCTCTACGTTTGGGAAGTTCTCTGTGTGTTTTTTTTGTTTTGTTTTGTTTTGTTTTGTTTGAGATGGAGTCTTGCTCTGTGGCCCAGGCTGGAGTGCAGTGGTGCCATCTCGGCTCACTGCAAGCTCCACCTCCCGGGTTCATGCCATTCTCTTGCCTCAGCCTCCCAGGTAGCTGGGATTACAGGCGCCGGCCACCACACCTGGCTAATTTTTTTGCTTTTGTATTTTTAGTAGAGACAGGGTTTCACTGTGTTAGCCAGGATGGTCTCAATCTCCTGACCTCATGATCCGCCTGCCTCGGACTCCCAAAGTGCTGGGATTACAGGCGTGAGCCACCACGCCCGGCCGGGAAGTACTCTGTTATTATCCCTTTGAATACACATTCTGCAACTGATCTCTCTCTCTCTCTGCCTCCTCTTTAAGGATAATTACTCTTAAATTTGCCCTTTTGAAGCTATTTTCTAGACCTTGTAGTTATGGTGCATTCTTTTTTATTCTTTTTTTCTTTTATCTCTTCTAATTGTGTGTTTTCAAATAGGCTGTCTTCAAGGTGACTAATTCTTTCTTCTGCTTGATCAATTCTGGTGTTGAAAGACTATGATTCATTCTTCAGTATGTCAGTTGAATTTTTCAGCTCCAGAATTTTTGCTTGATTTTAAAAAAATAATTTCAGTCTCTTTGTTAAATTTATATGATATGATTCTGAATTCTTTCTCTTTGTTATCTTGAATTTCTTTGAACTTTCTCAGAGCAGCTATTTCGAATTCTCTATTTGAAAGGTCACATATCTCTGTTACTTTTGGATTGATTGCTAGTGCTTCATTTAGTTCATTTGGGAGTTGATGATTTCCTGGATGATCTTAATTCTTGTGGATGTTTGTTGGGTGTCTGAACATTGAAGAGTTAGGTATTTATTGTAGTCTTCAAGTTTGGATTTATTTGTACCAGTTCTTCCTGGGAAGGCTTTCCATGTATTCAATGGGAATTGAGTGTTGTGAGTTAAGTCTTTGGTCACTGCAGGTATATCTGCGTTAGAGGGCACCCCAAGCCATGTAATGATCCTTGTGGAATTTTAGAGGTACCTCTTTGGTGGTCTTCGGTAAGATCCAGGAAAATTCTTTGTATTAGCAGGCAGAGACTCTTGTTCTCTTCCTTTACTCTTCTCCAAAGAGATTCTCTCTCTGTGTGCTGAGCTACCTGGTGTTTGGGGAGGGGTGACACAACCATTTCTGTGGCCACCACCTTTGGGACTGTTCTTTATCAGACCTGAAGCCAGCATAGCACAGGATCTCATCCATGGCCTGTGGCTCTATTGCCTGGCTACTGCTGATGTTTATTTTAGGCCCAAGTGCTCTTCATTCAGCAGGTGATGAATCCTACCAAGAGTGGATTCCCTTTTCCCTTTTGACCTAGAGTGTGTCGTGAAATGTTATCTGAGAGCGAGGGCCTGGAATGGGGGCTTCAGGACTCTGCTTGGTGCTTTATTTTACTATTGCTCAGCTGGTATTTAAGTTCCAGGACAAAGTCCTCTTTACTCTCCCCTCTTATTTCCTCAAATTGGAAGGAGTATCCACCAAAGCTGCAAGCTGTGCTGCCTAGAATTACAGGAATGGTGACATAAGCACTCCCTTGGCTGCCCTACCTAGTGTCTATCTAGATCACTTGCACCTCATGTCTCCTTGCTCCAAGCCCAGCATAGCACCAGGACTTCCCCAGGGATTACAGTCCTTGTGGCCTAGACTGCTTTTCAAGTTTATTTAGGACCCCTAATAAAGTTTCAAGTTTATAAGGACCCAGAGTGCTTTAGCCCGTGGTGGTGGGTCTACCTGGAACTCACTGACTGCTGGGATTTCCTCTTGCTAGGGCTGGTCTAAATGCTCCCTCCTTTGGCATGGGCTGAATTTTGTCCTGTGTTACTTTCTGCTGTAATAGGGCAGCAGTGAGTTCCAATGCAAAGTTTCACAGTCACTGTGCTCTGTCTTCCCCAAGTACATGGATTCTGTCTCTGCAACACACAGGCACTATCCAGGGATGAGGGAGTGATGGTGTAGGCAGTTCAAGACCATCTTTTTTCCTCACTGCAGTGCCTCTTTCTTTGATAGCTACTCTTTCTTTACCATGTCTGGTATTCGAATTTGCTCAGTAACTCATTTTGGTTCTTTTCAGCAGTACAAATAGACTTTAGGAGGGGATTATACAAAAATCTGAATGGAGATATGAATGTGGTCTCACTGTTACTTCCTTGACTATCTGATTTCATGTTGTTGTTTTGGCTAGTATTGTGGGCATTTCTCTTTTATTATTGCTTTGTATTCTTCCTTTTAGAATTCCATGCTTGGTTGAAGACAGTGATCTGCCCAGTTAGAGATGGGCTCTAACATCTAACATCTAACAGATGTTAACAAGCTTCTTTTTCATCCATTAGTTACGTTTGAGCTATCTTGATGGGTTCTTTCTTCTCTTCCACCACTTTGCTTCTTTTTTTTTTAAATTCAATTTAATTTTTATTAATTTTATTAATTAATTAATTTTTACCTTGCAGCTCCAGCTCAAAGGAAGCTTTGCTTCTAGTCACCTCCAACACTTGCTTAATTTTTTTATTCTAATTGATTGGCTGCCTTATAAGAAGCTGTTCTTTGAATAATATGTTTAAAACTAATTCTTTCTGTAGCTATTTATGTATGTTCTTTCCTATCATCTGCAAAGTGCTTCTCTCCTTTGCCACTTCACAATTTACTTTAAAAAAAGAGTCATAGATAATAAATTCAAATAGATATTCCTAAGTTACTGAATGATAGCCATATGCTACCCTTATGATTAAGAAAGCATTTTCCTCCCATTTTGTAGGTTGCCTGTTCACTCTGATGGTAGTTTCTTTTGCTGTGCAGAAGCTCTTTAGTTTAATTAGATCCCATTTGTCAATTTTGGCTTTTGTTGCCATTGCTTTTGGTGTTTTAGACATGAAGTCCTTGCCCATGCCTATGTCCTGAATGGTATTGCCTAGGTTTTCTTCTAGGGTTTTTATGGTTTTAGGTCTAACATGTAAGTCTTTAATCCATCTTGAATTAAATTTTGTATAAGGTGTAAGGAAGGGATCCAGTTTCAACTTTCTACATATGGCTAGCCAGTTTTCCCAGCACCATTTATTAAATAGGGACTCCTTTCCTCATTTCTTCTTTTTGTCAGGTTTGTCAAAGATCAGATGGTTGTAGATAAGGATGTGGAGAAATAGGAACACTTTTACACTGTTGGTGGGACTGTAAACTAGTTCAACCATTGTGGAAGTCAGTGTGGTGATTCCTCAGGGATCTAGAACTAGAAATACCATTTGACCCAGCCATCCCATTACTGGGTATATACCCAGAGGATTATAAATCATACTGCTATAAAGACACATGCACATGTATGTTTATTGCGGCACTATTCACAATAGCAAAGACTTGGAACCAACCCAAATGTCCAACCGCTATAGACTGGATTAAGAAAATGTGGCACATATACACCATGGAATACTATGCAGCCATAAAAAATGATGAGTTCATGTCCTTTGTAGGGACATGGATGAAACTGGAAACCATCATTCTCAGCAAACTATCGCAAGGACAAAAAACCAAACACTGCATGTTCTCACTCATAGGTGGGAATTGAACAATGAGAACACGTGGACACAGGAAGGGGAACATCACACTCTGGGGACTGTTGTGGGGTGGGGGGAGTGGGGAGGGATAGCATTAGGAGATATACCTAATGCTAAATGACGAATTAATGGGTGCAGCACACCAACATGGCACATGTATACATATGTAACTAACCTGCACATTGTGCACATGTACCCTAAAACTTAAAAGTATAATAATAATAAAATTTAAAAAAAAAAGAAAGCATTTTCCTTAATATTGTTAGCTGTTCTTCAGATAAGATGTTTGACTGCCCTAGGTCTCGAGTATTTTTGACGGGTTTCAATGATTAATGATACGTTTTTATTAATCACTTATGCTTAGCAACTGCAGGGATTTTTTAATTAAAAACTTGTTATTAGATTCAGAATGACAGTGATGATGCTTAAGTTGGGAAAGAAATCATTTGAGTTGTGGTCTTTTCTACCTTGAATCTTCTCTCTGTAATAAATCACCCTGCTTTTGACAGTGGGAAATGTTATAATATTTAAGAAATTAAAGATGATTTGTGTTAGCTTTAATGGTTTACATTTGTATGTCAGCTTTTCTGTAGAACAAGTATAGTATTCTGATTCTGTCATTTGAGAAACGAGAGATTATATTGCATTTAAGGTCATACACATGTGGTTTTGGTCTTTCACAGTTCAGGATGACCTAATTTACATGGAGGTAATGAAAATAGATCACTTTTATATTATTCTAGTTAGACAAGTATCATTATTACCTTTTCAGATCTGTGCTTCTTCCTACAGGTTTGCATGATTAATAAGGTTTTGGGTTTTTTTCCCCTGGTGTGGTTAGAGGAAAGTTTATAGAACCTATTGTTGCCTATATTATTTTAAGCAAGGATTTGTTTACTAAAAACAGTAAAATTAAGAGAAAAATCTCTGAATACCTTCAATCACAACATTTTATTTGTGTTCTACTTGGTAGCTTTTAAAGTAATTCTCTGGTTAAAAAAAGAAAAAAAATGAGATTTTGTGTGTTTTCACCCCAATTTTGTGATTTATTTTTAACTTTATTTGAAAACAAAAAAGAATTGTGTGTATAGATATTTCTTTTATAATGTCAATTAATACTGATTCTGAAAATTTCCTTTTATTATTAGGATGAAAAACATTGCTAATAGAAACACAATTTTTTTTTTCAAAGCAGAGAGTGACCAAAGTTGAGAGAAACAGCCCTGAAATTATTTTGATTGAAGTATCATACATATTTATTTTGTTTGATCTAAAAATTTACATCTATTGTATCCTATTTTGGTGTTGCACAATTAGCTACTGATCTCTGCATGTTAAAAATCAGTGGATAATAAGAGATAAAACAAACTGGGAATGTGTTTTTAGTTACCTTTGAAGTGATAGGCATAAAACAGAAGACTCAATAACAATAATAGTAATTCAAAGAATGACAGCTAACACTTGGTACTACTGTGTGTCAGTTACTATGTTTAGTACTTCATATATATTTTCATTTAATTTTTACAACACTATGTAATTGAGAGTATTATTTCCATTGAGCACATGTTTAGATTGAAGAAAGTGGTAGTCCTACTGTATGGGTCTGATGACATCTTGTATACTCTGTGTAGTACTGGTTTTTGAAGGATAACAGTAAACTGCAGTAGATGAGGAAAATGTTCATGAAAGGGAGTTGAAGTTAGGCATATTAAAGGAGACTTCACCAAATTCTGCTCCCTAAGTTAAGCGTAGTCTCTCAGAGATCTCTTCTAATGTTAAAATTTATAGAGGAAGTTGGGACTGCTAGTTAAGAATGTTTTAACTTCCATTCTTAACATCTTCATACTTTCCCAAAGTCTCAGTCAAAAGATAAAGTGTCCTCTTGATCAGTCACATCCCCAAATCTGGGCACTTTCATATTCTTAAGGAATGTACACAATTCTTTGTCTTTGTCTCTCTATTGTTTTTCCTCACCCTAAGCGTGTGAACATATTCCAAAAATAAAGCACTAATAAAAAAATTCTTTTATTTATTTCACATTCGAGTGTCATGTACTAGAAGCTACTATATAAAGACAAATAAGATATAGTCCCAGCACTCAAAGAGCCTGGCTTCTAGGAAAGAGAAAAGACATGTAAACATGAATGTTGTAGATATTAAACACACAAGTAAATAAAACCAAACATGTTTTCATTAAAGTTTTATATGTATTATAGTAGAAGTCTACATAGGAGCAAAAAGGAAGGACTGGCCAGTTTTCCAGGAAATGGAGGTTGATAAAGGGAGCATAAGGCTTGAATTGACTCTGCAATTCTCTTTAGCTATATTAACCTGTCTCTCATCTTTCTATATTTCCTGAGTTGGGTAAAGAAAAGTATACATTTAATGTCTCCACTTTCCTCTCATGTATTCCTCAAACCTGTGCCAGTAGGCATTCAAGTTTGTTAAATGATAATGGCTTATGATAGCTAACATTTATAGAGCTCTTGCCCTTTGCCAGGCACCCTAATAACATGTTTCACATATAGTAACTTGCTTATTTCTTACAGCCACTCTCTAAGATAAGTACTGTTATCGTCCCCATGTTAGATACAGACAACTGAAGCACAGAGAGGTTAAATACCTTGACCAGTATCACAACTAATAACTGTTGGAACTGGGCTTCAAATCTAGGCCGTTTGGCTTTGGGACCTATGCATTATGAGTGACTGGCGAACAAAATTCTCTAAAAAGGAATTCGAGGAAAAGAGACTTTTTTTTTTTTCCAGTGAACAGTTTGCAAACCAGGGAAACATAGCCTTCGGTGTAAAATGAAGAATGCATTTCAGAGAACAAAGAGAAGGTTTGGATTTTATAGAAAAATATGCTTCCCAAATTCCCAATCAGGTCCATTTATGCAAATGAAAGATTTAAATTCATGTAGTTCCAAATAGTTGGCACAGTGGAGTTCTGAGTCGTTGCTACAACTGAGCCCTCATTGGCTGTGGCAGGTGAGTCCTGATTGGTTGATTTCCAAGCTCTAAACCAGAGATCTCTGTCAGATGTTTCTTTCAAATGGCTGGCGGGTGGTGTAGGGTTTTTGGTTTATTTATCTTGGCACAGACATCAGGAACTGGTTTGGCTTGATTGTAGAAAGGGAGGGCCTGTGACACTTTCACATCTTTCTGAGAACACAGAGTACGTGACTGCTTCTTCACCCAGGATGGCCTCCTGGTTCTGTTTTACTTTGAGCATCTCAGCCACAGGGAGTCCATTTTGTCTGTTGGATAGGGGTATACTTTAACAGACTGAATGAACCTAGTTGCCTTTTACCCATGTCTGCACACAAATGCTTATATACTAAAGTTCATTTATTTCCAAGGCATACATTTTTCCTAGTTTTAATGGATTTTCCTTTGTCCTCTCCCTTCACTCATTCAGGAAATTTTGAATACTCTTATGGCCAAGTACTAATCTAGCATTGGAAATACAGAAATAAAAGTGGCCACTACTATCACGAAGCTCATAGTATGATGGGAGAAAATGTAGAGGAAAATTATAATTATAATATGACGTGCTAAGTGCTATGATGGTATGGGCCTAGGGGGGCAGTATTTAACCCAGCCAGAAGAGGGTAACCCCTAACCTGAATTATGATGGAAAAGTAGGATTTAGCTAAGCCTCTTTCTATTATTTGTCCTCCCTATTTTTTTCTATGTATAATGGGATACAGTTGCTTTTTCAAAACCTTCAATTACCCCTTTACGTATCTGCACGGTTGCATTGTTCCTTCTGTTATCTTCTTTGTCATGTTCTACTTGCAAGCCTTCTCGGTGTGTCTTTTACTGTACTTTGGTCTCCAGTGTCTTTTTCATTCTTATTTCCTTTTTAGTTTATTCATCCTATCTAGAAACTTGTCTTATCTGCTACAGTAGGAAATTTAATTTACTTTTCTTCAGCTCCTTTCTTCCTCTCTGGCAGGCTGCCAAGTGTTTAAAACACTCATGATTATTGGTTTCTTCAGAGAGGAAGATAGATCTGGGTCATACGCTTGATGTCACTGGGATATTCATTTCATTTTTGTTCTTTCTGGGCATCAAGGGGAATTTTACCCCTTGAAGTCTCTCAATTAAATCTTGCCCCCAATTTACTGTTTCTTGGGCATGTTCCTTTAATGCGCCTAGCTTTTCTATTTTTGGCATGAGTGCCCAACATTTACTGGATATTGGCACTTGGCACACAGACTGGTGTCTGCTGAATGCCAGATATAGCCTTCTTTACAAAACATGATGGGAAAAATTATGAGGGAAGGTAGTATTTGACTCTGGATTCAAACACAGGTTGAATTCTAACCTTTTATCATTTATTAGCACGGTAACCTTGGGCAAGTTACTTAACCTCTCTCTGCCTCAATTTTCTCATTTTTAAAATGGGCAAACTAATAGTGACTACCTCATTAGGTTTTTAGAGGATTAAATAGATTAATGCCTTTAAAATTGAGAACAGTGAGTGGAATATAGATAAAAAAGGAAGACATTTCATAAGTGCCTGGGGTTCCCAGCCTCTTTGGCCAAGTACTGTTTTTCCATCCAACTGTTTGGCCCCTGATTTGCTTTTACCTCTCCCTTACTTGTTCATCAGGGATCTGGTTTTACTTCAAATTGTGCTTATTATCTTTTATTTTCCTGTGGTTCTCCTCTGCTAATCTAGGTTTTTATAGTTCTAATATCCTTTTGTAGTGGAAAATAATTTGGGAGATTGACAGGAAGACAATAATTGTTGTTAACAGTGAGATTTTATGGCACATCGTTGGGGTTTATAGTAATAGGTTTTTGTTTCATATAGCAATAGGGATTGTTCAAAAGTTAAAATTTTTTTTTGCCATGCTTATCATTATGCATACTTATAAGAGATTAGAATATTTCAGAAATATAAAACTCAGAAATAAAAGAAGTATTCTCTAAGTATTTAGTGCTTGCTATGTGATAAGATACTGTTGGAGGTACTGAAACATAATTGCTATTAATAGTTTGGCATTATTTCTTACAGTTTTTTTAAAAAGATCTGTATAGTCATAAAAGTTATGTTATTTATGAAAATAAGAATGATAATGTTTTGTTTTGCAGGAAAAGTCAACACTAATAATATGCTCTAGAGAAACTAACGCTTACTTAGATGTTTTTAACATTATAGTAAACTAATATGCCGAGCTTCAAAATGACCCAACATATAACTTGTAGCTGGGATATTTTGGTGCATTTGGCATTATACTGTAATTTACAGTATACAACATCTGAGGACTTTTAGCAGTATCTTGGCACAACAGACTGACTCCTCCCATCCCATCAGAGGTGGAGGGAGGAACTCTTTTCTCCCCATAAATTCTTGATTTTTAATTAATTAATTAACTAGTTTTTCTAGTTTTCATCTCCTCTCTTAATATTGGACTTTGATATTTACCTTTTTTATTCATTTAATTTATTTTTTAAAAATGTTTTGGCCAGATGTGGTGGCTCACGCCTGTAATCCCAGCACTTTGGGAGGCCAAGGCAGGTGGATCACAAGGTCAGGAGATTGAGGCCATCCTGGCTAACACGGTGAAACGCCGTCTCTACTAAAAAATACAAAAAATTAGCTGGGCATGGTGGTGAGTGCTTGTAGTCCCAGCTACTCGGGAGGCTGAGGCAGGAGAATGGCATGAACCCGGGAGGCAGAGCTTGCAGTGAGCCGAGATGGCACCATTGCACACATTGGTCTCTGTGTCTTTTTTCATGCAAGTCCCATGCTGTTTTGGTTACTGTAGCTCTGTGGTATAATTTGAAGTCAGTAATGTGATTGCTCCAGTTTTGTTTTTTTTTTTTTTTGCTCAGAATGGCTTTGACTATTCTGAGTCTATTGTGATTTCATATAAATTTTAACATGTTTTTTCTATTTCTGTGAAGAATGTCATTGGTATTTTGGTAGGGATTACATTGAATCTGTAGATTGCTTTGGGTAGTCTGGACATTTAAATGATATTGATTCTTCCAATCCATGAACATGAAATATATTTGTATTTTTTGGCATCCTTTTCAGTTTTTTCATTGGCATTTTATAGTTTTTATTATAGAGATCTTTCACTTCTTTGGTTAAGTTAATTTGTATGTATTTAATTTTATTTGTAGCTATTATAAATGGGATTACTTTTTTGATTTCCTTTTTAAATTGTTCACTGTTGGCATATAGAAATGCTACTGATTTTTGTATGTTTATTTTGTATCCTGAAACTTTATTGAATTTATCAGTTCTAGTGGTTTTTTTAGTGGAGACTTCAGTTTTTTCCAAGCATAAGATCGTATCATCTGCAAGCAAGTTTAATGTGACTTCTTCCTTTTCAGTATGAATGCCCTTTATTTTTACTTTTTTAAAAAATACTTTTATTCTAAGTTCTGTGGTACATGTGCAGATTGTTACATAGGTAAATGTGTGTCATGGGGGTTTGTTGTACAGATTATTTAATCATCCAGGTATTAAGTCTAGTACCCTTTAATTACTTTTCCTGATCCTCTGCCTCCTCTCACCCTCAGCCATCCGATAGACCCTAGTGTGTATTGTTCCCCTCTGTGTGCCCATGTGTTCTCACCATTCAGCTCCCACTTACAAGTGAGAACATGCACTATTCAGTTTTCTGTTCCTGCGTTAGTTTGCTAAGGATGATGGTCTCCATCTCCATCCATGTCCCTGCAAAGGACATGATCTCATTTTTTTTATGGCTACATATTATTCCATTGTGTGTATGTGCCACATTTTCTTTATCCAGTCTATCATTGATGGGCATTTAGGTTGATTTCATGTCTTTGCTATTGTGAATCGTTTTGCAGTGAACATCCGTGTGCATGTGTCTTTATAATAGAACAATTTATATTTCTTTGGGTATACCCAGTAATGGGATTGCTGGGTCAAATGGTATTTCTGTCTTTAGGTCTTTGAGGAATCGCCACACTGTCTTCCACAAAGGCAGAACTAACTTACACTCCCACCAACAGTGTATAAGCATTTCTTTTTCTCCACAACCTTGCCAGCATGTGTTATTTTTGACTTTTTAATAATAGCCATTCTGACTGGTGTGAAATGGTATCTCATTGTGGTTTTGATTTGCATTTCTCTAATGATCAGTGTTGTTGAGGTTTCTTTCATTGATTCTTGGCCCCATGTATGTCTTTTTTTGAGAGATGTTCGTTCATGTCCTTTGCCCACTTTTTAATGGGGTTGTTTTTCTCTTGTAAATTTATTTAAGTTCCTTATAGATGCTGGATATTAGACTTTTGTCAGATGCATAAATTGCAAAAATGTTCTCCCATTCTGTAAATTGTCTGTTTACTCTGTTGATAGTGTTTTGTTGTTGTTGTTTTTGCTGTGCCAGAAGCTCTTTAGTTTAATTAGATACCATTTATCAATTTTTGCTTCTGTTGCAGTTGCTTTTGGCATCTTCATCATGAAATATTTGTGCCGATGTCTCGAATGGTATTGCTGAGGTTGTTTTCAAGGATTTTTATAGTTTTGGGTTTTACATTTAAGTCAATAATCTATCTTGAGTTGATTTTTGTGCATGGTGTAAGGAAGGGGTCCAGTTTTAATCTTCTGCATATGGCTAGCCAGTTATCCCAGTGCCATTTATTGAATAGGGAATCGTTTCCCCATTGCTTGTTTTTGTCAGGTTTGTTGCAGATAGTTGTAGATGTGTGGTCTTATTCTTGGGTTCTCTATTCTGTTCCATTGGTCTATGTGTCTGTTCTTATATCAGTGCCATGCTGTCTTGGTTACCATAGCCCTGTAGTATAGTTTGAAGTAATGTAGCATGATGTCTCCAGCTTTGTTTCTTTTTGCTTAGGATTGCCTTGGCTATTCAAGCTTTTCTGGGGTTCCATATGAATTTTAAAATAGTTTTTTTGTAGTTCTTTGAAGAATGTCAATGGTAGTTTAATAGAAATAGCATTGAATATGTAAATTGCACTGGGCAGTTTGGCCATTTTCACAATATTG
This sequence comes from Homo sapiens, assembly GCF_000001405.40. Lineage (NCBI taxonomy): Eukaryota > Metazoa > Chordata > Mammalia > Primates > Hominidae > Homo > Homo sapiens. The sequence continues at coordinate 174,363,399 of NC_000001.11, forward strand.
CTTCTTCCTGTATATGAGCATGGAATGTTTTTCATTTGTTTTTTCATCTCTGATTTCTTTGAGCAGTGGTTTGTAGTTCTCCTTGTAGAGATCTTTCATTTCCCTAGTTAGCTGTATTCCTAGGTTGAATGTCCTTTATTTCTTTCTCTTGTATGACTGCTTTAGCTAGAACTTTCAGTACTTTGTTGGTTAACAGTGGTGACAGTGGGCATCCTTGTTTTGTTCTAGATCTTAGAGGAAAGACTTTCAGTTTTTCCCCATTCAGTATGATACTAGCTGTGGGTCTGTCATATTTGGCTTTTGTTATATTGAGGTATATTTCTTCTATCCCCATTTTTTGAGGGTTTTTATTATGAAGGAATGATGAAGTTTATTGAGTGCTTTTTCAGCATTAATTGAAATGCTCATATGGTTTTTGTACTTCATTCTGTTGATATGATGGATCACATTGATTTATTTGCATATGTCAAACCATTCTTACATCCCAGGGATAAATCCCATTTGGTCATGATGAATGATTCTTTTAATGTATTGTTGAATTCATGTTTGCTTGTATTTTGTTGCCAATTTTGGATCAGTGTACATCACTGATATTGGCCTACAGTTTCCCTTTTTTGATATGTCTTTTGGTATCAGGGTAATACTGACCTTCTAGAGTAAGTCTGGAAGTATTCCCTCTTCCTCTGTTTTTCAGAATAGTTTGAGTAGGATTGGTATTAGTTCTTTAAATATTTGATAGAGTTCAACAGTGAAGCCATCAAGTCTCAAGTTATTCTTTACTTAGAGGCTTTATTACGACTTCGATCTTGTTACTTATTATTGTTCTGTTCAGCTTTTGGATTTCCTTTTTTTTTTTTTTTTTTTTTTTTTTTTTGAGACGGAGTCTCGCTCTGTCGCCCAGGCTGGAGTGCAGTGGCGGGATCTCGGCTCACTGCAAGCTCCGCCTCCCGGGTTCACGCCATTCTCCTGCCTCAGCCTCCCAAGTAGCTGGGACTACAGGCGCCCGCCACTACGCCCGGCTAATTTTTTGTATTTTTAGTAGAGACGGGGTTTCACCGTTTTAGCCGGGATGGTCTCGATCTCCTGACCTCGTGATCCACCCGCCTCGGCCTCCCAAAGTGCTGGGATTACAGGCGTGAGCCACCGCGCCCGGCCTGGATTTCTTCATGGTTCAATGTTGGTAGGTTGTATATGTCTAGGAATTTATTAATTTCTTCTAGATTTTTCCATTTATTGGCATATGGTTGCTCATAGTAGCCACAAATGATCCTTTGAATTTCTTCAGTATCCATTGTAATGTCTCTTTTTTATCTCCAATTTTATTTATTTTGGATTGTGCTGGGTCACCCCTGAAACGAGCATGTCTCAGAGCCCAAGGTCAATGGTGTACTCCATGGGTATCAGTGGTGGTTGTTCAGGGCCCAAGAGTTCTTTAGTTGGCAGATGATAAATGCTTCCAGGACTGGGTTCTTCCCTCAAGGCAGTGGGATCCTTTTCGGCCCAGGGTGTGTCTAGAAATGTTATCCAGGAGCTGGGGCCTGGAATTGAGGCCTCACGACTCTGCCCATTACCTTATTCTACTGTGAGTGACCTGGTGTCCAAGATGCAAGACAGAGTCCTCTTTACTCTTTGCTGTCCTCTCCTTAAGCAGAAAGAAGGAGACACTTTCATGCTGGGAGCTTCACTGCCTGGAGTTGGGGGAGTGGTGACGCAAGCACTCCCTTAACCATGCTAGCTGGTGACTTCGTCCTTTGTTATATGTGAGAGTGACTCTTTGTTTTCTCAGGATCCCAAAGTGCTCATTCAAAGCCATCTCTGTCTGTTTTCCAACACTGTTTATGTCAAATTGTAGGAGAACACCCGTTGGAACTTTCTTTACATTCTCTTGCTGCCGTGTTTTAAAGAATGAAGGTACAGCAGTATGAATTAATCATGGTTTCTCAGTTGCTGGGCACCTGCCACCCTATTTCACTAGCTCTAAGCCAAGGCTAGTGCTAGGAGTTGCCTAGGAATTGCAGTCTTTGCATTCTAGATGCCTTTCAAGTTTACCTAGGATCCCAGAGCATTTCAGCCCGCAGTGTTGAGGCTTGCTGAGCAACTCAAGTTCCATCTGCTGCGATGGATGTTTCCCTGCTGGCTAGGGCTGGTCCAAATGCTCCCTCTGTGTGTGGGAGCTAGCTGAACCTAGGATGGCTCTATCCTCCGCTGTGACAGGGCAGCAGTGAATTCAATGTGAAGTCCCCCAGTTGCTGTGTTCCTTATCCCCAAAGTGTACAAATTGCCTTTCTGCACCACACGGTGGCTGCTGAGGGATGTGGGTGGGGTGGTATCAGCAACTCATGACTGTCTCTCCATCCTTCCTCAATGCCTCTTTTGGTAATACAAAGTTAAAACCATGCGCTGTGATTGCTCACCTGATGTTTGGTTCTTATGACAGTGTTTTTCTTTGTGCAGATGGTTGTTAAAATTTGGTGTTCCAGGGAGTGTGGGGGTGTGATTGGTGTAGGCTTCTATTCTGCCATCTTACTCTGCCCTCTGAACTTTAATTTATACCATACCAGAAATCAGAGTGAAGGTAAACAACAAGGTTACAATGTAACTCTATTATAAATTTTGATTTTTTTTTGGTGACAAATACCAGTATATTTTTGTCTTTGGATCTATAAATTATTTAATTTAGCAAACTCTAAAGCTTATAAAATTTAACTTCTCAAGAAGTCTAGCACTTTATGGCTATTAATTTTACTATCAAAATATCCAGGTTACTGAATTCATTTTAATAATTATAATTCTTCTAAACATCATTTGAAGAATTATTTGTGGACACTAGACTCAAGACTACACTAAATCCAAACAGTATACCTAGGACCTGAGTTTTGAGTTTTTCATCTCAGTTATCTGTCCTTCAAGTTACTACTTCCTCTTATGCTTTCTTTTACTAACCAAATTTTCAGATTTTTACATTGGACCTTCTCCTCCAAGGCCCTATGGGACAACTTTGTAAATATGCATTTACAGCCTTTAAACACCAACATTTTAAACTGAGACTAATTCCTGCAACCACATTTCTTGTTAAAAGTTCAGCACTAGGCTGGGCACGGTGGCTCATGCCTGTAATCCCAGCACTTTGGGAGGCTGAGGTGGACAGATCACTTGAGGTCAGGAGTTTGAGACCCACCTGGCCAAAATGGTGAAACCTCATCTCTACTAAAAATATAAAAAAAAAATTAGCCGGGTTTGGTGGCGGGCCCCTGTAGTCCCAGCTACTTCGGAGGCTGAGACAGGAGAATCACTTGAACCCAGAAGGTGAAGGTTGCAGTGAGCCGAGATGGTGCCACTGCACTCCAGCCTGGGTGACAGAGCCAGACTCCGTCTCCAGGAAAAAAAAAAAAAAAAAAAAAAAAAAAAAGAAGTTTAGCACTAACAGTATCTTTCTGCCATTTTCTTCTGCTCAAGGAACTAAAGAAGTCAAACAGATAATGGTTCTGCCTGAGCCATTTGTGAAGTCTAAGAACAGTTACGTATACTCCCTGTTATTCTTTCAGGGCATTATTTTATCCTTTTTTTTAAACCTTGAAAAATAGGTGTTACTTAGCCTTATAAAATTTTGAAGTAAAGTTTCTGAATTTCTGTGAAGAACTCTTCAAGCAATTCAGCTTTTCAAACACAGTCGTCACACAATAGTCCCTGTAACATGGGATTTATTCCACAGTTAAAAAGTGACTTCCTCCTTTGTTATATGTGAGAGTGGCTGTTTGTTTTCTCAGGATCCCAAAGTGCTCATTCAAAGCCATCTCTGTCTGTTTTCCAACACTATTTATGTCAAATTGTAGGGGAACACCCGTTGGAACTTTCTTTACATTCTCTTGCTGCCGTGTTTTAAAGAATGAAGGTATAGCAGTATGAATTAATCATGGTTTCTCAGTTGCTGGGCATTGTACTGCTCCAGGGTTATCAATAGATACAGTCAGATTCCTGCGTTTGTGATAGATGTCTGGCATTGACTAGTTCTCTTTGCTACTACATCTAGCAGTTGTTCCGTGTTCAACTGGGCCTGAACCTTCTTCAGGCCTCTTCCGAAAAGAAAAGTTACCTGTGAAGTGTCTTTCTGATGGCTTAATTTATTTCCTCTCCTGGTAAAACTGGACATAATGTTATTTTTTCTGTTTAGCTGGTTAGGTCTCTTGAGAACTGCAACTGGTTTCCTATGCACTTCATTTTGTTTCAGAAGGCTTGCCTTTCTTTTTAACACTGGAAAATAGTGTTCTGTATTCTTGTCACTTAGACGTGGACAATACATACATAGGACTAATTCCTTTTCCAATTCCAGATGATTTTCTAACTGCAAGTCCAGTGATTATCCATAAGGATGTCTCTTTCCAGGCATTACTCTTCCTCTGCAGCTTAGACTGGTTTTACCAAAACCAGAATTCTGTTGGAGTACCCATTGTATTCTCATCCTAAATTGCTGGAGTCTTCTGTTTAGTTTTGGAAAATTCTGCTTTTTTCCTTTCTTTCAATTCAGTTTGATGACACCAGCCAAAGACATACCAATTTTGTCAAGGTGTTTGTTGCTGCGAGCTTTCAGCAGCTGTGACAAGGTCACTGTGGCTTCTACCAACTGGGTACCAAACTGGTTCATGGCTGGAAATGTGGTGCTAGAACAGTCAGTGCGGAAGGCCAGAGTTGGAGGCCTGCCATCTCTCATGCACACACGCAAGCAGACTGCCGGGCAGCATCCTTGTCCTCCCACCCGTGGTTGCCAGCATAGACCAATTTATCCCATTCCTTTAAATTACTTGATAGTGTTCTCTGGAATACTCTTGAATATACCATAATTTAGTTAGTAAAACATATTGATGGATTGCTGATAGTTCAGTTTCTTACTATTACAAGCAGTGATACACTAAGAATCCTGTTACAAATATGTCTTTCGAGTATGTGTTTCTGGAGAATAAATTTGATCAAATGATATATTAACTTAGCATCTTAATAAATTCAAAAAGATTGTTCTTATTTAAACATCAGCCTTCTTACCTGTTTCCTTATGCTTTTAGGAAAACTAGGTATTATCAATTTTTATACTCTCTGTCAATGTAATTGGTAGATACGTTTCATTGTTTTAATTTGCATTTAAAAGATTCATGAAATGGGGTTTTCTATAACATTTTTATTTTAGTCATGTTTTACATATTGTGACCTGTACTGTGTCGATATCCTTAGCTCAGTTTTCTATTGGATTTTTCTTTATTCTATTGATTAGTAAGATTGTGGTATATTAGTGAAAATAGCCATTTGTCAAATGTTGGAAATTTTTTTGCTTTTAAAAAATATACATACTCTATACCGTCATAGATTTTTTAAAATTATAGGTAGTCAGATTTTTAAATCTTTTTAATGGTAACTTGATTTTGTTCTTATGCTTAGGAATTCCTTTCCCTACAAGAGTATTATGAATTTGAAAGATTTTCTGTCATCAGTATTATTGTCTAATTTTTATTATAATCAAGATTTATAATATCTAGGAATGTTTATTTCCTTTTCTCTTTTTTGTTTTCATTGTGTTCCTAGATTTTGGTCTCTAATTTGGCATGTACAACATAATCAAATAGCCTGAAACCTTGGCACATTATTAGTTACTGTGGATCAGAATAGAGTATTAGATGGGATGATCTTGGATCCTGCTTAATTGAATACCAATTTATAAGTACCTATACTTGGTACCAATTTATAAGTGGGCCAACTATCAGTCCTTGTTTGCGTGACATAGTCTAAGTTTAACCTGTCTTCCAGAATAATTTTTTTTTTTGAGATGAGGTCTCACTCTGTCACTCAGGCTGGAGTGCAGTGGCACAATCTTGGCTCACTGCAACTGTGGCCTCCCAGGCTCAAGTGATCCTCCCATCTCAGCCTCCTGAGTAGCTGGGACTATAGGAGTACGCCACCATGCCCAGCTAATTTTTTGTAATTTTGATAGAAACAGGGTTTTACCATGTTGCCCAGGCTGGTCTCAAACCCCTGAGCTCAGGCCCTCCTTGGCCTCCCAAAGTGCTGGGATTACAGGCCTGAGCCACTGCACTTGACCAAGAATAATTTTTAATAGTCCTCTTTCACTATAAAAAGTGCCTCAGTTTAAATAAAAAATTATAAATGTTATAAAAGATAGTTGTTTACATGGGATAGTTCCTCAGGGTATTGTAACACTAAAGCTTTAGTTGTTTCTATTTATATCATTCAGTTGTTTCTATTTACATTACTTCTATAGTAGTAATATTTCATTTGCTTTAACTTTTAAAATATCTGTTATTTTCATGATGAACTTATTACAAGCTTCATACAGTTGCTTATGTGAGGTATTTCTAGAACAGTCATGCTAGTGTGTACTCTCTTTGCCTTCATTTTAATTAACAGAATGATGTTCACTTTTTGCATTAAATGTCCCTTATAATTCTTATTTACCTAGTATTGCTTTAAAGATGATGAAACATTTGTCTCTGTATGTGGACATATTTTGGTTATATTTTACTAAATGTGTCATCAAATCTTTTTTGTATGGCTGTGACCTAATGTTTTAACCTGGCCAAATAAACCATTACTTATTACATTAATGTTTTCTGATGTTGCATATACTTGGATCATTGGATTTTGTGGTATGCTAAGTAATACTACTGTTCTTAACACAGATCCCCGTGGGAGCCACTAAATGCCAATCCCTCTTATACTGTCACAGTGTTGATAAAACTTTGGTACTTGTTATCTGCCAGATAGATTTTCAGCTATCTTATTTTATTCCGATAGTACTTCTCCAGCCTTTTCTTATGTAGTACTGTGTCAAAGACTATTTTATAATAGGTACATTGTGTCTATTGTTCTTTCTTTCCTTTCTCTACTACCTCTGCTACTGCTTAAAAGGTTTATAGAGTTTAGTATTGGTCGTTTTCACCACCGATTATAAACTGTAAATCAACCCATATTGTTTCTTAAACTATTATTTTACATTTTGAGGTGTTTGTAAAATTGCCATATAAAAAGGCCAGTTTCAATTTTCCTTTAGTTAAAAATACCTTTTTTTTTTTTTTTTTTTTTTTTACAAATACATCTTAAGAAACCTAACTTTTTTTTTTTTTTTTTACATTTCCGGTTGTTTGTGTGTTTATATCATAATATGTATGTTTCTCAGTGTTATATTTAGGTATATATGTTTGGCCCTTAATTTTTATGTTTGTTGGTCCCATTAATAAAATTTGAGAATATCTGGTGAGTAGAACACCATATGGGAATTTCCAGTTGTGCTACCATTAGCCTTTAAACATTAGTCTTTGGATACAGCTATTTATTTATATTTTCAATTTCATGTTATGTAAACTGTATATGAGATTTTCATAAAAGTTTGTTCTTTTAAAATATCTAGGCACTGAAGATAAATTAATGAAATTCTTACTGTTATTTTTGCAATGCATGTAATAATATGAAGAGAAGCTGGTTTTATTAGACATGGAGTCATGTTTATTGTATGATATATAAAGTATCTACTGTAATATATAAAATAATGTTTGTTGGTTTTTGCGTTTCTTCTGCAGAGAGTGATAATGAACTCTCAAGTGGAACAGGTGATGTGTCTAAGGATTGTCCTGAGAAGATCCTGTATTCTTGGGGAGAGTTGCTAGGAAAATGGTAAAATTTTATTTTTCATACTGAAAATTCTATATTTACATAGTTGATGTTAATTTGTTGTATTAAAATCTGTGTGTTAAAATAGGTTTTAAAGGATTAATATTAAAATCTATCTTAATATCTTAATATTGTTTAAAAACTTAAAAATTAAAATATAATTTATAGATACTCTTTATGTTTGGCTAGGTCTTCCCCCCAAGTATGGTTTTATTTAACTTGCTTTTAGAAGATGTCTTTGTCTTATTATTTCACTCAGACCGTATTATTTGTCTTATTATTTCACATCATTTAGCACAGTCAATTTTATGCTATATTGCCAATGCATTTAAATGTCTACTGTTAAAGGGTTATGTTTTTTTAAAACCAAGTCTATTACCACTAAAATGGGCTGTATAGTTTAGAATTTCTCATTTTACGCTGATTGTTAACTGACACAGCTTGTTTCATTCTTTCTGACTAAAAGTATTACTTTAAATTTTGGCGTATTTTATGTGGAATTACAAAAAAAGTACTCTGTTTATATTTATTATATTAAGTACTTTTTATATTTATGATACATTTTTTAAAATGGTAATTATGACTATCATATGTTGGTGTAATGAAAAAATCCTGCCAACAAAATACTTCCCCATATTAGTATAGACATAGAAATTCAATTTATTGTTGAATATGCACTCAGATTACATGCATGCGGGTAGTCCAGGGGAGACTACAAAGTCTGGGCGGAATTTCACAGTTCAGTAGAAGAAAGAATAATTTAAACCTCTTTTATCCTTTCAAGAGAAAAGTGGATGCTCCTTATGATAGTCTGTATGCATCTTGAGAGTTTCCTTAGTTGTAATTTAGGAAATATGTATTTACAGTTCCAACGGTTGGAATACTGATGATTTTTCATTGTAAAATCTGGAGATTAGGTTTATCAAATTTGGACCAAAGTATTGGGCCTGTTATTGTTTTTAAGGAGATAAACCCTGAATGGCCAGCTGCTTCTCCTTTTTAAGCAAAGAAAATTTCATTTTATGTATCCTTACACATATCACATAAAATGAACACATTTCAGAGAACTTATTTAACTCATTAATGAATGTCAACATAAAATAATCAAAAGGGTCAGAATCTAATTTAAAGGTAATTTATTCAATAGCAAAATATGAGCATGGACCACCCAGAAACACCACCTCTAAAGGAATGCAGTCAGTGGTCCAAAGTAGGGAAGTTAAGATTTCATTTATATAGGCAGAGGCACAGGAGTTTTTAGCAGGATTATGACATTATTCATACAGGGCTGGTGCATAGTTACAGCAGTTTGGTTGGTTATAGGCAGTGCTTTTTTCGGCGGGGGGATGTTAAAAATTTTTTTTAACTTTTTTTATAGAGGGTACAATAATCGTAGGTTTTCTGTTATCTGGTCTAAGTGAAGCAGAATGACAAAAGGGATGTTAACCTATAACAAGGGTCATTAATGAAGAAGGCAGGAGGTTTTGGTCCTTGACATCATTTAATTCTCTCTAGTTATCGTACAAAACAAGAAAAATGTGATTTAATGTATAATCCAAGAACAGAAGTTGTAACCATATGTGACTCAGATAACAGTCACGTCTCTCTCAAGACTTAAAGTGTTGTTGTTTTTTTTTATTCCAACAGCTTTTAGGTTTTATTTTCACATGGAGCACCAATAAGGTATTAGAGCCAATCAAAATAAGGATTTGATTTAGAGATTTATTTTCTTTACCTGGCAATTCATTTGCACTACCATGAATGGGAGTCATTTGCATAGCTATGGACAGTAAACTTTGCATTGCCATTATGTTATATATGTTGAGAGTTGTAAACTAGCCTAGTCAAAGACAAAGGCACACACTTCTATGTTGTCACCCAATTCCCAGATGTTCCAGCCATTCTATTGAAATGATGTTCAGTTATCATTTTGTCCATTTCAAAAATCTTACACAATTTTACCCCACATTATATCCAGAATCTAACTTACTCATTTGCAAGCATTGTCCACCTAAATGTACCTCATATGTTTTTATCTGTTTTATTTAGGGTTACTCTCTTCCTTTAAGATGAACAGTTCTCTTTTTAGATGGTCCTGAGTTAGGACAGTTTCAATGTGGGATGGAGAGCGGCAGGAAGTGAGATGGGAGAGTGTGTTCTAGTTAGAGGCAGATGACTTTTTCAGTCTCAGACCAGGCTGGGAAACAGGAAGCATGCTAAACTTTTTAAACAGAAGCATTTTAATGCAGATAATTGGCTTACAATGTGTTAGAAGGTTGAGAGAGCAGAAAGGAGATATTATGATTGGAGTAACCCAAGTAGTAGGAAACAGCTATGGCCTATGGGACTGGAGAAATAAAATGAAAGAAGTATTGTTACCAGAGTCTAGGAACTCAGAGGAGGTCTGAGGAGCTGATGCAGGGATCTCTGAAGAGGGCTGCATCCTGGTTGCTTAGAATTATGAGGATCCTCATAGCAGCTAGTGTTTAGAAAGAACTGTCAGGGCAGGGGACAACTGTTTAGTTCCACACTTCTGAAGAGATACCCAGATCTTGGAGCAGGTGGGGAGGACCACATCATTGGTGCTGGTACTTGTTAGCCTGGCTAGTATTAGTATTTTTCAGGAGTTAACGATATAGCTGGTGCTGGCAATGGAATTCCTTCTTCCATTCTTCTGCCTTCCAACTGTACATCACTATTACTCATGGGCAGAACCTAACCTGAAAGCCAGTGGGCAAGGGAGTTTGGGATATGTAGTCTGCAGATTCTCAGCCCTTACATCTTTGAGCAGAATACAGAAGGGTGGACTTGTAGCTGATAGGCAGTGGGTAAATGACTACAAAAGGGTAAAAGCTGGGCCTAATTCTCATTTACCCATTTATCTGGTCCAATTGAATTAGGCTTTCCTGATACCCAATGTTTTTAGATAGAGATTTATTTATTAGGAGCACTGATAAGAAAAAAAACAGCACCAACAACTTGTCCTAATCTTCTTCATCTTTGGTCTGAAAGTGTACTTTTATGGTCCAACCATGTGGATGTGATTGATAGTATTGGATGTAATGGTAGCGTATGCATTGATACCACAGCTTGGCTGCTACTGTTACGTGGTTTCTTCCTTTCCCACTTCAAGTTATTTGCTGGGGGAAGGCTTAGGAATTTACATGGACCTCCATGCATCATAGAAATAAGCAACGTGTCTCCTGCGGCAGCTCTACTCTCTGGACAGAGTTTATTTGTCCCTGATTCTCTGGTGAAGAACAGGGGCATAGTCTTCCGTTGTGGCCACTTCATAAAACAAGGACTCCCTTCTTACTGGCTCTCACATTACTGAGAATTGGGTGCTTACTTTTTACGGGCCCAACACATTCTTTCTAGTATAGCAAAATACACAACACCTAAAACTAATACCTTATACTCCAATTGAAATTAATCAGCAAAACAGCTCCTAGATATCAATATATAGGTATTGTAGAAACTAATTTTCTTTGGATAAGGTGTTTCTTCTTGTCCGTAATTTACTCCCAAAGGCAAAATAATTTCAACTTGATAAGATCTATCGGAGGGGAATATAATTTAATGGGAAAAATACATTACGCTTAAACTCAGAACTGAATTAGACTTCCAGTTGTAGTGCTAACTTGATAGGTAGCTTGCACAAGTTATTTAACATTTTTAGGTTCCATTTTTCCAGTGAAGCTTTTATAAACCTGCTCATGTATGCATGCTTTGTCTTTCAGAAGTGGAATAATGTTTGCAAAGTTTTTTTGTGTGTTTTGTTTTTCTTTTTCCTAGCCCTTAGATTGAGAAAATACCTTAATTTTTATTGTCTTTTTATGGTTTGGGATTATATCACCATTCTTGAGGAATTTACAATAACAGTCTGGGCTGTTTCATTTAAGAGAATATGTACAAACATCTCACTTTCTTGATTCTTAGATGAAATTTAGTTAAAAGTCGACATGCTTATTGGGAGATATGGCAAGGTGAGAATGTTTGGGAAAGGAAGTAGAGACAGACATTGGATTTTTGTCAGTCAAGTTTCTTTTGATTTTAAATTATTTATTCATTACATTTTCTACATGGCAGTTAATATTCTAAAACTATAAACAAAATTTAATATAGAAAAAATATTATGCTTTTCTTTTTTGCCTTTGCATGCTCTTATTTCAAAATAGATTTAAAATTCATGGCATATTATACTAGAAAACAAGTCTGTCAATGATCTAAGCTTCTATCTTTAGATACTAGGAAAAAAGAGAAAAACCCAAAGCAAGCAGAAGCAAGGAAATAAGAACAGAAATAAATGGAATTGAGAAGAACACTTCAGAAAATCAGTCAAACTGAAGCTGATTTTTATAAAGATTAATATGTTTGATAAAGATAACCATCTAACTAGACTGACCAAGAAAAACAAGGGAGAGAGAGAACACAGATACAAGAATCAAAGAGGCTACATCATTACAAATCACTACAGACATTACAAGGATATAAAATAATATTATAAGCAACTCACTGTCTATAAATTTAGAAGCTTAGGTGAAATCGACAAACACTTGAAAGTCATAAATTGCCAAAGCTTACTTGAAATAAATAACCTGAATACTCCTGTATTAGTTGACAAAATTGAATTCATAGTTTAAAAGTTTTCAATAGAGAAAATTTGAGGCCAAAATGGCAAATTCTACCAAATATTTAAGAAAAAAATAATAAGACTGGGCACAGTGGCTCATGCCTGTAATCCCAGCACTTCAGGAGGCTGAGGCGAGCCGATCACTTGAGGTAATGAGTTTGAGACCAGCCTAGCCAACATAATGAAACCCTATCTCTACTAAAAATATCAAAAAAATTAGCCAGGCATGGTGGTGTGCACCTGTAATCTCAGCTACCCGGGAGGCTGAGGCACAAGAATTGCCTGAGCCTAGGAGGCAGAGGTTGCAGTGAGCTCAGATTGTACCACTGCACTCCAGCCAGTGACAGAGCAAGACTCTGTCAGAAAATAAAGTAGAGTAAAGTAAAGTAAAGAAAAGGAAAGAAGGAAGGAGAGAAAGACAGAGAGAGATAGAGAAAGAGAGAAGGAAGGAGAGAGAGAAAGAAAAAGAAAGAAGGAAAGAAAGTGAAGGAAAGAAAGGAAGAAAGAAAGAGAAGGAAGGAAGGAAAGGAAAGAAGGAAGGAAGGAAGGGAAAGAAGGAAGGAAGGAAAAAATATATAAATTCTACATAAACTTTCCAGAATATATAAGTGAAGGCAATACTTTCCAGCTAATTTATGTCATTTGCTTACCATGATATCAAAACCGGATGAAAATATTACAGAAAAGAAAATTGCAGACGAGTGTCCCTCATGGATATAGACTAAAAAAGCCTCAACAAGTCCTAGCATATCAAATCCAACAATATATAAATTTGAAAGGATAATGTTGCATGACTACGTGGGACGTATTTTGGGAATGCAAGGCTGCTTTGACATTTGAAAATAAATCAGTGTTATTCACTTATATCAATAGGCTAAAGAAGAAAAACCATATAATCATTTCAATAGATGCAGAAAAAGCATTTGACCCAATTCAGCATTCATTCTTGATTTAAAAAAACCAAAAAACAAAAAAACCTCTGAGCAAGCTAGGAATACAAGGGACCTTTCTTAACCTGATAAAAGGTACCTATGAAAAACCTGCAGCTAACATCTAACTTAAGAATGACAGATCCCAAAACTGGGAATAAGGTAGGGATATCTACTCTCATGACTCTTACTCAACTTAGTACTAGAGGTCTTAGCAAGTGTAACAGGCAAGAAAAAGAAATAAAAGGCAAACAAGATTGGAAAGAAAAATATAACACTGTCTCTATTTGCAGAGATGTGATTGTCTGTGTAGAAAACCCCAAGGAATCTACAAAACAAACAAACAAAACTCCTAGATCTAATAAATGAGTTTTACAATGTTAAAAGATACAAGATCAATATGTGCACATCAGTTTCATTTCTATACACTGGCAGTGAAAAATTGGAAATAGAAATTTTGAAACAAAAAAGCACCATAAAGGAAAACCATGAAATATATAGAAATCGAACAAATTGTGAGCTAAATATATACTTTGACATACTAGAAAACAGTAATCAAAGACATCAAAGAAGACAGAAATAAATGAAGATATATGCTATGTTCATGGAATGAAAAAATCTCAATATTATTAAGATTTCAGTCATTCCCAAACTAATCTTAAAATTAGTGCATTTCCAATAAAAATCTCAGCAGATTTTTTGGTAGCAACCAACAAGCTGATTTTAAAATTTATATAGGAAGCAGAGTAACTAGAATAGCCAAAACAATTTTGAAAGTGAAGAACACAATGGAAAGGCATATTACCTGATTTCTAGGTTTACTGTAGCACTACAGTAGTCAAAAGAGTATTGATACAAGGATAGACACTGAGATTAGTGGCATAGAAAAGAGAGTTCAGAAATAGAGCCACGCAATCTAAACAGACATTTTCTAAAGAAGACATACAAATGGCCAAGTAGCACATAAAAAGATGCTCAATATCATTAACCATCAGGGAAATGCCAATCAAAGCTACAGTGAGATACCACTTCATACCCACTACGATGTCAATCATTACAAAGACAGATAATAACAAGTGTTGGCAAGAATGTGGAGACATTGAAAGCGTAGCATAGCAACTGCAACTCTTTTTTTTTTTTTTAAGATTTTATTATTATTATTTTTTATTATACTTTAAGTTTTAGGGTACATGTGCACATTGTGCAGGTTAGTTACATATGTATACATGTGCCATGCTGGTGCGCTGCACCCACTAACTCATCATCTAGCATTAGGTATATCTCCCAATGCTATCCCTCCCCCCTCCCCCCACCCCACAACAGTCCCCAGAGTGTGATATTCCCCTTCCTGTGTCCATGTGATCTCATTGTTCAATTCTCACCTATGAGTGAGAATATGCGGTGTTTGGTTTTTTGTTCTTGCGATAGTTTACTGAGAATGATGATTTCCAATTTCATCCATGTCCCTACAAAGGACATGAACTCATCATTTTTTACGGCTGCATAGTATTCCATGGTGTATATGTGCCACATTTTCTTAATCCAGTCTATCATTGTTGGACATTTGGGTTGGTTCCAAGTCTTTGCTATTGTGAATAATGCCGCAATAAACATACGTGTGTATGTGTCTTTATAGCAGCATGATTTATAGTCCTTTGGGTATATACCGAGTAATGGGATGGCTGGGTCAAATGGTATTTCTAGTTCTAGATCCCTGAGGAATCGCCACACTGACTTCCACAATGGTTGAACTAGTTTACAGTCCCACCAACAGTGTAAAAGTGTTCCTATTTCTCCACATCCTCTCCAGCACCTGTTGTTTCCTGACTTTTTAATGATTGCCATTCTGACTGGTGTGAGATGGTATCTCATTGTGGTTTTGATTTGCATTTCTCTGATGGCCAGTGATGATGAGCATTTTTTCATGTGTTTTTTGGCTGCATAAATGTCTTCTCTTGAGAAGTGTCTGTTCATGTCCTTCGCCCACTTTTTGATGGGATTGTTTGTTTTTTTCTTGTAAATTTGTTTGAGTTCATTGTAGATTCTGGATATCAGTCCTTTGTCAGATGAGTAGGTTGCGAAAATTTTCTCCCATTTTGTAGGTTGCCTGTTCACTCTGATGGTAGTTTCTTTTGCTGTGCAGAAGCTCTTTAGTTTAATTAGATCCCATTTGTCAATTTTGGCTTTTGTTGCCATTGCTTTTGGTGTTTTGGACATGAAGTCCTTGCCCATGCCTATGTCCTGAATGGTAATGCCTAGGTTTTCTTCTAGGGTTTTTATGGTTTTAGGTCTAACGTTTAAATCTTTAATCCATCTTGAATTGATTTTTGTATAAGGTGTAAGGAAGGGATCCAGTTTCAGCTTTCTACATATGGCTAGCGAGTTTTCCCAGCACCATTTATTAAATAGGGAACCCTTTCCCCATTGCTTGTTTTTCTCAGGTTTGTCAAAGATCAGATAGTTGTAGATATGCGGCGTTATTTCTGAGGGCTCTGTTCTGTTCCATTGATCTATATCTCTGTTTTGGTACCAGTACCATGCTGTTTTGGGTACTGTAGCCTTGTAGTATAGTTTGAAGTCAGGTAGTGTGATGCCTCCAGCTTTGTTCTTTTGGCTTAGGATTGACTTGGCGATGCGGGCTGTTTTTTGGTTCCATATGAACTTTAAAGTAGTTTTTTCCAATTCTGTGAAGAAAGTCATTGGTAGCTTGATGGGGATGGCATTGAATCTGTAAATTACCTTGGGCAGTATGGCCATTTTCACGATATTGATTCTTCCTACCCATGAGCATGGCATGTTCTTCCATTTGTATGTATCCTCTTTTATTTCCTTGAGCAGTGGTTTGTAGTTCTCCTTGAAGAGGTCCTTCACATCCCTTGTAAGTTGGATTCCTAGGTATTTTATTCTCTTTGAAGCAATTGTGAATGGGAGTTCACTCATGATTTGGCTCTCTGTTTGTCTGTTATTGGTGTATAAGAATGCTTGTGATTTTTGTACATTGATTTTGTATCCTGAGACTTTGCTGAAGTTGCTTATCAGCTTAAGGAGATTTTGGGCTGAGACAATGGGGTTTTCTAGATATACAATCATGTCGTCTGCAAACAGGGACAATTTGACTTCCTCTTTTCCTAATTGAATACCCTTTATTTCCTTCTCCTGCCTAATTGCCCTGGCCAGAACTTCCAACACTAAGTTGAATAGGAGTGGTGAGAGAGGGCATCCCTGTCTTGTGCCAGTTTTCAAAGGGAATGCTTCCAGTTTTTGCCCATTCAGTATGATATTGGCTGTGGGTTTGTCATAGATAGCTCTTATTATTTTGAAATACGTCCCATCAATACCTAATTTATTGAGAGTTTTTAGCATGAAGGGTTGTTGAATTTTGTCAAAGGCTTTTTCTGCATCTATTGAGATAATCATGTGGTTTTTGTCTTTGGCTCTGTTTATATGCTGGATTACATTTATTGATTTGCGTATATTGAACCAGCCTTGCATCCCAGGGTTGAAGCCCACTTGATCATGGTGGATAAGCTTTTTGATGTGCTGCTGGATTCGTTTTGCCAGTATTTTATTGAGGATTTTTGCATCAATGTTCATCAAGTATATTGGTCTAAAATTCTCTTTTTTGGTTGTGTCTCTGCCTGGCTTTGGTATCAGAATGATGCTGGCCTTATAAAATGAGTTAGGGAGGATTCCCTCTTTTTCTATTGATTGGAATAGTTTCAGAAGGAATGGTACCGGTTCCTCCTTGTACCTCTGGTAGAATTCGGCTGTGAATCCATCTGGTCCTGGACTCTTTTTGGTTGGTAAACTATTGATTATTGCCACAATTTCAGCTCCTGTTATTGGTCTATTCAGAGATTCAACTTCTTCCTGGTTTAGTCTTGGGAGAGTGTATGTGTCAAGGAATATATCCATTTCTTCTAGATTTTCTAGTTTATTTGCGTAGAGGTGTTTGTAGTATTCTCTGATGGTAGTTTGTATTTCTGTGGGATCTGTGATGATATCCCCTTTATCATTTTTTATTGTGTCTATTTGATTCTTCTCTCTTTTTTTCTTTATTAGTCTTGCTAGCGGTCTATCAATTTTGTTGATCCTTTCAAAAAACCAGCTCCTGGATTCATTGATTTTTTGAAGGGTTTTTTGTGTCTCTATTTCCTTCAGTTCTGCTCTGATTTTAGTTATTTCTTGCCTTCTGCTAGCTTTTGAATGTGTTTGCTCTTGCTTTTCTAGTTCTTTTAATTGTGATGTTAGGGTGTCAATTTTGGATCTCTCCTGCTTTCTCTTGTGGGCATTTAGTGCTATAAATTTCCCTCTACACACTGCTTTGAATGCGTCCCAGAGATTCTGGTATGTGGTGTCTTTGTTCTCGTTGGTTTCAAAGAACATCTTTATTTCTGCCTTCATTTCGTTATGTACCCAGTAGTCATTCAGGAGCAGGTTGTTCAGTTTCCATGTAGTTGAGTGGCTTTGAGTGAGATTCTTAATCCTGAGTTCTAGTTTGATTGCACTGTGGTCTGAGAGATAGTTTGTTATAATTTCTGTTCTTTTACATTTGCTGAGGAGAGCTTTACTTCCAACTCTGTGGTCAATTTTGGAATAGGTGTGGTGTGGTGCTGAAAAAAATGTATATTCTGTTGATTTGGGGTGGAGAGTTCTGTAGATGTCTATTAGGTCCACTTGGTGCAGAGCTGAGTTCAATTCCTGGGTATCCTTGTTGACTTTCTGTCTCTTTGATCTGTCTAATGTTGACAGTGGGGTGTTAAAGTCTCCCATTATTAATGTGTGGGAGTCTAAGTCTCTTTGTAGGTCACTCAGGACTTGCTTTATGAATCTGGGTGCTCCTGTATTGGGTGCATATATATTTAGGATAGTTAGCTCTTCTTGTTGAATTGATCCCTTTACCATTATGTAATGGCCTTCTTTGTCTCTTTTGATCTTTGTTGGTGTAAAGTCTGTTTTATCAGAGACTAGGATTGCAACCCCTGCCTTTTTTTGTTTTCCATTTGCTTGGTAGATCTTCCTCCATCCTTTTATTTTGAGCCTATGTATGTCTCTGCACGTGAGATGGGTTTCCTGAATACAGCACACTGATGGGTCTTGACTCTTTATCCAATTTGCCAGTCTGTGTCTTTTAATTGGAGCATTTAGTCCATTTACATTTAAAGTTAATATTGTTATGTGTGAATTTGATCCTGTCATTATGATGTTAGCTGGTGATTTTGCTCATTAGTTGATGCAGTTTCTTCCTAGTCTCGATGGTCTTTACATTTTGGCATGATTTTGCAGCGGCTGGTACCGGTTGTTCCTTTCCATGTTTAGCGCTTCCTTCAGGAGCTCTTTTAGGGCAGGCCTGGTGGTGACAAAATCTGTCAGCATTTGCTTGTCTGTAAAGTATTTTATTTCTCCTTCACTTATGAAGCTTAGTTTGGCTGGATATGAAATTCTGGGTTGAAAATTCTTTTCTTTAAGAATGTTGAATATTGGCCCCCACTCTCTTCTGGCTTGTAGGGTTTCTGCCGAGAGATCCGCTGTTAGTCTGATGGGCTTCCCTTTGAGGGTAACCCGACCTTTCTCTCTGGCTGCCCTTAACATTTTTTCCTTCATTTCAACTTTGGTGAATCTGACAATTATGTGTCTTGGAGTTGCTCTTCTCGAGGAGTATCTTTGTGGCGTTCTCTGTATTTCCTGAATCTGAACGTTGGCCTGCCTTGCTAGATTGGGGAAGTTCTCCTGGATAATATCCTGCAGAGTGTTTTCCAACTTGGTTCCATTGTCCCCATCACTTTCAGGTACACCAATCAGACGTAGATTTGGTCTTTTCACATAGTCCCATATTTCTTGGAGGCTTTGCTCATTTCTTTTTATTCTTTTTTCTCTAAACTTCCCTTCTCGCTTCATTTCATTCATTTCATCTTCCATTGCTGATACCCTTTCTTCCAGTTGATCGCATCGGCTCCTGAGGCTTCTGCATTCTTCACGTAGTTCTCGAGCCTTGGTTTTCAGCTCCATCAGCTCCTTTAAGCACTTCTCTGTATTGGTTATTCTAGTTATACATTCTTCTAAATTTTTTTCAAAGTTTTCAACTTCTTTGCCTTTGGTTTGAATGTCCTCCCGTAGCTCAGAGTAATTTGATCGTCTGAAGCCTTCTTCTCTCAGCTTGTCAAAGTCATTCTCCATCCAGCTTTGTTCCGTTGCTGGTGAGGAACTGCGTTCCTTTGGAGGAGGAGAGACACTCTGCGTTTTAGAGTTTCCAGTTTTTCTGTTCTGTTTTTTCCCCATCTTTGTGGTTTTATGTACTTTTGGTCTTTGATGATGGTGATGTACAGATGGGTTTTCGGTGTGGATGTCCTTTCTGTTTGTTAGTTTTCCTTCTAACAGACAGGACCCTCAGCTGCAGGTCTGTTGGAATACCCTGCGATGTGAGGTGTCAGTGTGCCCCTGCTGGGGGGTGCCTCCCAGTTAGGCTGCTCGGGGGTCAGGGGTCAGGGACCCACTTGAGGAGGCAGTCTGCCCGTTCTCAGATCTCCAGCTGCGTGCTGGGAGAACCACTGCTCTCTTCAAAGCTGTCAGACAGGGACATTTAAGTCTGCAGAGGTTACTGCTGTCTTTTTGTTTGTCTGTGCCCTGCCCTCAGAGGTGGAGCCTACAGAGGCAGGCAGGCCTCCTTGAGCTGTGGTGGGCTCCACCCAGTTCGAGCTTCCTGGCTGCTTTGTTTACCTAAGCAAGCCTGGGCAATGGCGGGCGCCCCTCCCCCAGCCTCACTGCCGCCTTGCAGTTTGATCTCAGACTGCTGTGCTAGCAATCAGCGAGATTCCGTTGGCGTAGGACCCTCTGAGCCAGGTGTGGGATATAATCTCGTGGTGCGCCGTTTTTTAAGCCGGTCTGGAAAGGGCAATATTCGGGTGGGAGTGACCCGATTTTCCAGGTGCGTCCGTCACCGCTTTCTTTGACTGGGAAAGGGAACTCCCTGACCCCTTGCGCTTCCCAAGTGAGGCAATGCCTCGCCCTGCTTCGGCTCGCGCACGGTGCGCGCACCCACTGGCCTGCACCCACTGTCTGGCACTCCCTAGTGAGATGAACCCGGTACCTCAGATGGAAATGCAGAAATCACCCGTCTTCTGCGTCGCTCATGCTGGGAGCTGTAGACCGGAGCTGTTCCTATTCGGCCATCTTGGCTCCTCCTCGCAACTGCAACTCTCATATGTTGCTGGTGGAAATACAAAATGGTGTAGCCATTTTGGAAAATAGCATGGTATTTTATAAAATTGAAGACCCTTCTTATACCACCCCAGCAATTCCAGTCCCACTGCTGTGTGTTTACCAAAGTGAAATTAAAACCTGTATGTGAATGTTTATGATAGCCTTGCTCATAATCACCCCAAACTGCAAACAACCCAAATGTCCGTCAAAAGTAAATGGATCAACCAACTGTGGTATATTCATTGTATGGAATGCTACTGAGCAATTAAAAGAATGAACTGATATACATTACAACTGATGGATCTCAAGTGCATCATGTTAAGTGACCTATGCCAAAGTCAAGTGACTTAATACTATGTTATTCCATTTGTATGAAATTCTGGAAAAGTCAAAACTATCATCATAGGAAGCATGTCAGTAGTTGTTAAGGACTGGTGGTATTGACTACAAGAGGGTCCAGGGAATTTGGGTATGGGGGGAATGAGGGAACTATCCTGTATCTTGGTTATGGTAGTGCTCACAAACCTATGTGCATTTGTCAAATCTCACAGAATTGTATACTAAAAATGTGAATTTTACTCTGTATAAATTGTGCCTTAAATAAATGACAAAAAAGAAAAAAAAGCCCTGAGTTTTAACTGCAGTAGGTGCTGAAGCAAGAATAGTGTCACTAAACCAAAAAAAAGGAAAAAAAGGAAAAAAAAAAAGAAATTTATGTCTTATACATAGATGGCTATTTGAAGTGTGTTCTTTTCTCTTGTCAGAACAGTGCCTTCATTATACCTTGCATATCCATTTTTCTCTCTTTATTTTGTAATATTTATTATAGGTAACTCTGTCTTAACTAACTTCTCTCTTCTTATCCTGCAAAGTTATGTCAAGTGCACATGACCTCCTTAAAGTCACTGTTGTTTTAGAGACATCTCCTGCAGTTTCTAGAGTATAGTAGGTGCTCAATTCATATTTATTGACTGAATTTTTTGATGAAATATCTCTTACCACTACAGATTTCTGTCCAATTTTATGAACATTTTATATATCTATATTTGGTAATTAATTATCTTGTCTTATATAGTGTTTTAAGAAATCTAAGTTGTAATATTCTCTATTAGGTTATACATAGATTTATTTATCTTATATCTGGCTTCATCTTGAACCCTGGGAATGTTACTTGACTAATTTGTGTCTTGATCATGTCATGGTGAGATATTTTGATTTAGCCATTTTAAAAACATCATTCTGACTGCCCAGTGAAAAATGGATTATAAGGGAACAAAGGTGGAAGCAGGCAGATTAGGAGAATGCTATTGTAAATAATCCAGGGGAGAGATAATTACATGTTGCACTAGGCTGGTAGCAGAGGGTGACATGTGATCGGATTCTGGATATATTTTAAGAGAGTACTGACTGTATTTGCTTCTCTTTTCTGTGTGGCCTGAGAAAAATAAATAACTGGCCACTGATGTCAGAGTTTTTGGCTTGAGCTACTAGAAGACTTGCTGTTTACTCAAATATAGAAGAGAGATTTGGAGGATAAAATCAAGATTTTGGAGATGTTGAGATGCATTTAAGACATCCAAGTGACTATGTCCATTAATCAATTTCATGTAACATTGAGTTCAAGGAAAAGATAGGGAAGGAAATATGAGTTTGGGAGTCATCAGTATATAGATGGTTTTTAAAGCTGTTAGAATGAAATGGGCGAGATTACTTACGGAGTGAGTTTAGATGAAGACATCATCCGAAGACATCATCCAAAGACTGCACCCTCGACCACTCCAGTGTTTGGGAGTTGGACGTATGAGGAGGATCAGGCAAAGGAGCCCAAGAAAGTACAACCAGTGAGGTGGGAGGAGAATCAAGATAGAAATCCAGTAAACTAAGTCTATCAAGAATGACACAGTAGTCAAGTGCTGATAGGTGAAGTCTGATGAAGCCTAGAATTCCACTGGATTCAACAATTTAGGTGTCACTGGTGATCTTAAGAACAGTTTCAATGGAGAGGCAGGAATGAAAGCCCAGCTGGATTGGAAATCAGCAGATATAGATAGCTCTTAAAAATAGTTTTGCTATAAAAGGATGATAGGAAACGAGGACACATTAGTAAGTGGATGTGGGTTGAGAGTTTTTTATTAAAATGGGCAATATAGCATGTTTGTATGTTGTTAGAAAGGATGTAACAGAAAATTTGATAGTGTCAGAGAAAGAGGACATAATTGTAGGATAATTTGATGAATAGGCAAGAAAAGATGTATATGTTGACTAGTGGAGGGGTTGAATTTGGGAGCAGAGATAGCTCATTGTAACGGAAGGAAAGGTGAGGCATGGCTACAGAGGTAATAACTGACAGTTCAGTGTACTTACTATGTGCCAGGTTCTGTTCTAAGCACTCTCCATGTGTTAATTTAATTGTTGCAGCAGCTCTCTGAGGTAGGTATTATTATATCTTCATTTTAGAGGTGAGAGAACTGAGGCATAGCTATATTAGGTAGCTAGTGTAAAAATACAGAAAACAAAATGGCAGCAACTAAGTAACTTGCTCAAGATCTCACAGCCAATAAGTAATTTGCCCATGATCATATCAAGTAAATGACAGAGCCAGTTTCTGAATCTAAACCACTCTGGTTTTAGAGCCAGAACAGGGTGTGTGTGTGTGTGTGTTTGTGTGTGTTTGTGTTTTCTTTTTTTTTTTTGAGATGGAGTTTCACTCTTGTTGCCCAGGCTGGAGTGCAATGGGGCGATCTCGGCTCACTGCAACCTCCACCTCCTGGGTTCAAGTGATTCTCCTGCCTCAGCCTCCTGGGTAGCTGGGATTACAGGTATGGGCCACCACGCCTGGCTAATTTTTTGTATCTTTAGTAGAGACGGAGTTTCACCATGTTGGCCGGGCTGGTCTTGAACTCCTGACCTCATGATCTGCCTGCCTTGGCCTCCCAAAGTGCTGGGATTACAGGTGTGAGCCACCGCACCGGCCTAGATTAGTTTTTATAAGAGCATGTAGAAGTTCTAGTGAGTAAGTGAATAAACTAGGAAAATCGATAACCCTGGCCCAGGCAGTACTTGAAGCTTCTAGTCATGATTTTAAAGAGAGATTATGAGAATGGCAGTATGGTGGGTAAGAAAACAAAATATTTTGATGACTAAATAAACAGTCAAATAGAGATCTCCACTCAGTTTCTAAAATGCAAGATTTATTACTTGCTTCAATATAAATTTATGAGGCATCATCTTAGACTCTTAGAGTTACATAGAAAACAACATAGTTTCTACCTTTGAGGTTTATAATCAATGTAGGTGGGAATGCATACTCATAAGAGATTATTTAACAAAGTAACTGAAACACTGAGGCTGTTTCACATTTCTTGACCACTTTTTTTCCTGTAAAACAAGTCACTTCATTCATTCATTCATTCAACTTTTAAGTCTTAATCATCTATTCTTTCTTGGGGACTTTAACAGACACTGCTGATTTAAAGATGAGTAAGGATAGTTTCTACCCTCAAGGTTTACCATGTTATAGAGGCATGCAGACCTTTAAACAGAAAATTGTGATATTATCAATAAATCCTTCTGTAAGCATTGTAGACCTAATGGAAATTTTTGAATGTACACAGAAATAAAATAATACAATGAAGTCTCATGTGCCCACTGCCCAACTTCAATAAAGACAATATCTAACAAATTTCTTTAAGCTGAGACTCCCATTGGGTTTTTCTTTTTTTTTTTTGGAAGGTAATATTGGAGTAGGAAGAACATTGATTAACAGAGAAACAAATTGGGAAGTAATTGCATGGGTTGATGATATTTATACCAGACTCACTGACCCTATGTACAGAGATGAGGCTCCAAATGGGAAAAGACTTCTGAGGTAGAAATGACAGGGTTGCTCAGCTGAAATTCAGTGTACATTTTTTTCAGAAATAAAATATTTCTAATAATATTTTTATTAATGGACTTTAGGAAATTATTTAAAGATCTGAGGGAACTGTTTTAAAAAACTAACATAATTGATTCTTAGACCTTTAGAAAACTTGTTGGATTTTTTACAATTCAAATTTTTTTTATTTGGGCCATTATTATAATTATGTCATGATATGAAAAGGGTAACATTTGTGTAAACTACAGAAGTATAAACTACTATGTCTTTTATACGAGGATTGTCAAATATTTTTAATTGTGCTCAAATTTCTTTTTGAAACATTCGATTTAGAAATTTCCTAAGTGTCGGGAAAAATAGGTAGGCATTTACATATAGACATTTTTGTGATTTATGTAGGTAAAGCACCTGTCATGTGGAGTCCTACACTTTGTGCTTTGGGGAAATATTTTTTAAAGTGAGGATACAGTATATATGCTCAGTGAAATTTTAAACGTGTTTGAAAAGATTTTGAACTTACTCTTAAATAGCTAGATCATTCTTTTAAAAAAGCAAAACATGAATAAAGTCAGAATTCTTATAATTAAATACACTATCAGAAAGATGTAAAGGAAAAATATTTCAATACTAATTTGAAATCATTAGAAAAAATAAAAATAATATAGAAAACTAAGAACAGACTGTATAAAAAGTTCAGTACTGGAGGTCTTTATAACAGATTGGAGATACAGGTGTATTGAAATAACTACATGAAAAAAGCACATAAGCTAAAGAAAGAAAGGTTGAGAGAGAGAGAGAGAAAACATTTGGGATAGGAGAACTTGTAAAAACAAAACTAAACGTGGTAGCAAGATTTCTTTTATATGTTGAATATATTCAGAATGGTAATGCTGATGATTTAACTATTATTTAAATAATTTAAAGGATTAGGCAGAATAATATCTGGATAACTGCTTCAGGTTTTGAGATGCATGGAAAACTTAAAAAAGTTTAAAGACAAAAATAAAGGTAGTGCTTACTGTGAATACTTAGTAAGTCAACTTTTAGCAGGAAGAATATGCAGGAAGATTTTCTAACCAAAAAGACTAAGTGAACATTGGAGGAAAATAATTGGGTATTGGATTATTACATCAAGTAAAGTCACCTTCAAATCGGTCATTCTTTTTTATTGAGTAAGAGAAAATTGGTACATAGCCACCTACTTCCACCTCCTATCAAAATTTCTGTAATTCCATTGGTGACTTTTCAGTGGTCACATTCAATGACTTTTATCCCCCTCATCTCTTGCTTTTTCTGCTGTTTTTATTGAATAAGAGAAAATTGATACATATTTAGTAGGCATTTTAATTGTATTTTCATGGCTATTCATTACTTATCAGCAGAGTGGGAAAATGTATTCTGAATTAATATGCTTTTCATCTTCATAATGACCTTTAATCTATCCTTTTTCTTGAAACATTTCTTAATGTAGGTCGTATAACTTCTCCGTATCTAGTTCTTCTCATTATTGCGGGATGGAGAAATCTCCGACCTTTCTTGATGCCACCTCATCTTTTAATTTCAGTTATAGTCTTTTCCTTTCTAGAGAGAACTTTTTCAAATAGGTCATGCTGCTGGTGTCATATTCTCATATCTCATAGCCACCTACTTCCACCTCCTATCAAAATTTCTCTAATTCCATTGGTGACTTTTCAGTGGTCACATTCAATGACTTTTATCCCCCTCATCTCTTGCTTTTTCTGCTGTTTTTGTTAGAAATAACTCTTTCCCTTTGAAATTTTATCTCCCAATAGACATCTTTAAAAGTAGAGTTCTTATATGCCTAAGTAGTTTCAAGAAAATCCTCTTTGAAAGCAAAGGAAATCCACTAGATGAGTCCATGACATTTTTTTGATCCTATTAAATTCAGTGAGAATGTTTGCTTCTAAAAAAGCATTCTTTTTTGTTTAGCTTTAGTAATTGACATATTAATTTCATTTCATAATTATATTCATTCACTTACCAAAAATGTATTAAATGCCTTTTATATGTGGGGCACTGTTTCTAGGTGCTTAAGATATATAAGTAAAGAAGACAAAGATTCTTGCCATTGTGGAGTTTCTATTCATGCATTAAAACCTAGCCAATTACTGTATGATTAATAGATATTTGATTTATGTATGACTTTAAAAATAATTGTATTAGGTATCCGTCTTGTTTCTAGGGTAGAGTTCAGCATGTATCATAACTAGTTGCCTATTTTCAAGTTCCTGATAACTGCAGTTAATGTATCAAAGCAATGGCAATGTGTAATTACATTTTAATCAGAAATATTGAAAGCAATGATTATTTTTATAAATTTCTCTTTTATTTATTTGGATCTTCTCTGATCATAGATATATACTAGCAGCATCTAGCTTAATATTTATTAGTACTTCTCAAGTGATAGGGTGCTGTATGCAGTATAATTGCTGTACTGTTACTTGGGATAACCAGTAAAATAAGGCTGTTAATCAAGCAGTGTTATGAGTGACCCAGTTCTTTTTAAATGCCTGTCTCTAAAGATAAATAGTGCTTTGATTTTTAAGAGAGGAGAAAAGACATTTTCATTATGCCTGGCCAAACAAGTGGCTGAGGGTCAGCTAGAAACTGAATGTCAATTGAGTTAGATTATATTATGGTAAAGTATTCATTGGGGACTGTTGACTATTAATCTTAAGGAGTATGTTTATGTACGTGTGTATGCATGTGTAGGAAGAGATATTCAAACTTTAAAATATAGTTAAATCATTATGTTATTATATATCATTATATAAAATATTACAGTTAAATCATTATGCAAAATAATCTGGGCCAACCGAGTATTTAATCAAGCTGCTTGTTACTTTCATTCTGCCTACAATGTTGGAAATATGTTATAGTAGGTCCAGTGAATGTTAGGAGGCTATTGCAGAAGTCTGGGGAGGATAAAGTTGGTTGCAGTTGAGATGGAAGTGCATGAACTTTGTAGAGGTTGAGAAAATAAGATGTATTAGACTTGGTGGTGGATTAGTAATAGATGATGGGGCAAAAATAATTCCTAGGTTTCCAGTTTGGATGGAGTGTGGTAACAATTTCTGAGGTGGAATACCCTGGAAAACGACCAGGTTAGGGAGAAGAAACTGAGTTCAGACTTGGGCATACTGACTTTGAGGTGCCTTTGAGCTTCTAGAACTTGGGATACATGTTTATAGGTGATAATGCCTAGAGACAAGAGAATGAAAGAAAAGGGCAAGAGTAAAGAGAGATAACTTCAAGCCCTTAAGAGGTTAATAGAGGAGAAGCAATCAACAATGGAGTTTGTGAAGGTGGATAAAGAAGTAGTGCTTTGTCACTGAAGCCAAGGGAAACAGATTGGTCCACAGTGAAAGGAGTGAAAATATGTCTTGAATCCAGTGGGGCATGGAGAGAAGTCATAGATCATTTAAGTGAAAACTTTTCAAGGAGAGATGCAGAAGCCATGTTGAACTGAATTGAGGTAGGAGTTGGAGGGGAAGAAATAGAGATAGTGCTTCCATACCAACTCTTGAAATTTGTTGCACAGGGTAAGAGTGTGATGGAGAATTGCGCATGGCATTGAAGAAAGGATTTTTTTCAATGTTCTTAATTTTTAAATTTTGAGACAGAGTTTCACTCTGATGCCCTGCCTGGTGTGACCTTAGCTCATTTGGTCTCAACCTCTGAGGCTCAGGTGATTCTCCCACCTCAGCCTCCCAAGTAGCTGGAACTACAGGCACATGCCACCATGGCCGGCTAAGTTTTTTGTATTTTGTTTTTTTTCTAGAGATGAGGTTTTGCCATGTTGCCCAGTCTGGAACTGGTCTGGAACTGGTCTGAACGCCTGGGCTCAAACGATCCGCCTGCTTTGGCCTCCCAAAGTGCTGGGATTATGGATATGAGCCACTGTGCCCAGCCAAGAAAGGATTCTTTCACATGCAGTTTTAATTAATTTAATTTATTGGAGTTTTAATAGCTGTAGAGACACAGTGATGACTTGCTGATCTCTATATAACATGTAACATATACTATATTTAACTACTTTGGATTTCCCTTACATGATATTATAAATTATTGGACTCATAATTTAGAATATTTTGCATTTAATTTGAGAGGAAATGACCTTTGCTCTTTGTACATCATTGCTTTTAATTAACCCAGTTTTCTATACTAATACCCTTAACCCATATGTTTTTCCTATTCAACAGTATAATCACAGCCAAACATTAAATTACAAAAAGATCCTTTTATGACTAATCCTGGCTCTCTTGTGGCATAATATTCCTTGTCAAATAGTTTATTCAGGTGGAAGTCTTCTGAAGAATAATTAATACTCTTCCTCTACTTGACATATTTTGTGAAGCATAATTATCTATGATGTTTTTCCAAATTAACTAAAATTATGTTTTAATTTAAAGCCACGAGAGAAGTTTAAAGAATTGAAATGACTTCTTGTGTTTTATGATTATAAAAGAATTTAAAATCATTATAAATATTTCAGACAGCATAGGAAAATAAAAGGGCTACTTTCCCTTTTAATTCTATTACACAGATATTTTGGAGTATGTTCTTCCATATTATTTTTCTATGCATGTCTAAAAGCAGGTTTCAAAATAGCGGTTATGGAGGTGTATTTAAACTAACACCTATTTACTAATTTGAAACTTGCTTTTGTCACTTGGCAGCATAACTGTTATTTTAAGGTATGGTAGCACGTTAAGTCATATAAACTCTGCCTTTCTCTAGTTTATTTTTGCTTCAAGCCCATCAGTATTATCAGCTTAGTTTCTCTAACCCAACAATACAAAAGCTTAGCTAGAAAAGGCTAAAAGAAACCATTAAATCTGATGGTTTACTAAAATTATTAATGGGATGAGTTTACTTGAACTTGTTTCAGTTGTGGAAGTTTTAGTTTTTTTCTGAGATAGCCCAAATATGACAGTATGGGGAAAGCAAGGAATATATTTTCAGAGGAAGGTATGCCAATACTGGGGTTTGAGCTAGAGGTAGAAGAGTGTGTATAATCTAGTGAAGCAGGTGGGAGGCCACTTTTAGAAAATAGACATGTGGATTCTATGACTTTCGAGGCTCAAAACTTGAAACCAGAGCCTGGGGTGTTAGATCAAACCAGAGTACATTGTCAAGGTTTGGAGTCCCAGTGGTTGCACCAGAGTCAGCTCTAATAGATAAAAAATGAGCAACAAATACAAGTAAAGTCTGAGCAAAAAGGCATAGAATATAGTTCCAGATTCAAGCTAGGCACCAGGAAAAAGATGACAAATGAAATTGCATTCACAATATTGAGATATGCAATTCAGTTTCTTGGTCAGATGGGCATAGTAGCATATTTACTATGTTGTGATCATTGATTTTAGGAGGAGAGATCTTTGCCTTTGTTCTGACGCTGCACACCTTTGGGATGTGGTAAAGCCTGATAAGTATGTGTTGCTTCCCCAGCAAGTTGGAGTTGTTGTGTAGGTTCTGGTGATTGTAGGAAAGGGTTAGGTCCTTCCTTTAATGAGCACTTGCTGTTGTAACAAGTCAGGGAGACAAATTCAGACATGTAAACAATAATGAACTCTTCTTACTAGAAAACCTATCTTAGGTTGTTTTAACTTGGAGGTTCATTGATATCTAAGTTTATGCTTGAACAAAGAATTCCAAGTTAGGTCATCAAGAGATAGGGCTTCCTGGAGGACCTGGGAGTCAGGATGTGGCCGCCAGGTAAAACTTGACTATAATATGTATGCCTTATGCCTCCTATACTGTGGAGTCTGTCTTTGGCACTTGGCCCAGCTCAGCTTGGCCTCAGAGAAGTGGGTATAGTCAAGGTGTGATAGGCCTATGATCCGTTTTCAACATCATTTCCTGAACCCTATTTCCTACCACACATCATTGTCCAGCTTGCTGTACATTCATTTCAGGGAATCCAGATGGTTCTTTTTATGCCTTGAAATGTTGCCTAGCAATATATAACTAACACGTTAATTATTATGAGTAAGTCCATAGGATGATTTTTAAAAGTAAGTGAGAAGAAGAACAAGCTTTTCCTGGAGGTAGAATTACCTGGTTCACCAATAAGAAGATGAGATCAATAAAAAAATTGAAGATATAACTGAGCTTAAGCAGTACTATTGTTTAATGCCCCCCCACAAACTGTTTTCTCTTGACCCAAGCTTACACTTTTATATAAACTAGTATACTTTTCATGGCAACAGCAGTTCAGGAGTTGTAAAGGAAGTGTGAATGGATTATTTTCTTGTCTTCTCAGGCACAGTAACCTTGGTGCACGACCGAAAGGGCTGTCTACTCTGGTGAAGAGTGGTGTCCCTGAAGCATTGAGGGCAGAGGTATGGCAGTTATTGGCAGGCTGCCATGACAACCAGGCAATGCTGGATAGATACCGAATTCTTATCACAAAGGTAGGAAGAAGTTCTTTTCATATTATTTTCATTGGATGACCTATTAAATAAATCCTAGTTTTCATAGCTCCCATAAGTCATAAATGCTTTGAACTTCTTCATGAATATATTGAGGTCGTGAAGTCAGTACTTCTACCTTTTGTTCTGAACACTTGTAGTGGTAAACAATGCACTTAGTCATCTATGAACATTGTATGCCTTGGTTTTTATCTTTTCATTCAAGTGATTTTATAATAGCTATTTACCAAATTGGAATATATTTATATTTCAAGTGTTTTCTAACTTTTCAATTAACCTTTTTTAATTGTATGAGATTTATATAGTTATAATCATACATAGTTACTCTTGTATAATTTTACAATAACATTAAAATGAAATTAAAAATTCTTCTGTGCTTATGTCACCTTACATTTAAATAATGTAGATACTTGCCCTTTTTCTGTCAGGGGCCCTTGGTTCCACTGTAAATTCCTTTGCTTATGTCTAAATACCTGGTTTTAGAGCATAAGTAAAGGTAGGTGTTGGCCTTGACCCTGGACTCACCACCCTAGGTCTTACCACCTAATTACTTAATCTACTCTAAGTACTGTATTTTAAAATAATAGTAAAATTTTATTTTTTAATTTAAAGGAACCTCTCCTCATAAATGAGATTTTTATAATCAAGACTTTGTTCCTCAGACTATATGAACTTTTAGAACTTTTTATCTGCTGTAATTTCTTTTTACTTTTCTTTCCTCTTTGCCTCCTTCCCTTCCATAAATATTTTCTGAGTGCCTAGTATAATTATCACTGCTGAATTCAGTTTTTTTTTTTTAATTTAACTTTTTTTTTTTAAATTGATGGCCTCTGCATTGGAATATGCAAGATGATCCATTGGTGTGTGGGAAAAAATGTCCAAAGTTCCATTTGTATTTCTTTTAAATAAGTACACCAAAGGATACTAAGCTGTACTAATATTTGGTGTGCCATAGTACTGAGGCTTTATGAGGTCCTTGGGTCCAGTGGCCACTGGTCCCACATGGTTCAGGAGTGACCTTAGGGAAGAATGGAACTTACACACTTTGGAGGAATAATTGTGGGGCTCACACTCGTATATTAACTTCCAAAATATTATAGGTTTCTTGCAGTTTGCATGTGTTAGATTAAGTGGATTTACAGGTTATCTAGATGTAACTTAATCCTCATAAAATGTGTGATTGGCTTAAAAAGATTACTATCACAGGATGCTGCATGTCAAGTTTTTTTTTTAATTTAATATGTTCCTTCAGGGAAGAATTAATATTATGATAATGACAAAGCAACTACTTTTGGAAACAAACTCATGTAACAAAGATGGACATTTTGAAACATATGGCGGTTTAAACACCTCTGTGATTTTTTTCATTGAAATAACATGCATCACTATAAAAAACTCTTACATCTTCACACTTAAAAACCTGGAATCAGAAACTT
Organism: Homo sapiens; assembly: GCF_000001405.40. Classification (NCBI taxonomy): domain Eukaryota; kingdom Metazoa; phylum Chordata; class Mammalia; order Primates; family Hominidae; genus Homo; species Homo sapiens. The sequence continues at coordinate 174,395,600 of NC_000001.11, forward strand.
TAAATATGTTTAAAACTTATACAAGTAGTTGCAGAGAATTTGGAACTGATTGTTAAAAGCATATAAACACAACACCTTCTGATTTGTTCATATGAATATCTAGAAGCTGGTGTGGTGGCATATGCCTGGAGTCTCAGCTATTGAGAGGCTGAAGTGGGAGGACTGCCTGAGGCCAGGAACTTGCACCTGTGACTAGCCACTACACTTTGGCTTGGGCAACATAGCAAGACCCTGTCTCTAAAAAAAAAAAAAAAAAGAAAGAATACCTAGAGAAAGTAGATATTTCCTAGCCAAATTTCAACAAAATGATTGATGAGTGGGACTGAAAAAATGATGTACGTCTACTTGGGTCTGTGGATCTTTGTAAGTCTTTTTTAGATATGATAACAAAACCATGAATCAAAAAACTGATGCAGAAACAAGTTTTCATTGTTGTTTTATAAACTGCTATAACAAACATATTAAAAATAGTGACCCATATTTTATGATTATTTTTATATAAAATGTTTAGAATAGGCAAACCTATAGAGACAGAAAGTAGACTAATAGTTGCCAGGGGTTGGAGGAAAAAGGAATTGGGGGTCACTGCTAACAGATATATGGAGTTTGTTTTTAGATGATGGAAATATTCTGGAATTAGACGGTGGTGACAGTTGCTCAAGATTATGAATATACTAAAAACCACTGAATTGTACACTTCTAAATGGTGAATTTTATGTTATGTTTAACACAATAGAAAAATTTCACACACACAAAAAAAGATCCATATTCAATATTGAATAGTATTTTATAGCATTTTTAATTATCTTTTTTACATCCTATCTAAATTTCTGTGCTTTATAATATCTATAATATATTAGTATAATAGCACTTGTACATGATAAATATATATATGTTAGATATTTATGCCTAGAAGTTTTTATCGATGGAGTATCTGATTGAAATTTTCAGAGATCATAACTCTGGGTATCAAATTACTTTTTCTTGTAAATAATAAACTAAATTATATACTTTTATTGGCTGCCATGGGGTAGGAGGTAACTGCCATACCCCTTTTTTCACTAAGAGGCTTTCATAATTCATACCTTTAAAAATTTTAAGGGAAAAAT